>NC_000006.12:31878181-32181212 GCF_000001405.40 Homo sapiens | reverse complement strand
GGAGGAGCGTGCAGAACTGAATCAGTCGGAGGAACCTGAGGCAGGCGAGAGTAGTACTGGAGGGCCTTGAGGGGCCCACAGACAGATCCCATCCATCAGCTCCCTTTTCTTTTTCCCTTGAACTGTTCTGGCCTCAGACCAACTCTCTCCTGTATAATCTCTCTCCTGTATAACCCCACCTTGCCAAGCTTTCTTCTACAACCAGAGCCCCCCACAATGATGATTAAACACCTGACACATCTTGCTCTTGTGTGTCTGTGTGTGTGTATGAGACACAACCTCACCCCTATACCCTTGAGGGCCCTGAAGGAAAGGGACTCACCCCCATACTTCACCATACTATACCAAACATCTACTCAAGTTGGGGAGAAGATGCTTCTGTCGGGGGTGGGGGCGAACTTGGGAAGAGATCCCATCAATATATTTCACCTTTTTTATTGAATTTGTATTAAAGGAGGTAGTGAGGGGGCGGAAGCACTTAAGAGTCAGAATCCATATTAGACTCTGGGGAGTGAAAAATTAAATTAAATCAGTAAGATGGGGAGTGGGGGAAGAGTCAGAGGGAACTTTGCCCACCTTTGAAGATCAAATCAAGAAATCAGGGAAAGCAAAGACTTAGGAGAGGAGAAAGACATTCTCTCAATCCATCCTCCTTCCCCAGGGCAGAGAATTAAACAACGTTACTGAGTGAGCCTCTGAGCAGAAGGCTCTCCCATCTATGCACAGACTTCACTCCTCCTCCCCAGGCCTTCCTGGACAATGTCCAGGGCTGGCCTTAGCCAACAGAAATAGAGGGGTCAAGGGGGTCCAGGAGTACGGAAGGGTCAGCAGGGACCCTCAATACTGATTCTTCTCTGGCTGGAGGTGGGCAGGAAGCAGACATAGCTCAAATACTGAGCAGCCAAAAAAAGAAGAAGATGGCGAGAAACAGGAAGAGGGAATCCTGCCAGCTGGAGGCTGGGTGACCCTGTCCCAGATCCACACCTGTGGGAGAGAGGAAAGCTGTGGAAGCATATGCTCCTAGGCTGGGAGGGGGCCTGAGGGGATTCACAGGGCTCCCTGATGGGAGCTGAGTGTGACTCTTACCTGTACCCCGGCGGAAAGGCTCATGGGCATTGAAGACGGTGGTGAAAAAGCCAAAGGGAAAAGCACCAACACCAAATGAGAAGTGGAAGCCCCCGGTATCACCAAATGGCTGGAATCCCTAGGGAGGCAGAAAAAGTCAGACAGGAAGCCGGCAAATCTGTCAAGGAAGGGACACAACTGGACAAGAAGACTCACCCCTCTGCTCTCCGGAGCTGGTCTCTGGCCCTGGGGGCGGGGTGGAGTTTTTAATCTGAGGAAGTGGAGAGAGAAAGTTAACAGGGATTTTTCTCCTCCCATCTTCCACACCGTTTTCCAAGGGCAGAAGCCTTCAATCTTCCCTAAGCAACACCTCCAGTCTCTCACCTGGGATCCTGGGGCTTCTGGCTCCCTCGCCCATAAAGCGGGACAACCTTCTCTCTGCTGATCCCAGCTTTACATACTGGACACTCTTGCCGTTCTGGCCGTGTCTCCAGCCACTGGGGAGAAAAAAGGTGGTTTCCAGTATACAAGAGGGTCTTACAGCTCCTCAGACCTCCCCATTTCCCTCTTCATCTCCTGAGTACGCACCTGATGAAGACATGGCCAACTGGATGGGGGAGAAAAAAAAAAAAAGGTCAAACTAGCTACAGAAAAGAGAGACACAGACCCTAGACTTCGCAGAATCCCATCTAACCCCTCTTCCCAAGCAACCTGCTGTTGCTTTTCAGATTTTCTGCAACCTCTACCATGCCAGCCAACTTAGTTAGCCTTCCTGCTTGTCTGATCTTCCAACACCTAAAGCTCTGTCCATCCTCAACACACTCAACCCTCTCCTTTCTCCTCTCCCCAACAAACACATACAAATTTTCGTGCCCTCTCTTTTCTGCCTTTCAAGTTAATTTCTAATTTCCTTCAGCCACCTCTTTCTGGGTCTCCTCTTTTCAACCCCAACCCCATCACTCCAAACCAAACCCCTTTACTAGCACATTCCCCCATTACTCACTTTCAAGCTCAATAATGTCCCTATCTTTATGACCCTTTAACCTTTCAAGTCTGCCTCTCCACAGTGCCCTTATACCAGCCCCCTCCCAGATCTCATCTGAATGTGATCCATATTTCCTGGTTCTCCCCGACTCAACTGATGCGTGCCTCCCTTAACCTTTGTGTCTCACTTGTTTCCACCTGCACAGCTAAGACCCCTCACTTCTCTGGGGTAAGGTGGCTCGGGTCTCACATTGTCCTGCCACTCCCCGCCCCACCTTCTCTTCTCAGCACATCACGTGCCTCAGCTCCTGGTTCCTAAGACCTTTCTTTCCACAGATCTCGACCGTTATACTCCCACCCACACATACCAGCAAAGTCTTATGTCTCCTGTCGGGCTTCACCTATGGGAACGTGCCCTCCGATTATCTGTATGACTGTATGATTATTCGCTCCTAGCCTCTCCAGTATATAAGCGAGACCCACCACCTCCCGCCCCCCTCCTCGATTCTCACCAGTACAGGTGGCCACACACACTGACCACAGCTTCCCGAGCAGTCTCCAAACATATATTACATTCGAAGGTCGCGCCCGCCCCGCCCCGCTCGCGATTTGGCCCTTCGGGGCCCCCGTCCTCCTCCTCCGCTGCTGCCATGGCCGGTTTTGTTTCGCCCCACGTACCCTTCAGTCCCCCCAAATACACATACACACGCCCCAACAAACCAGAAACCACCTCCTGCCCACGATCGTTGGGCAGGCTTCAAGGTTTCCTAATCACTATTGGTCTGAATGCCTGCCAGTCACAAAGAATTCAAAAGAAAGGATTGGCCCAAAGGGTAGGGGCGGGAAAAGGTTAGTGCAGTCCTGCCTTCGCACAATGGCTATTGGCTGATACGGTCTAAGTCAATGTGCAATGCCAAGGGATTGGTAATAACTCGCTACACGCTGTCGCCTGGCCAAGGAGGGCTTTATTCGTCTGAGTAGTTGTCAGTCATAACCAAAGCCATAAGCAATTTGCTCGGGACTACCTATAGACCTCGCCCACTATAAGCCCCTTTCTTTCCTTCGCTTCCTCTTTTAGAGAATGTCCGGATTGCTATTGGACTTTGGAGCGTATGGCTCCAAATCAACTCATTGGCTAAAACTTGACGGAAAATGGTGGTTAGGTAAAACGCGCCTGCGCAGCACGCGGCGGGACGGGGGTGGGCCAATCCTGTGAGGGTTTAACCTTCTCTTTTTCCACCTCTTCACCCCTATCTTGTCGCCATGGTGACTGCTCTACAATTGGCGAGGCTTGCACTTCAAAGTCCTAGGCTCGCTTCATCCGGGTCCTTCAGCTGTGGACTTTCTGCTGATTGGGCCTTTTCCTTTTCCCCTGATTGGCCGACATCGGGAAAGACGGCGAAGAGCTAGGAAAAGAGGGAAAACACTAGGGTCGCAGGGTTCAAAATGGCTCCAACCTCCTTTGGTGACGTAGAGAGCAGAACTTGGGTCTGCCCCTCCCTTTTAGTTAAGGGAGCAGAACTGGGATTAGCCCGACGTTTGGATAGTGGGAACATCGATCTGCGGCGCTGGTGTTAACCCAACTCATTCGGCTGGACGACTCAGCCCTCCCCATATTAGGTGATTTACAGAGCAAAACTGAACTAAAGGCCCACCCCTTTCTTAATGTTGTACACAGAGTAGAACAGGATTGACTTCAACTCCGTTTTAAACCTTCAGAGCAGGAAAGCTCTGGGCTCAACCCCTTTGTGAGTGGTGCAAAAGGGACAAAGCCCGCCCCTTTTAAGGAGACCCGCGGAGGCTAGACCCGCCCTTTCCTCTTTATAATTTGCCCATCAGAAATAGGGTCTTCTTCCCAGGTTGGACCCCGGGGAGTTTGGGCTTTTCCTACAATCACTGACCCTCACTGTGACTAAAGGAGCAGAATTAGGTAACAGTCCTCCCACTACCAATCCTCTTCCCGAGGGCATGTAAACTAATGCAGGGTAAAGGTGTGGCTAGAGGGGGGACCTTGATAAAAGATCCCATGTGACTCAAGAGTAAGGAAAGATGAGAAGTTAGCAGTTGCGTAAAGAAGGACTGGGGCAGATGAGGATTCAGGAAGCTTGAGGTTTAGGAAGGAAGATATTGAGAGGGAAAGGTGGAAATGAAGGAGAGTGAAGTGATGGAATGATCCTAGTAAAGGGATAATGGGAGTGGAGGAAGAGAAGAGGGGGTGGAAAACTAGATACATGGCTACCAAATTAAGGAGGCACGCGCATTCCAGAGGAATCGGCATTCTTCCTCACTTTTTATTTTTCTAGAAAGCACCCCTGAAGCCAAATTTCCATTGGAAGAAAAGATGTACCCATATTGTATGTTGTGAGAAGGGGTTGTCTCAGCTTGGGCAAGTAAGGAGACTGATACGAAGGAAGTAGGAAAGAAAAGGTACAGAGGTAAAAGAGCATGGAAAAGGAAAGGGTCAGGGATAAGGCCAAAGAGATCTCTTCTCTTTAAAGGCCAGAGAAGGCAGGTGGAGGGGGGAGCTGGACTGCTGGGAGATAGTGAGGGACAAAGGGCAAAGGAAACCAGACCAGAGGACTGGAGAGTGAGATGGAGTGAGATGGAGTCCTGGAGAGAAAAAGAAGAGAGGTGAACTTAATGCTTGTCATATGGTAGGTAGATGCTTGATAAATGTTTAGAATTGAATGGGTACGGGAAAAGGGGTCCTTAAGAATAGTTGGGGGGAATAAGCAGCAGATAACCGGAGTTGAGAAAAAAAGAGACCAAGTAAAAGTGGCAGTTAAAAGAGAGCTGATGGAGAATAAAGGAAGGAATGTGCGGAAGGAGGAATACAGCACCAGGGGATCCAGAGCTGAAAGGGAGTTAGAGAAAAAAAAGATGCAGCTGGAGCCAGAGATGGGGGCAAAGACCGAGGGAGAGCCCTGGGGCGGGGCTCGCAAGAGGACACTGGTAGATGTGGGGAGGAGATGCCAGAGTTTCTGGGAGACGATTGGCAAAACAGGCTGCCCATCACCGCCCTCCACTTCCTGGCCGGCCCCGGAAACCAGCAGGCGTTGGGGAGGGGTGGCGGGGGAATAGCGGCGGCAGCAGCCCCAGCCCTCAGAGAGACAGCAGAAAGGGAGGGAGGGAGGGTGCTGGGGGGACAGCCCCCCACCATTCCTACCGCTATGGGCCCAACCTCCCACTCCCACCTCCCCTCCATCGGCCGGGGCTAGGACACCCCCAAATCCCGTCGCCCCCTTGGCACCGACACCCCGACAGAGACAGAGACACAGCCATCCGCCACCACCGCTGCCGCAGCCTGGCTGGGGAGGGGGCCAGCCCCCCAGGCCCCCTACCCCTCTGAGGTGTGGGCGGGAAAGGGATGGGAGGAGGAGGGAAGAGGGTGCTGAAAGCGACTAGGATGAGGGGAAGGGGAGAGATTGGGTCTGGGAGGGCCGACTGGGGGAGAGGGTTGCTGGGGAAAGGAGAGGGGCCGACTGGGAAGAGGGTTGCTGGGGATAGGAGAGGGGACCTGAGAGGGAGGAAGGATGGAAGAGACCTGGGAGGGAGGAGAAATGGAAACCCTTGTGAATTTGGGACTGGGAGCGTGCACAGGGAATCCTGGAGAGGGAATTCCCTACACCTTCCCCAATTCCTTTTCTTGCCCTTTGACCCCACATGACTCTTGAAGGGTCATGAGGGGAGAAGGCCAGCAGAATTTGCCTCTTAGGAATACCCTTAGGTGCCTCTGTTTCCATCTAGGCACAGGACCTCTTGTTTCTCAGTGGCCTTCCACACTGCTAGACCCTTACTGACACACAAATGCCTTATGGGAGCCATGTTTTCTACATTGAGTCTGTGTGCCTTTGACATGTTTAATGGCTTGTGTGCAACTAGGTTGTCCCAATGCTATCCATAGGCTGTGTAGAAATGGTGTGTTATTTTCTATCAGAATTGCCCATTCTTCATTCTTGTGTCCATGTCTCACATCCAGTTTTGACATGTTTTAAGTACCGCATGTGTGTGAGTTTTCATATATTGCACCTGTTCTATAATTTCATGTTACTTGCACATTTTATGTTTTGGCATGTTTATTTCAGCATGTGAAGGTTATATACCTTATTTTGCTTTGGCTGACATGTCCATGGTCCTACCATTTGCAGTAGTCTTCATGTGTGGGATCCCATGGCTTGGCTGAATACCCCACACTCTGATGTCTGACTGAATTGGCCTGTTTGCTGTGTTTTCCCAGTCACAGTTCACAGAACACATGTGTATGCGCCTTTGCATGATACACTGATGTAACAGGACCATAGAATGTGTGTTATAAATTTGTCATCAGTATATTTTGTGAGCCGTATGCTCATTAAATTTGGCCCTCCATTGCATTTCTAAATCCTTGGACTTTTGTTCTCCAAAGAGGGTCACTTAATATCAAGTGTTAAGAGAAGAAGGTAACTGGGTCTCCAGGTCTGCAAAGAACCATCCCTGCATGCCTTACCTTGGTGACCTCCCTGGCCCATACCTCTCTACACAAACATTATCTTTCCAGTGGCTGTGTACAGTCTGTGTCCATGAGCTCAATGCATGTCACAGGGTCAATCCTGCTGTGAACCCCATTGTTGGTATTTATTTATGGACATTATCCTCCATTCTTTGCACTGTTGGCACACATTTGATGAGAGCAGCATCTTTCCCTGTGGCATCTTGATCCCATTCGGTACATTTCTCTTGTGAGATGACCTCTTCCTGATTATTGTTACTCTGCCTTCATTATGGCTATGTATTGCATGTATCTATTCAGAGTCGGTTACCATTAGGCTTGGTGTGTTCGTTACTTTCTCAGTGACTTCTTTTAGTAGTCACTTCTACTCAAGAGGATAACTATCTAATTTGTGATCAGAACCGCCATCTCTGTCATTAACTGTGGCTCTATGGGTGGGTATACAGCCTTAGAATCTGTTCAGCAAGTGTTTATTGAGCACCTACTCCATCTCCTATTGTCCTGGCACTGGAGATAAGACAGAGTCCCTGTCCTTAAGCTGCTTACAGCCTAAGGAGGGAAACAAAAACGCCAGTCAACACATAGTGTGTTGTCAAGATCAGTGGTTCTTAAATTCAGGCGCACATCAGACTCACCAGAGGGCTTGTTGAAATACAGATTGCTAGCCAGCCACGATGGCTCACACCTGTAATCCCAACAGTTTGGAAGGCTGAGGCAGGAGGATCGCGTGAGTCCAGGAGTTCAAAACCAGCCTGAGTGACAGAGTGAGAAAAAGAAAAACAGATTGCTGGACCTAATGCCCAGAATTTCTGATTCAGTAGATCTGGGGTGAAGTCTAATAATTTGCATTTCTATACTTCGAGACCCGCTGATCAAGATAAAAGTGTAAGGAAAGCACAGGCCTGGAGGGGTTCAGGCAGCCCTCCAAAAGGTGACACTGAGCTGTGTGAGGCAGGAGAAGAGACAGGCATTCCAGCCAAAGGGAACAGCATGTTCAAGGTGGGGAAGCATGAAAGATCATGGTGTCTGAGGAACTGAAGTGAATCAGTTTGACTGGAACAAAGAGTTTTGTGAGGATGTGGTCGAAGATGTAAGCAGAAGTCAACTTATCAAGAAGAGCCTTTAGGCAAGACAGGGAAATGCTCTGTGTTTCAGAAAAATCTGTGCTAACAGAAAAATCTCTGTGGTTGCTACGTGGAAGATGGATTGGAGGGAGTTGGGAGCCTACTCCACATAGTTCAGGGGAGAAATGATGCTGTTCTGAACTTGTAGGGGCAGTGGGATGGAGCAGCTCAGAAAGCCTACGGTATTCCAACTGGCAGGGTCTCCTGTTTCCTCTATTGCCTGTTACCTTCTCGCTTGGCAATAGGCTTACCTTTGAGCATAGCCCTTCCCATCATGGGAAGACAGTGCCTGTGGCCTCAGTAGGAATGACAGGTATTTGCCTGAACACCCTTTTTGTGAATTGTTACCCTGCCCCCAACACTGGGGCAGAGTGGAGGAAGGAGGAAGAACCTAGAACACAGGTTCTGTGTTCCTGCCTCTCTTCCTCTTGAGCCCTTTCCTCTCCCAGGGCAAGTGCTGTTAGGTCACCTTTACTCCATTCCCTCCTTTTTTCACTTGGTGAGGCCTCACACACTGTACCTGCCCACGCAAAGTGTCACTAGAAGGAAGGGAAAGGGTAGTAGGATTCGTTTGCCTGTCTGGAGGTAGGATTGGTCTTTGTAGCTATTCCAGGTATGTCCATAAGTTTACCTAGGAATAGGGGAGCTGCCTGGGTGGAGAGGGATTTTTCTAGTTATGCATTTACATTCTTTTATCTGTCACTGGGTGTAATTATAAATTTGTGTCTATGTGTGAACATGTTAGTCTTTGTATGACTGTGTGTCTGTTGGCATTAGTGACACGAACTTTTAATCTTGCCATTTGGCCCTTGGGTATATGGCTGTGAGTGTTCTGTCACAATCACCATATATGCTGTGTGCTGTGTTCGTATATATATATGCAATACATACCAGTGTCAGCGTAATGGAGTGGTTAGGAACACAGGCGGCTTAGATTTAACCTAGAAACTGCTGTTTAGGAGCTGTATGACCTCAGGTAAGTTATTTAGCCTCCCTGGGCCTATTTCCTATAAAATGTAAATAGTAATAGTACTTTCTAGACTATCATATGCATCATTTTAAGAGTTTAACTTAATGTATAGACCAGTACTGTTCTACAGAAATATAATGCAAGCCACAATGTAATTTTTTTATGGTAGCCACATTTTTACAAGGCAAAAAGAGTGAAATTAATTTTAGTAATATATTTTCTTGAATCTGATAACATCCAAAAGATTATAATTTCTTTTTTTTTTTTTGGAAATGGAGTCTCACTCCATTGCCCAGGCTAGAGTGCAGTGGCGTGATCTTGGCTCACTGCAACCTCCGCCTCCCGGATTCAAGCGATTCTCCTGCCTCAGCCTCCCGAGTAGCTGGGATTAAAGGCATGCGCCAACAGGCCCGGCTAATTTTTGTATTTTTAGTAGAGACGGGGTTTCACCATGTTGGTCAGGCTGGTCCTGAACTCCTGACCTCGTGATCTGCCCACCTCGGCTTCCCAAAGTGCTGGGATTACAGGCGTGAGCCACTGCGCCCGGCCCAAGATTATAATTTCAAAATGTAGTCAGCATAAAAGATTAGTAATGGATATCTCACATTTTGTTTTTTATTCAGTCTTTGAAATCTGATGTGTATTTTACATTTCCAGCACATCTCAGTTCAGACTAGCTGCATTTCAAGTAGCCACATGTAGGTGGTGGCTACTTTCTCGGACAGCACAAGTATAGACCATTATAAGACCCTTACCAGCTACAAGTGTTAGCTATTATTCTTGTTGTCATTTATTATCAGGTATCTGTGAATTGTAGATGTCTGTGTCTTGTGTCTCTTGTCTGAATATATCCGGAGCCTTTGGGAAGAGTGGTGGGAGAGCAGTCCTGAGCTCTTTCTCCACCACCCTCATCCTAGAGAGCCTTCCTGGGAAGGTTTCAATGAGACCCCTGCCCCAGTTTGTGTCTCAGGCCCTTGTCCTCATAGCACCAGCCCCCAGCCCTGCCTTCTGTGCCTTGCCTACCCCACTCTCCTCCAGAAACCAGGCTGATTGTCCCTTGCCCCATCCCCTGCAGGTGGCCAGAATGGATTTGTGGCCAGGGGCATGGATGCTGCTGCTGCTGCTCTTCCTGCTGCTGCTCTTCCTGCTGCCCACCCTGTGGTTCTGCAGCCCCAGTGCCAAGTACTTCTTCAAGATGGCCTTCTACAATGGCTGGATCCTCTTCCTGGCTGTGCTCGCCATCCCTGTGTGTGCCGTGCGAGGACGCAACGTCGAGAACATGAAGTGAGGGGCAAGGGGTCTTGGGCAATGAGGGAACCTAAGGGTACAAAGTGAGTAGTGGATTGGGGGAAGGGGGCATGGTGTGTGTAGAAAAGACTGAGAGAGACCAGAGACAGGGAATGGGGAGAGGACTGCAAAGGTGGTCAGAAAGACAGTAAGGTGGGGGGAGCTGAGGCATGCAGATGGACATCAATGGATCCCACTGGGACCCCTTGCCATGACCCCACAGGATCTTGCGTCTAATGCTGCTCCACATCAAATACCTGTACGGGATCCGAGTGGAGGTGCGAGGGGCTCACCACTTCCCTCCCTCGCAGCCCTATGTTGTTGTCTCCAACCACCAGAGCTCTCTCGATCTGCTTGGTGAGACCCCACCACAGGGCACACCTCCCCCAGCCATGCCTCCCCTCCTGAAACCTTCCCTAGAATATCTTCTCCTAGAGATCCTCAATTCCCCTTCCTCTGGGACATTGCCCCCTTGCCTCCCACTCAGGCCTTCATTCCCTGGGTAGAACTGCCCTCATAAGCAGGTTACATATACTTTTGGTCACCCTTTCCTTCACTTGGGGCCCCCCTCCCTGCCTAGTCTCCTCCTTCACCTCCAGTCCCTACCAGAGGGTGATGAGCTGGGTGAGGTGGGTTGCCTTCTGTGACACTCTGCCTCCACCCCGATCCTCACCCACTCCCACCCTGCCCAAGGGATGATGGAGGTACTGCCAGGCCGCTGTGTGCCCATTGCCAAGCGCGAGCTACTGTGGGCTGGCTCTGCCGGGCTGGCCTGCTGGCTGGCAGGAGTCATCTTCATCGACCGGAAGCGCACGGGGGATGCCATCAGTGTCATGTCTGAGGTCGCCCAGACCCTGCTCACCCAGGACGTGAGTCATCCTGGGGAAATGGGGGATTGGAGGGATACAGAGTAGAACAGTTGTAAATAAACTGATATGCAGGGCCAGTGGGCCTCAAAGGTCCCATTATAACATCACACCTATTCTGACTCCTCCATATGTATTTGTCTTCTTTGACCCTCTTTCTCCCCCAGGTGAGGGTCTGGGTGTTTCCTGAGGGAACGAGAAACCACAATGGCTCCATGCTGCCCTTCAAACGTGGCGCCTTCCATCTTGCAGTGCAGGCCCAGGTGACTACTGCTCTTCGTTCTGCTACTCAGCTGCCAACCCCCACCATTCCCTCATCTCTGGGCAGGGGCTTATTGTAGGAGTCTCTGAAGAGAGCTGTGGACTGACCTGCTTTAACCCTTCCCCAGGTTCCCATTGTCCCCATAGTCATGTCCTCCTACCAAGACTTCTACTGCAAGAAGGAGCGTCGCTTCACCTCGGGTGAGGGCTTTGAGCAGTTCTGGGGTAGGGTGTGTCCGGAGAGGCTGGGAGGACATCCCTGTGAGGCAGGGGGATCATTCAGTGTCAGAGCCATGAGATGTCTACACAGTCATCTAGTCTAACCCCACATCAGCCAATAAGTCTTTACTAAGCACCCACCATACCCTGCCAGATGGGTAGCACTTGGTCCCACCAAGAGAGGCTGTTACTAATCTTAACAGGAAAGATAAGGCCTGTGTGCACAAAGCTGTAATGAATAACACTCATTCAGCAGTAAATGCCAAACCCAGAGGAGGGGGGCTGGAGGGGTGCTGAGGAGATGTCTGAACTGGGGATTGGAGAAGGCTTTGTATAGGAGAAGGGCCTCAGAAGTGGCAGCTGGCAAGCCCAGGGATGGTTGTCCAGGGTTGGGGGAAGAGAACTGAAAGGTTGAGGAAGAGTATCACTCGGAAGCTGGGCCCCACCTGTGGGCAAAGACCTGGGTGGACAGGCCATGATGGTGCTCCCCTTGCCCCAGGACAATGTCAGGTGCGGGTGCTGCCCCCAGTGCCCACGGAAGGGCTGACACCAGATGACGTCCCAGCTCTGGCTGACAGAGTCCGGCACTCCATGCTCACTGTTTTCCGGGAAATCTCCACTGATGGCCGGGGTGGTGGTGACTATCTGAAGAAGCCTGGGGGCGGTGGGTGAACCCTGGCTCTGAGCTCTCCTCCCATCTGTCCCCATCTTCCTCCCCACACCTACCCACCCAGTGGGCCCTGAAGCAGGGCCAAACCCTCTTCCTTGTCTCCCCTCTCCCCACTTATTCTCCTCTTTGGAATCTTCAACTTCTGAAGTGAATGTGGATACAGCGCCACTCCTGCCCCCTCTTGGCCCCATCCATGGACTCTTGCCTCGGTGCAGTCTCCACTCTTGACCCCCACCTCCTACTGTCTTGTCTGTGGGACAGTTGCCTCCCCCTCATCTCCAGTGACTCAGCCTACACAAGGGAGGGGAACATTCCATCCCCAGTGGAGTCTCTTCCTATGTGGTCTTCTCTACCCCTCTACCCCACATTGGCCAGTGGACTCATCCATTCTTTGGAACAAATCCCCCCCACTCCAAAGTCCATGGATTCAATGGACTCATCCATTTGTGAGGAGGACTTCTCGCCCTCTGGCTGGAAGCTGATACCTGAAGCACTCCCAGGCTCATCATGGGAGCTTTCCTCAGCACCTTCACCTTCCCTCCCAGTGTAGCCTCCTGTCAGTGGGGGCTGGACCCTTCTAATTCAGAGGTCTCATGCCTGCCCTTGCCCAGATGCCCAGGGTCGTGCACTCTCTGGGATACCAGTTCAGTCTCCACATTTCTGGTTTTCTGTCCCCATAGTACAGTTCTTCAGTGGACATGACCCCACCCAGCCCCCTGCAGCCCTGCTGCACCATCTCACCAGACACAAGGGGAAGAAGCAGACATCAGGTGCTGCACTCACTTCTGCCCCCTGGGGAGTTGGGGAAAGGAACGAACCCTGGCTGGAGGGGATAGGAGGGCTTTTAATTTATTTCTTTTTCTGTTGAGGCTTCCCCCTCTCTGAGCCAGTTTTCATTTCTTCCTGGTGGCATTAGCCACTCCCTGCCTCTCACTCCAGACCTGTTCCCACAACTGGGGAGGTAGGCTGGGAGCAAAAGGAGAGGGTGGGACCCAGTTTTGCGTGGTTGGTTTTTATTAATTATCTGGATAACAGCAAAAAAACTGAAAATAAAGAGAGAGAGAGATCTGGGTGTTGGTGGTTGCATTTGTTAAGGAATTGAAGAAGCAGTTCTTGCCCAGGCAACCTGCCCCCAGCCAGAAGACTCAGGGGCAGGCCAAGAACACAGGCCTCCCCCTTTCTTCAGCTCTCTGAAGTTTCCATTGTTCATTGCTCTTTGGTGGCTGATAGCCTTATCTGCAGCTCACAGTCGGCCAATCCCAGAGGATTAGTGGGTCCGGTTTCTGTATAAATTAGGGGGCAGGGGTGCTGTAGAGGCTTCTTATCGATGATTGACGCCGAGGCCCAGGCTGTTGTCCTCACAGGAGCCTGGTTAATGACATGGCAGACACAGTGGCTGTGGTCAGCCTGGAGTGGACTACACTGCCACTCTCACCAAACAATAAGTGAAACTGTTGGGCTGGGGACAGGATTTCAGAAGAGAACGATGGTAAAGTGGAGAGGCATGAGGATAGTGAATGTTGGAGAGGGGCTTGGAGGAAAGAGGGAATGCCTGAATGGAGAGGGGTCTTGGGGAAAGTTGGGGAATAGAAGTCAAGGCGGGAGGAGTGTGAGGACTCACAGGCACCTAGCCTCTCCTCCAGCAGCAGCACCTGGTCGCTGAGAGATTCGATCCGGTCACCCCGGCCCCACAGCTCAGCCACCTGTTCTGGCTGCAGCTCTTCAGGCGGCACGGGCAGCACCGCTCTGACCCAGGCCCCAGCCTGACCGGCCCACTAGAAAGGAAGAGATGCCTCAGGGTATTGACAGTGACGTCTGGCCTCGCCCCACCCAGCAGGCTTGGCTCACCTGCTCCAGCCGCTCCAGGCGCCCTCGCAGCTCGTGAATCTCCTGCTTCAGAGCGCGCTCATCTTTTTCCGCCTCCCGAACTAGGGACAAAGGAGACCAAGAGTGTGACCACTACCCGAGCCCGGACGCCCGTCCCGAGTCCCTCGGGTGGCCCGTACTCCTGCCCACTCACCGGCCACGCTGAGTATGCTGGCACTGGTTGGGGGCTCTGGGGACCCCTCCATGCAGGTGCGCCCGTCCACGCCTAGCACTAGGTCATGGGGGCAGCCGCAGGTGAAGCTGCCTGCCGTATTAAAACAATGGTGCGAGCAGAGGGTGATGCTGGTCCTACATTCATCCACGTCTAGTTACCGAAAAAAGGAAGGGGCTGAGAGAGGGGGCGGGGGCAAGCACCTGGGTAGGTGGGGAGGACAAGCTGACTCACCCACATGACAGTGCTTCCCTCCCCAGCCGGGGGCGCACTCGCACTGGTCAGGCCTAACGCAGACGCCTCCGTTCAGGCAAGGCTTGGCGCAGATGGCTGAGGACAGAGGAAGTGGGGTTCAGACTCAAACCGACGACCCAGCTCCCCAGCTCCGTGGGGCGCGCCTCCCGCAAGGCCCGGAAGACCCAGCCTCACCTTCACAGGTGAGCGCCCCCGGGTGCCGCTTCTTCCAGCCCTGGCAGCACACTGCATGGGTCTGCTGAACCTCCCGCCTCACCTCCCGCCACATAACGCGGTACATGGTCCTGGAACACAGCGCCCGGCTCAGGACCCTGAGTACGGGTCCTAGTTGGGGTTCTTGGGGTCCCATCTCCCCATCCCTCACCTGTAAGTGCTGCAGATGCGCCTCCCAGCGCACAAGGTCAGGTAGGGCTTGTACACTGGTTGGCTGTAGGACTCGTTGTAGTGGAGCGGGACCACCAGTGTCTGCTTGGAGCAGACTCCCTGACTGCGTCCATGCCAGAGGATGAGGTGGGAGAGATTGAGTAGGCCAGGCCCTGGGGAGCCAGGAGTCCCACTTCCCTCAAGAGGCTACTGAGGCCCCCCGCTCTCCCTCCAGATGACAGCCTCTCACCCCCATTCTAAACTTACAGTTATGTTTTGCCTCCTGTGAAGCCCCACCCCCAGCAGAAGGCTCCTGAGAAGAGCTCACCCCGGGCCCTACCCCCTCTGTTGTCACCTCTCTCTGAGGGATCCACCCTTGGCCCCCTCGCCTGGTATCAGTAGCAGGAGGAAGGAGAATCCGCCTAAGAGAGTGCACAGCTCAGCCCTGGACCCCATGATTCGCTTTGACGCTGGACCCTACAGGCTGCAGGCAAGAAAAGGTTAATGGATGCCCGTCCCCTCTCCTATTAATTTCTCCAGCACTAGTCCCTCCAAGGGCACTCTGCAGGTACCCTCTAAGGGAGTCAGGACATTCACTTTTACATACTAGCCACCAGGATTGCCTACACCTGTGTGTACAACCCAACACTATCCTGTCCTTAGCATATCATGATCCTTTCAGCATCATAAAAGCTCACACCCCAGCACACTCCCTCCACCTCCCCTCTAACCTACTTACTTCTAATCCCCTCTGCACAACCTGGAGGGACACACAGTCAACCCTCCCCTTATGACCCTCCTGTCTTTTTTTGGGTTTTTTTTTGTTTTTGTTTTTGAGAAGGAGTTTCGCTCTTACTACCCAGGCTGGAATGCAATGGCATGTTCTTGCCTCACCGCACGACCTCCGCCCCCCAGGTTCAAGTGATTCTCCTGCCTCAGCCTCCCAAATAGCTGGGATTACAGGCATGCGCCACCACGCCTGGCTAATTTTGTTTTGTTTTGTTTTGTAGGGTGTGAGGGTATATAGCTAGGGTTTTTTTTTTTTGGTTTTTTTTTTGTTGTTGTTTTTTGAGACGGAGTCTCGCTGTCACCCTGGCTGGAGTGCAGTGGTGCGATCTCGGCTTGCTGCAAGCTCCGCCTCCCGGGTTCATGCCATTCTCCTGCCTCAGCCTCCCGAGTAGCTGGGACTACAGGCGCCTGCCACCACGCCCGGCTAATTTTGTTTTGTATTTTTAGTAGAGACGGGGTTTCTCCATGTTGGTCAGGCTGGTCTCGAACTCCCGACTTCAGGTGATCCGCCTGCCTTGGCCTCCCAAAGTGCTGGGATTACAGGTGTGAGCCACCATGCCTGGCCAACCCTCCTGTCTTTAACATGCCCTCTTATAACTTCATACCTTCAAAACCCTAGCTGGTTGGGCGCGGTGGCTCACACCTGTAATCCCAGCACTTTGGGAGGCTGAGGTGGGTGGATCATGAGGTCAGGAGTTCGAGACCAGCCTGGCCAAGATGGTGAAACCCCATCTCTACTAAAAAATACAAAAAATTAGCCAGGCGCAGTGGTGGACGCCTGTAATCCCAGCTACTCGGGAAGCTGAGGCAGGAGAATCCCTTGAACCCTGGAGGCAGAGGTTGCAGTGAACCAAGATCATGCCACTGCACTCTAGCCTGGGCGACAGAGCAAGACTCCGTCTCAAAAAAACAAACAAAACAAACAAACAAAAAAAACCCCTAGCTATATACCTTCACACCGTACACACAAACCAAGCACCTGGAAACTCCACACCTTTCACACACTGCTACTCCCCTCATATACCCACACCGTCACATAACGCCCTAAATGCACATCCCTTGCTCCAACAAAACACCCCGCAACTCATGCCCACCCTAAGGCTCTGAGTAAACCCCACTCTTTCCCCATTTGAAATTCTCTCCCCACTTGCCTTCCTCTCTCTCTCCATTCCCACCTGGCTTCTTTCTCCTGGGAGGCTTCAAGCAGACCAGCCTCAGCAGAAGCAGCTCAGACTGGTGGGTGGGCCTGGCAGGCTAAGAAGGAGAGGAGGGGCTGGGCCAGAGAGTCCTCCCATTCCTGCCCCCTCCCACAAGCCTCCTCCTTAGCTCCAGCAGGGTCAGCTCAGTAGGGTCAAGTCCCACTACCCTCATCCCCACCCCAGCAAAGGGCTCCCTAGAAGTATCTTTCCAACCCTCTGAGGCCCCTATTTCTGGACTCCCCAGATCAGAAGCTATGAGCTCTGTAACACCACCAGTACCCCCTTGAACCCAAAACAGACTAGGGGAGAGTTAGGGGGCAGGGAGAGAACCAGCTGCAGGGAACAAAGCAGTTCAGGTTATGGGAGAAAAAGCAAGATCAGCTGAGGAAAGCTAGAAGGGCAAGTCGTCACAAAGGGGCAGGGGGGCAGCCCAGGGCACCAAGGGGAAAACTGCCCCCCTCTCTTCATGACATTTGTTAGGGCTTAGGGGGAACAGAATTGAGTCAGCCACCACCCCCCATGCCAGAACAGACAGGGCCCTATTGTCTCAGCCAAAATTCCTTCTTTCAAGGAAGAGGAGGCTCATTGTCCAGCCCTACACCCAGCTCTGGCCCACAAAGCTCAAAAGCGGCACAACGAATGCCCACCCTGACCCTCTGCCCCCTCGTCTAGCCTGGGGGTGGCAGGCGCATTCCACCCATGAGGCTGAGGCCCAAACCACTGGAGCCCTGAGCTTAACCCCCCAGTCTTGGGGACTGGGAGAGGAAGAGAATTGTCTTCAGCAGGAAAGAACCCGCAGAGAACCAGGAACCCACAAAGAATGGGCATTGAGAGAGAGCGGAAACACCAAGGGGGTCCCCACCCTAGACCAGGCATCTGGGCACCCAGGCCTCAGGCTCCACCCCCACCCTCCTTGGGGAGCCAGGTCCCCTCCACCTGGAAATGAGCCAAGTCACACTGAGGAAATGGAACTTTATTTCCATAAATACAGGGATAACACCTATTCAAAGGTAGTTAAAAGAGGGCCTGGGGCCTCAAAGAAACTAGGCTCTCCCAGGGGGGTACTCCAACACTGATCATAGGGACTGGGGGATCCCCAAACCTGAGATGGGCCTCATAGGCCACAGATATTCCCCAACACTGACACTTCAAGAACGGAACTGTCCCCATAGGGGAGCCTCAGAACCCCACTCTCATGGGTAGTCCCTCTTAGGAGTTGGGAGGGCTGATGTCAGGGGACTTTAGAGAAAAAAGGGAACATGGGGAGGAGAGAAGCTAAAAATGTCCTGAGTGGCCTGGAAGGAGACCCCTGTGGTGGGCAGGGGGTGGGTTCTCCACCCATACAGCCAGATACGGAGGAGCAGCAGCAGCAAAAGCAGCCACAAGTTAAAAACATGGTTTCTCACTTCCCAACTTCGGCCTTGAGAGAAAGGGACAGCACGGAGCAATCCCCCAAATGAGAGGACATGAGGTAGGGGAGGCCTGGAATTGTCATTCATGGAGGAGCAGAGGAAGGGGGTTCTGGGAGGCCAAGTCTCTACTAAAACCCCGTCTCTACTAAAAATGGGGGATAATATGGGAGCAATGAGGTGGTCACAGGCACACCAAAGCCTGACATCTGCTTTCCAAGGCCACCACTTGGTCTCTGGACCGAGGAGTTCCTGGGGACCCCTGAATATATCCTCAGGAGAGCCAAGGTTCAATGCAGGTCTCATAAAGGGTACGGTTGGAGTGCCAGGCTGTGTGGGAGATACCGGCCATTGGACACCTCACTATGGCCCCCCGGGCCAATAGAGTCTTCAACCCAAAAGAATCCCGCAGATAAACCTTCAAGGTGGTCGAAGGGGCGTGGAAGCATGGAAGAGAGACACAAGGAGAGACAAAGTGAGTTACTGCTGGGATCCTGGACCTCCTCCCCACAGGGTGAACCCTTCAGCTCAGGAGTCACAGAGAGGGCTCTGGAATAAGGTGGGACAGCGGCTAGAAGGGGAAGTAATCCCAGGGGGCTCACCAGTTGCTCCTCCATCTCCAGGACGGTCTCATTTGCATCATAGAAACCAAAGAAGCTACAAAGAGATTTGGGGGGAGGTTATCAGAAGAGCTGGAGAAAATCTGGCCGGGCGCAGTGGCACACGCCTGTAATTGCAGCACTTTGGGAGGCCAAGGAGGGCAAATCACCTGAGGCCAGGAGTTCAAGACCAGCCTGACCAAAATGGTGAAACCCCATCTCTACTAAAAATACAAAAATTAGCTGGGCATGGTGGCAGATGCCTGCAAGCCCAGCTACCCAAGAGGCTGAGGCAGGATAATTACTTGAACCCGGGAGGTGGAGGTTGCATTGAGTCGAGATCGCACCACTGCACTTCAGCCTGGGTGACAGAGCGGGACCCCATCTCAAAAAGGAAAGGAAAGGAAAAAGGAAAGAAAAAAGAAAAGGAAAAAAGAAAGGAAGAAATCAAGGTGGGCTAAGGTCCCAAAGGAACCCAAGGCCTACTGGGGAGACAGGTAGCAGGGAGGACACTCAAAACTACCTTACTGGATATAATGTACTTCATGAGGTGATACACTGAAGATACGACCTCACTTCTGTAGAAACCCCATCAAAAATGCATTACTGGCCGGGCGAGGTGGCTCACACCTGTAATCCCAGCACTTTGGGAGGCCAAGGCCGGCGGATCACCTGAGGTCGGGAGTTCAAGACCAGCCTGGCCAACGTGGTGAAACCCCATCTCTACTAAAAATACAAAATTAGCTGGGCGTGGTGGCTCAAGCCTGTAATCCCAGCACTTTGGGAGGCCGAGGAGGGTGGATCATCTGAGGTCAGGAATTCGAGACCAGCCTGGCCAACACGGAGAAACCCTGTCTCTACTAAAAATACAAAATTAGCTGGGCGTGGTGGGCGCCTGTAATCCCAGCTACTCAGGAGGCAGAGGCAGGAGAATTGCTTGATTCTGGGACGCAAAGGTTGCAGTGAGCCGGGATGGCGCCACTGCACTCCAGCCTGGCGACAGAGTGAGACTTTGTCTCAAAAAAAAAAAAAAAAGAGGCCAGGTGTGGTGGCTCATGCCTGTAATCCCAGCACTTTGGGAGACCAAGGAGGGTGGATCACCTGAGGTCAGGAGTTCAAGACCAGCCTGGCCAACATGGAGAAACCCCGTCTCTACTAAAAATACAAAATTAGTTGGGCATGGTGGTGGGCGCCTATAATCCCAGCTACTCAGGAGGCTAAGACAGGAGAATCACTTGAACCTGGCAGGCGGAGGTTGCAGTGGGCCGAGATTTGCCATTGCACTCCAGCCTGGGCAACAAGAGTGAAACTCCAACTCAAACAAACAAACAAACAAAAAGATACTAAAGAGACGTAACAAGATCATGCAACTCAAGATCCTGATTTGGATCTTCCACTGTATATTTTTTTCTGTAAGGACAGTTGGAAAAATTTGAATAATCTGTGAGCGCATATTCAGGAAAATTTGAATCTATGTTTATATTTAAATATAACATTAACGTATATAAATAAATGTATATATATTTAGAGAAAAAAGATATTAATGTAAACATGACAAAATGTTAACATTTGCGAAATCTAGGTGAGGAGTATAAATGACTGCTTTTTGCTATTTTGGTAACTTTTTTTTTTTTTTTTGAGACAGGGTCTTACTCTGTCACCCAGGCAGGAGTGCAATGGTGAGATCTCGGCTCACTGCAGCCTTGGCCTCCTAGGCTCAAGCAATTCTCGTACCTCAGCCTCCCAAGTAGCTGGGACTACAAGGGCACACCACCACGCCCAGCTAATTTTTGTATTTTAGGTAAAGACAGGGTTTTGCCATGTTGCCCAGGCTGGTCTCAAACCCCTGGGCTCATGCCTCGGCCTCCCAAAGTGCTAGGATTACAGGCGCAAACTTTTCTTAAGTATGAAATTATTTCAAAATAGAAAGGTCTTAAAATCCTTTTTTTCTTTTTTTTTTGAGACAGAGCCTTGCTCTGTCACCCAGGCTGGAGTGCAGTGGCACCCTGTCGGCTCATTGCAACCTCCGCCTCCTGGTTTCAAGTTCTCCTGCCTCAGCCTCCTGAGTAGCTGGAACTACAGGCGTGCGCCACCAGGCCCACTAATTTTTGTATTTTTAGTAGAGATGGGGTTTCTCAATGTTAGCCAGCTGTTCTCGAACTCCTGACCTCAGGTGATCCACCCGCCTCGGCTTCCCAAAGTGCTGGGATTATAGGCGTGAGCCACCGCACCCAGCCAGATGGAGTTAAAATCTTTTAATTAAAAAATATTGGCCAGGCAAGGCCGGGTGCGTGGGCTCACGCCTATAATCCTAGCACTTTGGGAGGCCGAGGCGGGTGGATCACGAGGTCAGGAGATCGAAACCATCCTGGCTAACACAGTGAAACCCCGTCTCTACTAAAAATACAAAAAAATTAGCCGGGCGTGGTGGCGGGTGCCTGTAGTCCCAGCGACTCAGGAGGCTGAGGCAGGAGAATGGCGTGAACCTGGGAGGCAGAGCTTGCAGTGAGCCGAGATCACGCCACTGCACTCCAGCCTGGGCGACCGAGCGAAGACTCCAACTCAAAAAATATATATCTATCTATATATAGAGAGAGATATATATTGGCCAGGCGCAGTGGCTCACGCCTGTAATCCCAACACTTTGGGAGGCCGAAGCAGGCGGATCACAAGGTCAGGAGATCGAGACCATCCTGGCTAACACAGTGAAA
Organism: Homo sapiens; assembly: GCF_000001405.40. Classification (NCBI taxonomy): domain Eukaryota; kingdom Metazoa; phylum Chordata; class Mammalia; order Primates; family Hominidae; genus Homo; species Homo sapiens. Next base: position 32,159,914 of record NC_000006.12, on the reverse strand, counting down.
CCCCGTCTCTACCAGAAATACTAAAAATTAGCCAGGCATGGTGGTGGGCACCTGTAGTCCCAGCCACTTGGGAGGTGAGGCAGGAGAATGGCTTGAACCCAGGAGGCGGAGGTTGCAGTGAGCCGAGATTGTGCTATTACACTCTAGCCTGGGCGACAAGAACAAAACTCTGTCTCAAAAAAAAAAAAAAGGAAGAAACAGTGACTTGGAACATGAAAAATGTTATATAACCATGAGCTATCACTGTCATTCATAGGGTTGTGGTAGATGTGAAATGACATGATGTACATAAAACTCATCACTTACTATTATATTATTACAATATTTTAAGAGATGTCCTGCCTTCACTGAAAACTGTCCAGTGCCTTCCCATCTCACTCAGAATTTAAAAAAAAAAATCAAAAGCCTGGTTACCGGGACTGTCGGGAAATAGGGATGAGGATATATATATATATATATATATTTTTTTTTTTTTTTTTTTGAGATGGAGTTTCGCTCTTGTTGCCCAGGCTGGAGTGCAATGGCGCAATCTCAGCTCACTGCAACCTCTGCCTCCCAGGTTCAAGCGATTCTCCTGCCTCAGCCTCCCAAGTAGCTGGGATTACATGCATGCATCACCACACCCAGCTAGTTTTGTATTTTTAGTACAGACAGGGTTTCTCCATGTTGGTCGGGCTAGTCTCGAACTCCCGACCTCAGGTGATCCACTGCCTCGGCCTCCCAAAGTGCTGGGATTACAGGCGTGAGCCACCACACCCAGTCTATTTTTTAATGGGTATACGGTTTCAGTTTGGGGAAAAAGAAGTTCTGGAGATGGATGGTGCTGATGGGTGATGGTTTTACAATGATGTGAGTATACTTAATGCCACAAAACTGTACATTTTTAAATGGTTAAAATGGCAATTTTATGTTATGTATATTTTATCACAAAAAAAAGAAAAAAAAATATCAAGGGCCTTACCTTGACCTGCTAAGGTTTGACATGCCTGGTCCCCTGCTACCACTTTTAGCTCCTCTCCTGTCCTCTCCCCAGCTCCTTGTGCACTAGCCATGCTGGCCTCCTTATTGCTCACACGTGCTTCAGGGCCTCTGCAGGTGCCAGACCTTCTCCCTGGGGGGTTCTTCCACCCAGAGCACAACTCCCTCCTTCACTTCCTTCAGTCTCTAATTGAATGGTGACTTTTCCAGGAGGACTTCTTCGGCCACTATTGAAACTAGGCCCCGGACATCCTCTAATCCTTTCCCCTGCCTTATTACCTGACATATATATTTGTATGTATGTATCAGCTATCTTACAAACTAGAATATAAGCTACATAACATTAGGGACTTCTCTTTTATTTACCACTGCATCCCTAGGGCCCAGAACAAGCCTGCGCCCATAATGTTGAATAAATATTTGTTGAGCAATTCAAGTAGCTCAGGTGACATTACAGATCACACATGGTGACCTATAACACAGGCAAGCACATAGTACCATGGAGCCATGGATTTTTTTCTAAGGAATAGGATGGAGGGGACAAAGCTGGAGGCTGTTATAATAGTCCAGGTAAGTAAAGAGGTGGTAGGAAATGTGATAAAATGGTATAAAACTACACACACACATTGAACCAATGTGAATTTCCTGGTTTTGATACTGTGCTATAATTACATAGGATGCAACCACTGGGGGAAGCTGGGTGAAGGGCCTTGCTATACTATCTTTGCAATTTCCTATGAATCTATAAGAATTTCAAAATTAAAAGTTTTTATAAAGTGGGGGAGGGGGTGATAGGGATGGAGAGGAGAAGAGTCAGCAGGACTTAGTGACTGGCTTGATACAAGGGGTTGGGATATGACTCCCAGGTTTTGGTCTTGGGTGACATGATGAATGGGGGGAGGAGCACTAACTGAACAGTGGAAGGAGCAGGCCAGTTTAGGCATGAGATAAAGACCAACTGGGGTTGGGGGATGTCTTTAGCCAATCTTCAGGCCACAAAATCCCTTATTACCTGGACTGCCAGGGAGTAATAACACCATCATCAGGGCCCCCAATCAGCACCAGGTGGCCCACACGCAGAAAGTTCTTCCGCCATACTGTAGGATGGGAAGAAGAGAGGCTGAGTCAGCCACAGGGGTCAGGCCAGGTTGGAGAGGGAGACATAGGGAGTCAAAGAAGCAGAAAAAGCAACACAGGTAGGAGCCTGAATTCTCACCTGTGGCATTGGGATGGTCTCTTTCCCCATTGATCAGGGCCAGGAAGCTGCTGGCATTGAGGTACAAGTCATCGTGGTGGGGATCTGGGTACAAACAGCAGTTAGAAAAAGAAGCAGAAAAGGGAGGCAAGACTGGTGGTGAAAAGCCCAATAAGGAAGCTGCAGCAATAGTCAAGGTGGATAGTAATAAAATAGTAGTGATAATGTAGGCCAGGTGCGGTGGCTCACACCTGTAATCCCAGCACTTTGGGAGGTAGAGGCAGGTGGATCACTTGAAGTCGGGAGTTTGAGACCAGCCTGGCTAACATGGCGAAACCCTGTCTCTACTAAAAATACAAAAGTTAGCCAGGCGTGGTGGTGCATGCCTGTAATCCCAGTTACTCGGGGCGCTGGAATCACTTGAACCCAGGAGGTGGAGGTTACAGTGAGCCGAGACTGCACCACTGCACTCCATCCTGGGAGACACAGTGAGACTCCATCTCAAAATAATAATAGTAGTGATAACAACCGTAAACATAGTAACAAGTACTTTTTTTTTTTTAGATGAAATCTCACTCCGTCACCCAGGCTGAAGTGCAGTGGCAGGATCTCCGCTCACTGCAACATCTGCCTCCCGGGTTCAAGCAATTCTCCTGACTCAGCATCCTGAGTAGCTGGGATTACAAGCGTGTGCCCACATTCAGCTAAATTTTTTTTGTATTTTTAGTAGAGATGGGGTTTCACCATGTTGGCCAGGCTGGTCTCGAACCCGACCTCAGGTGATGCGCCCACCTCCCCCTGCCAAGATATTGGGATTACAGGTGTGAGCCACCACACCTGGCAATAGCAAGTACTTCTATCTAGTATCTACTATATGAGCCAGGTACTATTCAAAGTACATTGCATTCATTTATTTATTTAATCCTTACAACCACCTGGTGAAGTACATGCTATAATATTTTACAGATAAGGAAAACTGAGTAACAGAATGGTTAAGTAACTTGCCCAAAGGCACCCAATAGGGTCAAGATTCAAACCCAAGTATTCTGGCCCCATGGTCTGGTCTAGAGGTTGGCAAACTGTGACCAAAGGACCAAATCCAGCCTGCTACTTGTTTTTGTAAATGAAGTTTTACTGGAACACAGGCACATTCATTCACATATGGTACATGGCTGCTTTCACACTACAACAGCAGAATTGAGGAGTTGTGAAACAGACTATATGTCCTACAAAGTCAAAAATATTTACTCTCTGGCCCTTTATAGACAAGGTTTGCTGACTCCCACATCAGACTAAACCTTCTAAGGCAATAAGGTGACACACTTAAAACATTCTGGGCCAGGTGCAATGGTTCACACCTGTAATCCCAGCACTTTGGGAGGCCGAGGCGAGTGGATCACCTGAGGTCAGGAGTTCGAGACCAGCCTGGCCAACATGGCGAAACTCCATCTCTACTTAAAATACAAAACTTAGCCGGGCATGATGGCGCCTGCCTGTAATCCCAGCTACTAGGGGGACTGAGGCAGGAGGATCACTTGAACCTGGGAGGCGGAGGTTGCAGTGAGCCAAGATGGTGCACTGCACTCCAGCCTGGGCAACAGAACAAGACTCCGTCTCAAAAAAAAAAAAAATTCTGAACAGAGCCTGTTCAAATAACTCAATAAATGTAAGTTATCTTTATTGTCATCACTGCTATTGGTTGTAGCAGAGGTGGAAGCAACTGACCTGATCCATGGAAGCCCCAGTTCAGCATCCCCACTCACCATGCCAGTAGTTGCAGATGGAGAATTCCTGGCCCCAGGGGCTATAGCAGATCCGATAGAGGTTAGACCGCATGGAGGTGGGGAACAGCCACTTCAAGTAGTCCGTGTCTGGCAAGCGAATGGCAATGCTAAGTGACCATAAACCTCTGTTCCCCCAAAACTCAGGGCATTCTATGGAGTCTAGTGCCCACTCACCTCCATACTGTCCCATCTGTGGAGAGGAGAGGGAGATGAAAGAATCCACGTTGTGATCATCCATGACAGAAAGCAGAGCCCGGCACACAAGGCCCCCTGTAAGCAGAACACCACATTGGGCAGGCACTTAAGGACAGCAAAGCCAGCAGCACCCCCCACCCCCACCACACACACACACACACACACACACACACACACAGAGACACACACAGACACACACTGTACACAAAGGAGACTGAGGCTTACAGAAGGCAGGCACACCCTGTGCCAAAAGGTCACACATCATATAAGTGACTGAGCCCGAATTAGATGCTGGGCCTCCTGCCTCTAGTTCTAGGATGTTTTTACCTGCCCCATTAGCCCTTATGTCCAAGAACCATGGGTAACAGGAAGCAAAAGGGCAGCAGTGTAGGGAGCCTCCCTCCCATTCAAGACAGAGATGAGACCCAGGTGCTGAGGGAAGTCAGAAAGGAAGGGCTCAGGTACCAGGGTTGTGCCTGGAGCAATGTGGTTCAGAAAAAGGGACGCTAGGAAGTGTCCCTCAGATAAGGATCAAGCCTCAGATAGGGCTTAGGAGTTAGGGGCAGGGGAGTCGCCTACCCTGCGAGTAGCAGATGAGATGCACCCCTTGAGGGGCCTTTGCCATGATGGGGACCACAGCCTCTCGGAACCCTTGCACCTGTTCCCACAGGGGTCGCAAGCTCTCTCTCCCATCGAAGAGATCGAGCACTGTCACCACAGTCCCGGGGTGTGTCTGTGGGAAGGGGGCAATGCAGCCACCGGGGATAGGCTAAGAAGCTCCCACACGCCACCCCCTGGCCCGCGTCCACAGGTCTATTGTACCCTGCTAGAACCAGGGATCCCGTCCCCCAACTCTCCCCCACGCCAGCACCAGCTCCCTGAGGAACTGGGCAGGCCCAGAGGGGTGGCTTTCAGTTCCCCGCTCTCCCTCCCCTGCCACAGTAGACGCCTCTAACGCCCTGCACCCAGGTGTCCCCTGCCAGACCTCATTGATGTATTCCAGCAGGTGGCGGAAGCTGTACGAGCTGTCGAAGAGCCCATGCACCACGATGACCGGCTTGTAGGACGCGCGGTGGGGCGCGGGGGCTGCAAGCAGCAGCAGCGGCAGGAAAGGCAACAGAAGCAGGACCCACGCCGCGGGGAGCCGCTGCCCGCAGAGCCCCAGCATGCTCCCGCCTGAGAAAGGGGTGATAAGGGCATGTGAGGGAGATGGCAACACCCTCCTCCCTCGGAACAGACGCCCGGCAATCAAGCCACCTCCTCTCGCTCCCACACCAGGTCCGTGTCACAAAATAGCCTACTTTTAACTTACTCCAGCCCTCTCCCTACAAACACACCCCCCCACCACGTTGACGCACCAACGCGCACCCGAAGTCCCGCCTCCAACTCAGCGTTCGGGGGACTTGTTCTCTAGGTCCAGGATCTTCCTAATGCATCGCCTCAGCCATGAACAACGCGGAGTTCTTTAATACCCGTGAGCAGCAGCCCAGGCCCCTTGAAGAGTGCAGACTCCCACCTGGCCTGGGTCCGTAGGCCTCGCTCCACCCGCTGTTTACTTATCCCAAGTCTGGAACCCACGGTGGCGGGGGGAAGGGTGAGGAAAGAGAGCGCAGGGGAATGACGGATGGGAGGGGGAAGGGCGGGCTGCTTGGGGTCGCGCAAATCCGTCACGTCCGGGGCTTTCTCTGGCAACCGCGCGAGCGTTCCCCGCAACACAGACCCAGGACAGGAGGGGCAATGGAATATTCCATTGCGCCCTAGGTGCTGGGGAGGAAACAGGCGGAGCGATCCATTTAGGCCAGTGGGGAGAGGAAAAAGCAGCAAACATATTCTGGGAATGGAAAGAAGGCCTCTCCAGGCTTCGTTGCCCCCAGCGACCCAAAAGTCCGATTTCCCCGCCTTGATTCTCCCCACTTCCCAATACAGGCGTCTGGCTCCGCAGCAGAACACGAAGTTTGCATTCCCCAAGGGGCGGCCAGGGGGCGGACCAGGGAAAGGTAGTCCTCTGCATTTTGCCGTGTGCTGGGTGAGTGGCAGGGTGGCCTGGAGGGCTGATGCCAGCCCGGGCGTGCCCCTCAACACCCACCCCACCCCACCCTCCAGTCCGCCCCAGGTCAGCGACTTACAACTCTTCATTCTGAAGTGCGTGTAGTGCCCTTGTCTCCAGAGACGCAGAGAGTCCTCGAGGCCCCTTGAGCTAAGTGCAGCCTGGCCCAGTTTCTCCTGCCCTACTCTACTCCCCTCCCTATAAGCGACCCACCCTCAAGGGGCGGAGGGCGCGTAGGGATGCGCTGACTCATGCCCGCGTAATTTCGACCAGTCTTTCAACCTGAACGACCCCCAGAATCTGGCTGTCTGAGTTATCTGTGGGTGGCTCCCTACCGAAACCCCCAGGCGCCCCACCTCTCCGCCTGTGACCCCTAACCGACACCCTAGTGCCTCAGGGCTTTTACTTGCTAGGGCTTTTACTTAGCATTTAAAGACGTTTCTCTAGAGATAAGGATTTCTCAGCATGTCTGAGCCCCTCTCTCTGTTTACAAGGTCATTGCTTGGTCTAAATTTGTCTCAATCAAAACATTTTTGCGCTCAGAATGGTGTAGAGTGACGATGAGGTGGCGGTAAGGGGTTGAGCGCTCACGCGAACGCCTAAGTGACCAGAACGACTGGTGTGAAGCCGTGATCTGACTCTGTGGAGCCTGGGACTGGTTTCAGCGAGAGCCTCTGTACTGCTCTGTAGTCTCTGCTAGGACATGGACGAAAAGGGACGCAGCCGGGAGAGCGACTGCCCCAGGTGGGGGCTGGGGGGACGTAAGGGAAGAATAATAATTATCTGGCTGTGTTTTTGTTTAAAAAAAAAAAAAAACTGGTGTAAATCTCCATAGACTTCCTATCCTCGCTCCCTTCACCCACCCACGCGCTCCCAAGATGCAATAAGCAAATAAAAAGACTAATAACGCTGTACTGCAGGTCGACTCAGGAGCTGGAGATGCGTCTTGGTGGGAGGTGGTGGGTGGGAGTAGGGGGGTTTAGGGAATGGATCTGAACATTGACCAGCCCAGAGACTCTAAGCAGCCTCAAAAGCAAAGGGAAAGTGGGGGAACAAGCACACATTACCAACAGAGCTGCCAGAAATGAGCAGTTAAGTCATACCCCCTACCCCCTCCAAAAGAGCTTCAGCTCCTTAGTCCTGGACGAAGAAGGTATGTATGCACACCGCCCAAACTCTCTCTCCCTTTTCCCTCCAAGGCCCAGCTCCCCCTGATTTACAGACCTGGGCCTCCCTCTTTACTGCTAGGTTGGTAGGTTCACCAAACCCTGGGAACTTTTCAGACCATCGCAGTTCTGAACTCTGCACAATTCTCTCTCACACACAAGTATTTATCTCTTCTAAAGAGGAGGAAACTGGGGCCAAGGATTTGGGAGAAGACCCTGGCACCTTGCAGGGAGCTAAGAGGGGGAGACGACCTGCCTCTGGAGGCACCTGGGTTATTAACTCCACTGAGAACCTGTTCACTTCCTCCCACAATACAATCACTGAGTCTTGGTGGGGGAGACTCCAGAGAGTTCTCCTTCCTTCCTTTCCTTAGTCCCACCCGCCTCGCCTGGTCTAGCCTCCGTGTTTCCATGACAACTCCAAAGGAACCCAAACTGGGGGCTTGAATGCCGGGGTAAGAGGAGGAGAGAGGTGGTCCGAGAGCAGAGAGAGACCGAGTGGGAAACATCTGAAGCGCTCCCCCTCCCTCGCCTCGGTCCCTTTAAGCTCCCCCCCTCCCCGCTCTCCCTCCGCCCGCCCCCCCCGCCCCCCCCCCCCGCCGCTGCCTTCATCTCTCCATCTCTGCGCTGCTGCCGGCTGCGCCATCCAGCACCCAGACTCCAGCACCGGCCGAGGACCCCCACTCCGGCTGCAGGGACCCTGTCCCAGCGAGACCGCAGGCATGTCATCCGAAAAGTCAGGTAAAAACAATAACAAAACCTCCCACCCCCTCCACTGTCTCCAGACTCTCCGTCCCCCTTGCCCCAACCCCCTCCCTTACCCCTCCTCAGCTGTGGTTCTATTTCATTCCCCTTCTCTCCAGCTCTCAACACTCCCCCAGTCCCCCTCCTCTTTCTGTCTCCCCCTTTCTCTTCCTTTCCTCTTTCCAGTGGCAGCCTCTGCCCCTTGCCAACAACATGGTCAGGGGGGTAGGTTGAGAGGGTGAAGGAGGTACAGCCAGGTTTTGCAGGGATGGCATCATTGGGAGTGACAGATGGACAATCACTGGCTGGCATGGAGACATCCTGTGAGGAAATATGGAGACATGACCAGATGGGGGTTGTCAAGGGAGCAAAATCCAGAGGGCTCTTCTTAATCTGCCCTAAAAGAGGTCCCGAGATTCTCACAGAGGCTGGGGCACTCCTCCCCCCACTGAAGGAACAGCAGAGTGGAACACATGTCATCCCACATGTGTTTATACAACTGTTGAATTGAGCACATATTAACACAGGGTTGCATGTCTACGCATACGCACACACAGGACTAGCTCGGATAGGCCAGCCCAAAGGCAGCTATAGCAAAGGAGAGGGGATTAGGTCTGCAGGTGAGAGCTGGGTGCATGGTGATGAAAAAGACAGAAAAGAAGCAGACCAGAGTTGTGACCTCAAAACTAGATTGGAAGGAAGAAGGAGGGGGGCAGATGGCCTAGATACAGCCCCTCTCTTGCCCCTCAAATTAGAGATGGTTTCTCACCCGTCTCTCTCTATGTGTCTCTCCCATTATCTTTCTCCATCCCTGACCGGCTGTGTTTCCCCTTACCCCCTCCTCAACTCATCACTGTGTCATCTTTCCTCTTATACTCTCCTCCACTCACCTCCCCCAGGACTCCCAGACTCAGTCCCTCACACTTCTCCGCCGCCCTACAATGCCCCTCAGCCTCCAGCCGAACCCCCAGCCCCACCGCCACAGGCAGCCCCTTCCTCACACCATCACCACCACCACCACTACCATCAGTCTGGCACCGCCACCCTCCCGCGCTTAGGGGCAGGGGGCCTGGCCTCTTCCGCGGCCACCGCTCAGCGCGGTCCCTCCTCCTCTGCCACGCTGCCGAGGCCCCCCCACCACGCCCCTCCCGGCCCTGCTGCCGGGGCACCCCCACCCGGCTGCGCTACCTTGCCCCGCATGCCACCCGACCCTTACCTGCAGGAGACTCGCTTCGAGGGCCCACTTCCCCCGCCGCCGCCCGCTGCCGCCGCCCCGCCCCCGCCGGCGCCAGCCCAGACTGCCCAGGCCCCTGGCTTCGTGGTGCCCACGCACGCGGGGACTGTGGGCACGCTGCCGCTGGGGGGCTACGTAGCGCCCGGATACCCCCTGCAGCTGCAGCCTTGCACTGCTTACGTGCCGGTCTACCCGGTGGGCACGGTGAGTGCCGGGCAGACAGGGACATGGGAAAGAGGGGGACGCGATACAGGACTTGAAATTGGGGATACGCTGGGGGCTGGTAGGATAGAGGAACAAGGGCAGGGAACAGGTAGTGTTCCCGGGACAAGCCCTAGAAAGAAGGGAGCCTGAGACAGGAAGGACTAGGGAGAGACACGGGAGTAGGAGTCTACTGGTGCCCAGAGTCAGGGCCTGGGAGGGGGATCGGAGCCTAGAGGTTCAGAGGAGGTCTGAAAGTAGGAAACCGCCTGGCGGGGGACGGGGGGAATGGAAGCTGGGAACCAAGAGGGATGTGGGAGAAGCCTGGGACTAAGGGGGTAGGGGAGGCCTGGTAGGTGTCTGGAGGGAAGAAAGAAGGTCTGACCTGAGGCCAGGACAGCCCCAGTGGGACCATACCTTGCGGGAGAGAATGTAGAAAGCCCAAGAATATGGTGGTTAATGAAGCAAGGAAGGGAGGAGAGGGGCTTAGGTGGAATTTATGGGTGTCCTGGAAGGGTAATGGGTGCTTTATTTTGAGAAGCCATAGGTAAAAATTGTGCTTTTAAAGCCACTCTGCCAGCCGCCCAACGCTGGTAGGCTGGGAGAGGGTCAGAGTGATGCCCCTGCCCCCCAAATTTCCTTCCACAGCCATATGCAGGCGGGACCCCGGGGGGAACAGGAGTGACCTCCACTCTCCCCCCGCCGCCCCAGGGCCCAGGGCTGGCCCTACTGGAGCCGAGGCGCCCGCCACACGACTACATGCCCATCGCGGTGCTGACCACCATCTGTTGCTTCTGGCCTACTGGCATCATTGCCATCTTCAAGGCCGTGCAGGTAGGGGGCAGGGGCATACTCGGTTTGGGGGCGGGGACAGGGAGTTCTGGGCGTTCTGGGGACCATCTTAGAGAAAGGCTGAGGCGTTCGAACGAGGCCGCAGCTCTTTGACCTCCTTCCCCCACCCCTCCTCCGTAGGTGCGCACGGCCTTGGCCCGCGGAGACATGGTGTCGGCCGAGATCGCTTCACGCGAGGCCCGGAACTTCTCCTTCATCTCCCTGGCCGTGGGCATCGCGGCCATGGTGCTCTGTACCATCCTCACCGTAGTCATCATCATCGCCGCGCAGCACCACGAGAACTACTGGGATCCCTAAAAACGCCCCTGGTCCGGCCCCACTCTGCGCCCCTCGATCTCCCAGGCTCTTTCTGCAGTCATACCGCGGACCCAATGGGCGCCCTGCACACCCGTTTCTGGGGCCGTCAGACTTGGATACATCGTAAACTCCGCCTCCACGGAACGTCTCGCCTTGCGAGCAAGCTCGGAATCCAGTTCCTCAGGAACCCCTCCAAAACCCACACCCCCAGGGACGCCGCTTTCCGGGATCCCGGCCAAACGCCGGACCCTCAGTCGCTCCAGGCCCCCTCACCCTCAAAGTGTAGCGCCCCCAACCGAGCAACCTCGGTTTGGTCCCTAAAACCCCGCCTCCTCTATAAGCACCGCCCCAGCTCTGACAAAACCCCGCCTCCAGGTCGGCAGGCTCCGCCTTCTTTTCTTCTCCGCGGGGTGATTCAGTCCAGTGATTGGGTTTGTGGCTCCAGGCCTCGCCCACAGACGGACAGACCCCTCCCTTTCTTCCGGCAAAAGGACCGAGCCCTGGGGTAGTAAGGCCCCCACACTCCTGTTTTTTGCAAGTACATTTTTGTCCCTCCTCCACCCAGGTATCTGCCTATTTTCTTGCTAATCCCAGAACCTTTCCTTTTGCTTTTTTTAAGGACATTTGGGAAGTTCCTGGTGTAGGACCCTTCTCCCTGGGATAAGAAACCTGCCTGTAAACGCTCTGTAAATACTCCCTTCCACCCATCCCAGCCCCTGGGCAGCCGGGCAGAAGGGAATCCAGGCTATGGACCTCCCAAGTCCCCGCTCCCCGCTCCCCTCGGCGGCCCCGCCTTGTTCTGATCTGTGTGTGAGTGTGTGTGAACTTCTGAAAGACAATATTAAAGAGACTTAGTTGATTTATCGCCCGCAATTCCAAAGACTGCGGCCCCGCAAAGACCCTCCCCACTTTTGATTCCGCCTTTCACTTCCCTTCATCTCCTCTTCCAAGGAAAAAAAAAGAAAACCCGACAGAGACTAACGTGAGGGACACAGATTCCCAGATCGCCAGAGAGACACGTGAATATGGGGGACGGAGGGGAGCTCCCTGGGAATCCACCAAGGAAGACCTTGGGGTCCATTCTCAGTGAGGCTTTATTTTCTTAGTGAGGCTTTATTTCCCCAGTACCCCTTTTCCATTCCCTACTATCCCCAGAACTCCAGGAAGACAAGAGAACAGAGAGGGCAGACCATGGTGAAGAAGCTGGTCAAGGATAGAGTGATGGGGGCCAAGAAGAGATGCCAGCTGCCCATAGCTGTTCCTGACTGTGGGCTGGAGGGTGGCAGATAACTTGGATTAGAGCCCCACATGCTGGACTGTAGGGGGTATAGGAAAGGCAAAGAGAGCAGATTGCTGTGGGAGCCCAGGGAGGAGGTCAATGGCCTCTCAAGTCTCCCTGGGACTAGTTGCCCTCTCCTATCCTGAGGTCAACCAATAGGCCTCTTTTCTGAGGGGAGTGGTGATTAGGGGATGCTGCCAGCAGTGGGCTTGGGTCTTTGGTTGTACACCCACAGGACAGGGTCCTAACCTAATTTATGCATTTATGCAACATGCAGACTCCATGCTGGATGCTGGTGAGACATCCACCCAGACAGCAGGTGTGACCCCTGACCTCATGGAGCTTACAATCTAGAAGGGAAGCCATGCACTGAGATAGGAAATGTGATAGGAGATGTGGGAGGAGGGTGGGGTGAGGTGTGAATATCATGGGTTCGCCCTTGGATGTTTCGCATTTAATGTGCCTACCTTACCAAACTTCTTGAAAAACAGAATTCACGGCTGGGCACGGTGGCTAACACCTGTAATTCCAGCACTTTGGGAGGCCAAGGCAGGCGGATCACTTGAGGTCAGGAGTTCGGGACCAGCCTGGCCAACATGGTGAAACCCCATCTGTACTAAAAATAATAAATTAGCCGGGCATGGTGACGGGCACCTGCAGTCCCAGCTACTTGGAAGGCTGAGGCAGGAGAATCGCTTGAACTTGGGAGGCGGAGGTTGCAGTGAGCCAAGATCAAGTCATTGCACTCCAGCCTGGGCAACAAGAGCGAAACTCCATCTCAAAAAAAAAGGGGCAGGGGGGTGCGGAATATTGCTATCAGAGATATGTCTGTATCTGTCTTTTTTTCATACCCACTATTTCTTGACTTATTGGAATATGCATCCACACCCTATTCTCCTGAAACCTCCCTCTCAAATGGCAACCAATTACCCAGATCCCAAATCAATGGCATTTTCACAGTATTCTGCCTCTCTAAGCCCTCCCATGTTTGTCCCTTGACCCTGAATTCCCCACATACCCAGGTTCAAGAACGTATTACCTCCCTTCCCCCGACACACACACAGACCTCTAACCATTCCGCCTCTGCCTTCCCTCCTTGCTTTTTCTCCTCCCTTCCCCTAAGTGTCCATCTCTGATTTTTTTTCCTTCTCTGAGACTTTCCTTTGAAAAGCTCATTCACTCAACTCAGCTAATCAAATGCTTTTCCAACCTGTATTTTACATGCAGACGTTTTTTCCAGTGCCTGAAGATCATAGCCACATGGAAGATGCTTGCTGGTCCTCTAAAATCAACACATTCCAAAACAAACTGATGAAATGCCACAGAAAACCTGCTTCCCTGTCTCTGTTAATAGACCATTTTCCCAATCACTCTTCCTTATCTAGAAATTTGCCGCCTCCTCCCTCTCCCTCCTGCCTTATTTTTGGTGTGCTCTCAAGCCTAGTCAGTTCTGCCACCACAATGTCTTTTGAATCTGTAATTTTTCCCCAGCCCTTGCTGGAAAAATTACCTCATTAGGATTATTGCATCAGCTTTCCCAACAGGTCTCCCTACTTCCTACTTCTCCCTACCTCAAGTCTCCCTCCACACTATTGTCAGATCAGCCTCCCTAAACACACTTTCATAACTCCACTGCTCAAAAGCCCTTCAAGGTTCCCTATTGCCTACTCAATTATTTACAAAATTTTAATCTGGCCTTTAACACCTTCCATAATTTAAAATCATCCAGCTTCTCTGTTCATTCTAATTTCTAACCATACTGAATTACTCATCATTCCCACCTCCAGGTATTTGCCCAGCTGTTCCCAAATCTTAGACCTCCTTCCCAAATCTCTGCCTATTATAAACCAAATTGTTTGCAGCTTGTCACAAATTTCAGAGGCTTTAGACCACATCTAGGCTCTTGCTCATGATGTTCTCCCCCTCTTGACATCTGCCTCTCTACTTGGTCAAATTTTATTTACAATATCTTTCAAAGTCCGGATCAATTCATCCCTCACTGTAGCAAAAAGGTGTCTCTCTTTCCTCTGGGTTAGATTAAAGCAGTGGGTTTCCAAACAGAGCTTCAGGCATTCCTTGGAGCAACGGTTCTTACCCCAGGTTACACATTAGAATCCACTGGGGAGCACTGAAAAATCTGAAAGCCCATGTCGCATCCTAAAACAATTAAATCAGAATCTCTGGGCTCAGTGCCAGTGGCTCACACCTGTAATCTCAGCACTCTGGGAAGTCGAGGCAGGAGGATCGTTTAAGCCCAGGAGTTCGAGACTAGCCTGGGCAATATGGTGAGACCCCATCTCTACAAGAAAGTTTAAAAACTAGCCTAGGCCAGATCGAGACCATCCTGGCTAACATGGTGAAACCGCGTCTCTACTAAAAATACAAAAAAATTAGCTGGGTGTGGTGGCAGGTGCCTGTAGTCCCAGCTACTCAGGAGGCTGAGGCAGGAGAACGGCATGAACCCGGGAGGTGGAGCTTGCAGTGAGCCGAGATCGTGCCATGCACTCCAGCCTGGGCAACAGAGCGAGACTCCGTCTCAAAAAAAAAAAAAAAAAAAAAATTAGCCTAGGCCGAGCGCGGTGGCTCACACATATAATCTCAGCACTTTGGGAGGCCGAGGTGGGTGGATCACCTGAGGTCAGGCGTTCAAGACCAGCCTGGCCAACGTGGTGAAACCCCGTCTCCACTAAAACTGCAAAAATCAGCCGGGTATGGTGGCACATGCCTGTAATCCCAGCTACTCAGGAGGCTGAGGCAGAAGAATTGCTTGAACCTAGGAGGCGGAGGTTGCAGTGAGCCCAGATTGCACCACTGCACTCCAGCCTGGGTGGCAGAGAGGCACTCAGTCTCAAAAAGAAAAAGAAAAAAAAATTTAGCCGAGCCCCATGGCTCACCTGTAGTCTTAGCTACTTGGGAGGGTGAGACGGGAGGATTGCTTGGGCCTGAGGGGCAGAGGCTTCAGTGATCAGAACACGGTGCTCCAGCCTGGGCAACAGAGTGAGACCCTATCTCAAAACAAACAAAAAAGAATCTCTGGGGGTGGAACTCTGGCATCAGTATTTAAGACATAACCAGGTGATTCCAAAGGGCAGCTAAGGTTGGGAATCACAGGTTTACAGACACTTTAAGGACCACCCAGGGAGAATGGAAAGGCCAAAAAATGACTTCAACCCGGGCAATTTTCTTTAGGAGAAAAGTATCTAGATCTAAGATTCATGTTATCTGCATATTTTCTCATCTCTTCCCACCTGATATCTTGACATACACAGTTTACCTTGTGAGCTACTTGAAGGCAAGAGTCAAATCTGGCTTATCTCTGTTTTTCAGATCCTCATCAGATAAAACCTCCTCTACCAATCTTTGAACTCAATTGAATTGAAAGGAATCAGGCAAAGGGAGAGATGAATAAAAAATGACTTAGCTTTCTTTTGCTTTTCCTTAGGAATGTTTGTTTCTTAATCTCAGATCTCTTAACCTCACCCAGACTCCTCCCTCATGAGGAAATAAAATGTTACAATGTGTGGCCGGGCGCGGTGGCTCACTCCTGTAATCCTAGCACTTTGGGAGGCCGAGATGGGCGGATCACGAGGTCAGGAGATCAGGACCATCCTGGCTAACACGGTGAAACCCCATTTCCACTAAAAATACAAAAAATTAGCTGGGTGTGGTGGCAGGCACCTGTAGTCCCAGCCACTTGGGAGGCTGAGGCAAGAGAATGGTGTGAATCCCGGAGGCAGAGCTTGCAGTGAGCCGAGATTGTGCCACTGCACTCCAGCCTGGGCAACAGGGCGAGACTCCGTCTCAAAAAAAAAAAAAAGTTACAATGTGATCCTCTTCCTATCTGACTCACCTCCCTCTGCAGGTGATACCCTTGGCTGTGGCACCTCTACTGACAGAGACTCCATCCTCTAGGAGAGGCTCTGCCCTCCCATAACATCTGTATGGGTGCTCTCATACAGATGGGGGAAAACCATGATTAGATTCTGGGTCATCATTCCCCCTCTACAATGGAAGATTCAGCACCTGATCACTCTACTTCCACCGCTCATTTCATTTTCTTCTTTTTATTATTTATTTATTTATTTTTGAGATGGAGTTTTGCTCTTCTCGCCCAGGCTGGAGTGCAGTGGCGCAATCTCGTCTCACTGCAACCTCCGCCTCCTGAGTTCAATAGATTCTCCTGCCTCAGCCTTAGTAGGTGTGATTACAGGCATCTGCCACCACGCCCAGCTAATTTTTGTATTTTTACTAGAGACAGGGTTTCACCATGTTGGCCAGGCTGGTCTTGAACTCCTGATCTTAGGTTATCTGCCTACCTCGGCCTCCCAAAGTGCTGGGATTACACACGTGAGCCACCGAGCCCAGCCTCTTTTTCTTTTTTCTTTTTTTTCTGAGGCAGGGTCTCGCTCTGTCACCCAGGCTGGAGTGCAGCAGCAGGATCATAGCTCACTGAGCTTCGATCTCCCGGTCTCAAGTGATCCTCCCAGCTAATTTTTTTTATTTTTATTTTATTTTTTTTTTTTGAGATGGAGTCTGGCTCTGTCGCCCAGACTGGAGTGCAGTGGCACAATCTCAGCTCACTGCAACCTTGCCTCCTGGATTCAAGCAATTCTCTGCCTCAGCCTCTGAGTAGCTAGGATTACAGGCGCCTGCCACCACGCCCGGATAAATTTTGGGTTTTTTTTTTTTTTTTTTTGAGACAGAGTCTCACCCTGTCGCCTAGCCTGGAGTGCAGTGGTGCGATCTCGGCTCACTGCAAGCTCTGCCTCCCGGGTTCATGCCATTCTCCCGCCTCCCACCTCAGCCTCCCAAGTAGCTGGGACTACAGGCACCCGCCACCATGCCCAGTTAATTTTGTTTTTGTATTTTTAGTAGAGACGGGGTTTCACCGTGTTAGCCAGGATGGTCTCAATCTCCTGACCTGGTGATCCGCCCTCCTCACCCTCCCAAAGTGCTAGGATTACAGGCTTGAGGCACCGCCCCTGGCCTGTTTTTTTGTTCGTTTGTTTTTGTTTTTTTTTGGACGGAATTTTGCTCTTGTTGCCCAAGCTGGAGTGCAATGGTGCCATCTCAGCTCACTGCAACCTCTGCCTCCCAGGTTCAAGCGATTCTCCTGCCTCAGCCTCCTGAGTAGCTCGGATTACCGGCGTGTGCCACCATGCCCGGCTAATTTTTTGTATTTTTAGTAGAAATGGGGTTTCACCATATTGGTCAGGCTGGTCTCAAACTCTTGACCTCGTGATCCACCCGCCTCGGCCTTCCAAAGTGCTGGGATTACAGGCATAAACCACTGCGCCTGGCCTCTGGCCTTTGATATTTAATAGAGATGAGGTCACACTGTGTTGCCCAGGACAGTCTCGAACTCCTGAATTCACACAATCTGCCTGCCTCAGCCTCCCAAAGTGCCGGGATTATAGGCATGAGCTACAGTGCCTGGCCCCGTTTTATTATTTTTGTTTTCAATGTTCATGCAGATTCTCTAGCACCCTGCCCTTCTCTTGCAGTGATTTATTTCTCCCTGCTTCCCTCTCGCCCTATGTCATACCTTCAACTTGGTTGCCACCAATACCTACTGCCCTTCTAAAATCTCATCCTCAGTCTTTTCATGTTGCTCCCCAGTACCCCTATCCCAAAAATTCTTCAACCCCATCTGGGCCTCCCATCCACTAACTTACTTTTCATTGTTTGATCTCAATTCTTCACTTTCCTCATTACCCAGTTTAGATTCCAAGGTTCAACATGGTAATCGCCTCTCAGCCCTCACCCTGTACTCCTGGCCCCCCTTCCTCTGGCACATTTTATCCCTGGTCAAATCCCACTCTGCCTGCTCCACACCTGCATTCAACAGCTGGGGAGAAACACACAGTCATACTGACTGGTCTTGCTTCCTGCGGGCCCTCAGTGTGGCATGCCAGCTCGCCTTTCCCTACTCAGTTCACATTCCCCAAATCTGAGACCACAACTTCACAAGATGATGACTTTTCTTCCTATTTCAGTGAGAAAACAGAAACTTTCAGAAGGGAACTTCCTCATGTTCCCACCCCAAATTCACCAGTCTACCTGCAACTCTACCGCAGAGAAGCTGACATGCACCCACCTGCCACCTCATCTGTACCCCGGGATCCTGTTCCCTCTCACCTGCTCAGAGATGTTATTCCTGAAATTATCCCCTATCTCTCTCTCTCTCACTTAATCAGTTTACCCCTCTGTACTGCAACACTCCCATCATTATGCAAACATGCTATAAAATTATACTTCATCTCTGAAAAGAAAGAAAAAAACTGTTTCGCTACTCACCTAGGTAGTAAAAGCACAACATTCAGAGAATGGTGCTTACCCTTTGGCAGAAAAGCAATCTGGAAAGGGAAATTCAGGGAGCCTTAACTATACTGGGGAAGATTTTACCTCTTGTTTTTGCTTTCTTTTTTTTTTTTTTTTTTTTTTGAGATGGAGTCTCCCTCTGTCACCCAGGCTGGAGTGCAATGGCACGATCTCAGCTCACTGCAACCTCCGCCTCCCGGGTTCAAGCGATTCTCCTGCCTCAGCCTCCCAAGCAGCTGGGATTATAGGCACGCACCACCACACCTGGCTAATGTTTTAGTAGAGACAGGATTTCACCATGTTAGCCAGGCTGGTCTCCAACTCCTGACCTCAGGTGATCCGCCCACCTCAGCCTCCCAAAGTGCTGGGATTACAGGTGTGAGCCACCTTGCCCTGATGGGAAGATTTTACTTCATAAGCTGCCTGATGTTCACAAAATTATTCTTTGTAATACATATATATTTATGCATATAAATTATAATTTTATATGTATAAAATAATGCATTTATTTTTAAATTTAAAAACTCTTCCCTGACCCAGCTCACTCCCTCAGTGTTCCACTTCTCTCTCCACTTAACAAAACTTCTCACTGCCTCTACTTTCTCACCTCTCATTCACTCTTGAATTTCTCTCAATCAGGCTCTCATCCCCACCACTTTACTTAAACCACATGTCAGAGTCACAAATGACCTCCAAGTTTCTAAACCCAATGGTCAAGGGTCAGTTTGTGGCAGGCCAATTCTCCCTGACAGTCACACAGACAGGCCTGCATAGCACCCCAGTTACACAGACAGATTTCCACAGCATTGCCTTAACATTGAGCAAATAGTTAAACCTAGGGGAATTGGTGTACAGACATCAAAGCTAGAAATGAAACACATGGTGAGTAAGAGCCTTGCATGGGCTTCTCCCTTGCTGGAGCAAGTCAAAATAACAGAGACAGCCTTACATTCCTAGTGCCAGGACTCGTCTCGGGTCGACGATATCTGAGACAAGTCAAGGTAACAGAGGCAGCTGTTTGAATAGATTCATTGGAGAATCTAAGGCAGCTCTCCGCACCAAGCTGTAAAGGAGATAAGATAGAAATAATCACTCTGGTACCACAGTAAACAGGCCTTGAAGGTACTGGGGCCCTCACAGCTTAATCAGACTTAGCAAGAATTTTTTTGCCTCTGACCCTCTAGTTGAAACAAAATTAGTTACTGATAGACTTTGGTGAATGCCATACTGCATGTAGGCATATAACCTAAACCTGTATAAACACTAAGAAAATAGTAACACTGGCCGGGTGTGGTGGCTCACACCTGTAATTCTAGCACTTTGGGAGGCCGAGGTGGGTGGATCACAAGGTCAAGAGATCGAGACCATCCTGGCCAACATGGTGAAACCCTGTCTCTACTAAAAATACAAAAATTAGCTGGGCGTGGTGGCACGCGTCTGTAGTCCCAGCTACTCGGGAGCCTGAGGCAGGAGAATCATTTAAACCCAGGAGTCGGAGGTTGTGGTGAGCCAAGATCGCACCACTACACTCTAGCCTGGCGACAGAGCGAGACTCCGTCTCAAAAAAAAGAAAAAAAGAAAATTGTAACACTTTGAGTTGGTCTGGTGGAATTATCTCCGACCCTTTCCCTGTATCCGGTGACAGCAACAAATTCCCTTCTTTCCTAGTTTGTCTGCTTCTCGTTATTGGGCCACGAGAAAACACAGCCAAACCTGGCTTAGTTCCAGGAATAAGTTCTCAACTAGAGTCTAAACTAGGGTTTCTCAGTTTCAGGGATTATTGACATTTTGGGTCAGATAGTTCTTTGTCATGGGGGTCTGACCTGTGCATTGTCTTGCCAAGTATCTCCTGTGGGACATCTTGACCAGTGGTTTTCAAGAGTGGGTGATCCTCCCATCCCACCCCCAGGAACATTTGGCAATGTCTAGAGTTGTTTCAGTTATCACAACTGAGGAGGTGCTCCTAGCGTCTAGTGAGCAGCGGCCAGGCATGCTGTTAAACTCCTTGCAACTGGAGGACACAATAAATAATTATTTCACAGCCATAGTAAAGAATGAAATTGGCCGGTCGCGGTGGCTCACGCCTGTTATCCCACCACTTTGGGAGGCCGAGGTGGGCAGATCACCTGAGGTCAGGAGTTTGAGACCAGCCTGGCCAATGTGGTGAAACCCCGTCTCTACTAAAAATATCAAAATTAGCCAGGCATGGTAGCACGTGCCTGTAATCCCAGCTACTCAGGAGGCTGAGGCAGGAGAATCACTTGAACCTGGGAGGCGGAGGTTGCAGTGAGCCAAGATCATGCCATTGCATTCCAGCCTGAGCGACAAGAGAAAAACTCCATCTCAAAAAAAAAAAAAAAAAAAAAATGAAATCATGTCCTTTGCAACAACGTGGATGAAGCTGGAGGCCATTATCCTAAGTGAACTAACTCAAACATAGAAAACCAAATATTTGGCTGGGTGTGACGGCTCATGCCTGTAATCCCAGCACTTTGGGAGGCCGAGGCAGGTGGATCACTCGAGCTCAGCAGTTCGAGACAAGCCTAGTCTCTACCAAAAACACAAAAAATTAGCTGGGCATAGTGGTATGTGCCTGTGGTCCCAGCTACTTGGGAATCTGAAGTGGGAGGATCACTTGAACCAGGGAGGCAGAGGTTGCAGTGAGCTGGAGTCACACCACTGCACTCCAGCCTGGGTTACAGAGTGAGACCCCATCACGGGAAAAAAAAAAAAAAAAAAAAAGTCGGGCACAGTGGCTCACGCCTGTAATCCCAGCACTTTGGGAGACAGAGGCGGGCAGATCACCTGAGGTCAGGAGTTCGAGACCAGCCTGGCCAACACGGCAAAACCCCGTCTCTACTAAAAACATGAAAATTAGCCTGACATGGTGGCGTGAGCCTGTAATTGCAGCTACTCAGGAGGCTGAGGCAGGAGAATCACTTGAACCTGGGGCGAGGAGGAGGTTGCAGTGAGCAGAGATAGCGCCACTGCACTCCAGCCTGGGCAACAGAGTGAGGCTCCATCTCAAAAAAAAAAAAAAATTTACCTATTGGGTACAATGTTCACTATTTGGGTAACAGGTACACCACTAGAAGCCCAATCCCCACCAGGATGCAATGTAATCATGTAACAACCAACCAGGTGTACTGCTTGGGTTTAAAATTGTGGGGGAAAAAAAAGAAAAGAAAGAAGAAAAAAATTATCCTGCCAGGTGCAGTGGTTCATATCTGTAATCCCAGCACTTTGGGAGGCTGAGGCAGATGGATCACTTGAGTTCAGGAGTTTGAGACCAGCCTGGACAACATAAGGAGTCCCCATCTCTACAAAAAATTAAAAAATTATCTGGGCATAATGGCACACACCTGTGGTCCCAGCTATTTGGGAGGATGAGGTAGGAGGATCACTTGAACCTGGGAAGTCGAGGATGCAGTGAGCCATGGTAACCCCACTGCACTCCAGCCTAGGCAACAGGCTGTCTCAAAAACAAAAAAGAAAGAAAGCATTCCCTAGTTCCTTATTTACTGCTCCTTCTCAGTCTTCACTGACAGCTCCTATTCCTTTTCCAGACCTTTAAATATTAGAGAGCCTCTGGACTCTATTCTTGGCCCTCTCCTCTACCCTAATCCAAGCTCCCATGATTCCATTGTCCCTTCCTTTGTCCCTTAATTGGATTTTCTGCTTCTATTTTTTACTGATGTGGCCTACCCTCTATGAAGAAACCAGAGTGATCTTTAAAATTACCAGATGATATCATTTACCTGCTCAAAACCCTCTGATGCCTCCTGATCACATGTGGGACAAAATAAAAAGTCCTTCCCATGGCCTATGAAGCCTACCTGGCCTTGTTTCTCCCCACCTCTCTGTCTTCATCCCTTACCACTCTTTCCCTTGCTCACTCTGCTCCACTCACTCTGACCTCCTTTCTGAATTTAACATAAAAATCCAATTCCTTTCTACCTCAGGGCCTTTGCACTCTCTTTTTCTTTTCCTGGACACTCTCCCTCCAGATACTTGCATGACTGCTCCTTTATGTCATTTATATCTGCACAAACATCACCTCCACAAGGAGGCTTTCCCTCATCACTTGATTAAATATAGTACCATGGCCAGGCACAGTGGCTCTTGCTTATAATCTCAGCACTTTGGGAGGCAGAGGCAGGAGGATTGCTTGAGGCCTGGAGATTGAGACCAGCCCAGGCAACATAGTGAAACCTCGTCTCTAAAAAAAAAAAAAAAAATTAGCCAGACATGGTGGCATGAACCTGCAGTCCCAGCTACTCATGAGGCTGCGGTGGGAGGATCACTTAAGCCCAGGAGGTCAAGGCTGCGGTGAGCCATGACCACACTACTGCACTCCAGCTTGGGCAACAGAGCAAGACTCTATAAATAATAATAATCATCATCATCAATAAATATAGCACCATGCATACCTGGGAGCACTTTCTATCCCATTCCCTTACCCCTCACCCTGCTTCATGGTGTTCATAGCACTTGTTAGTGCCTGACATTGTATTAAATTTTATTGATTTTTTTATCGTCTGTCATCTTCAATTCAATGTAAGTTACCAGAGATCCAAGGCTTTTTCCACTGCCTTATTCCCAGCATGTAGCACAGTGCTTGGTACAAAGGAGGCCCTCAGTAAAGATTTCTTGGCTGGGCGCAGTGGCTCACGCCTGTAATCCCAGCACTTTGGGAGGCTGAGGTGGGCGGATCGTGAGGTCACAAATCCGAGACCAGCCTGACCAACATGGTGAAACCCTGTCCCTACTAAAAAAAATACAAAAGTTAGCCGGGCGTGGGGGTGCACACCTGTAGTCCCAGCTACTCAGGAGGCTGAGGCAGGAGAATCACTTGAACCCAGGAGGCGTAGGTTGCAGTGAGCCGAGATCACGCTACTGCACTCCAGCCTGGGTGACAGAGCGAGACGTCATCTCAAAACAGCAACAAGAACAAAAACCAACCAACCAAACAAACAAAATTCTTTGAATCACTGAATGAATAAGTAGTTCATAGAGTTGTGTGAGAGAAAAATAGCTAATATATACAAGACATTTAGAACAATGCTGAGTATTACGGTCATAATGCATGGCCAGCGTTTAGTAAGGTGAAGCTGTTATCATTAAACACTTCACTGCCAAAAAGGCTGCCTCCCTCCTGCTTGAAAACCCTGACTATAAGGGAAGCACAGCAAAATGCTTTGGGACCAAAAAGGAGGGAGGAACGATTTTGACACAAATCCCAGCAAAACTAAAAGCCACAGAAACCACCAAAGCTAAACAGAAGGGGAAATTTATTTAGCTTTTGGAAAGCTAGAATTTTTGTCTCTCATGCAGATAATAAATGGAAGAGAATAAGTGCAGCATATGGTTCCATGTGGTGAGTATAGAACGCAGGGGAATGTGAGAGTGTAAAAACTTCCAACCAGCTCAATGCCTGGTGACAGGGCAGCACAAAGGAGTATTGGAATAGCCTGGGAAAACTGAGACTCACAGACTGGAGAGGAATAATCCTGGGTGTTAAGTGGCTTTCCTTACTTCTCCTACCTTGTGCTGCTTCTTCCACCTGCAATAAATCTCTTCCATTTCTTTTTCTTTTTCTTTTTTTCTGTTTTGTTTTGTTTTGTTTTGTTTTTTGAGATGGAGTCTTGCGCTGGCGTCATGCTGGAGTGTAGTGGCGCCATCTTGGCTCACTGCAACCTCCGCCCCCTGGGTTCAAGCGATTCTCCTGCCTCAACCTCCCAAGTAGCTGGGACTACAGGCACATGCGACCACGCCCAGATAATTTTTGTATTTTTAGTAGAGACGGGGTTTCACCATGTTAGCCAGGATAGTCTCGATCTCTTGACCTTGTGATCCACCCGCCTCAGCCTCCCAAAGTGCTGGGATTACAGGCATGAGCCACCGTGCCCGGCAGTCTCTTCCATTTCTGCATATCAAATTTGCGGCCCTCTTTCAAGTCTCAACTCTCTGAAGCCATCCATGAGGTATTTTCAGATCAACCCCAGTTGAAAATAACTCCCCTGCCACTTATCACTTTTTCCTTTGCATCTGGAGCATTGGCTAATCTGACTTTTCACTCTCATTAGATTACTGGTGGGGATTCTCCGTATTTGTCTCCATATTTCACTGGCAAATTCTGGGTATTCAATAAGGGCTACTGAATGAATAAGAAAAAAATTCTACTTCATCCATTTAGAGGGCAAGCATCATATGCTCTGTGTGCAGGAACAAGATGAAACAACCACTAGCTGGCAAACTACCTCAAGCCAGCTCCTGAACCTCTCCTTGGGTTCTGCCTCAGGTTAACTCTTTTTTTTTTTTTTTTTTTTTTTTTTAAAAGACAGGGTCTCACTCTGTTGCCCAGGCTGGGGTACAGTGGTGTGATCCTAGCTCACTGCAGTCTCAACTCCTGGGCTCAAGTAATCCTTCCGCCTTAGCCTCCTGAATAGCTAGGACTACAGGTGCACCACCCTGCCTAGCTAATTTTTATTTTGTAGAGGCAGGGTCTCTATGTTGCCCAGGCTTCAGGTTAGGTCTTGAATGAAGGCAAACAATGCCCTTCTGGGATAGAACAAGGAGAATAACAGAGTATGGCCAGTTTCTCTGAGCCATCTTAGAAGGGGAGGACCCAGAAAAAAGGAAGGAGGGAAGTGACTCCAGGTAAGATGTAAATATATTTGCAGGTAAATCCCCAGAAACTTGTCAAATATGGTTTCCCTCAGTCCAATTTTCTTCACTTAAAGGAGTGGAGAATTGTTCCAAAATGGAGTTAACATTCTGCAATCATAGAGAGCAGAATTATTGCCCTCCTCCCAAGTTCTTGCATTCTCCTAGATGTCTCTTTGACCTTTTTTTTTTTTTTGAGACGGAGTTTCACACTATTGCCCAGGTTGGAGTGCAATGGTGTGATCCTGGCTCACTGCAACCTCTGCCTCCCAGGTTCAAGCGATTCTCCTGCCTCAGCCTCCCAAGTAGCTGGGATTACAGGCGCCCGCTACCACACCTGGCTAATTTTTATATTTTATTAGTAGAGATGGGGTTTTACAATGTTGACCAGGCTGGTCTCGAACTCCTGACCTCATGTGATCTGCCCACCTTGGCCTCCCAAAGTGCTGGGATTACAGGCGTGAGCCACTGCACCTGGCCCTCTTTGACCTTCTTAACCCAGAGTCTCACTTTTCGAGAGGTTTCTGTGTAGCAAGACGGGGTAAGTATGTCCCATTTGCATTCACACGATTTCTGGAGGTATTGGTGATGTTGGTCCCTGCAACACCAAAGGAAGAGAGGGAGCAGAGGACAATTTGTAGTGACAAGAAGAGACTGGATCCAGTCCCTTGGGGAAGAAGATTCCTTTTCATCTCTTCCTCTCATGCCTGCTCATCTTCCATTTCATTCTCAAATCTTTAGGGGAAAGGGAGAGGAGAGAGACATTGCTGTTTCCCCACTTTCCAGTCCAAGCATCTATCCCAACAGATAAGCAAATTTCACTTGTCATCCTCTTTATGTATCTTTCTCAAATGTCTTGTTCTCTAGCCAGGCTTAAGGATATAATCTTCCTGGTTTGTGGCTCTCTTTCGTCTTGATTCCTTGATGACTGCCTCCAAAGAGCTGAGCTCTGGCACAATTAGACTTGAGGGAGATAGTGTGAGTCAGTCAACAAGCATGTAGTATCTACACTTTGGGGGAGAGCCTATACTCTTTCTTATTTCTTTTTTTACAAATTATTATTTTGAGACAGAATTTCTCAAATTCCTTTCTACCTCAGGAAAGGAAAGGAAATTGGATAAGGCGACTTTGTCGCCAGGCTGAAGTGCAGTGGTGTGATCTCGGCTCACTGCAACCTCTGCCTCCCGGGTTCAAGCGATTCTCCTGCCTCAGCCTCCTAAGTAGCTGAGACTACAGGCACACACCTCCACACCAGCCTAATTTTTGTATTTTTAGTAAAGACGGGGTTTCACCATGTTGGCCCGACTGGTCTCAAACTCCTGACCTCGAGTGATCCACCCACCTTGGCCTCCCAAAGTGCTGGGATGACAGGCATGAGCCACTGCGCCTGGCCACTCTTTCCTATTTCTGAATCTTCACAGGTTGTTGGTCCCTTCCTAGTCCTGTGTTTCTCAAGTTAAGACTAGGGGGAATCTACAGGTCCATGGCTATCTTCTCTGGGGAACTCTTCTAAAACTTTAAGTTTGTGCTTACCTCTTGATGGGCCATATTTTTAAAAAGAGAAATATTTTCATACATGATGATTTGGATTAGGTTTTTTTTAGGGGTTTCAATGCCTATATTTGTATTTGTGTTTATTTATTTATTTATTTTTTGAGACAGAGTCTTGCTGTGTCGCCCAGGCTGGAGTGCAATGGTGTGATCTTGGCTCACTGCAACCTCCGCCTCCTGGGTTCAAGCGATTCTTCTGTCTCAGCCTCCCAAGTAGCTGGGACTATAGGCGTGTGCCACCACGCCAGGCTAATTTTTGAATTTTTAATAGAGACGGAGTTTCACCATATTGACCTTGTGATCCGCTCGCCTCGGCCTCCGTGCAGTGGCGCGATCTCAGCTCACTGCAACCTCCGCCTCCCAGGTTCAAGCGATTCTCCTGCCTCAGTCTCCTGAGTAGCTGGGACTACAGGCATGCGCCACACCAGCTAATTTTTGTATTTTTAGTAGAGACGGGGTTTCACCATGTTGGCCAGGCTGGTCTCAAACTCCTGACCTAAAGTGATCCGCCTGCCTTGGCGCCGTGGCTCACGCCTGTAATCCCAACACTTTGGGAAGCCGAGGTGGGCAGATCACTTCTGGTCGGGAGTTTGAGACCAGCCTGGCTGACATGGTGAAACCCCATCTTCACTAAAAATACAAAAATTAGCCAGGCATGGTGGCAGGTGCCTGTCATCCCCGCTACTTGGGAGGCTGAGGCAGGATAATCGCTTGAACCTGGGAGGCAGAGGTTGTAATGAGCCGAGATCTCGCCAGTGCACTCCAGCCTGCGTGACAGAGTGATACTCCGTCTCAAAAAAAACAAAAAACAAAAAAACAAAAACAAACAAACAAAACCAGGGAGAGAATTGTTTTGACACAAGTCTTTGGCTAATGATGAAACCGTCTCCCTTCCTGGCTGTCCTGGCATGGTTTTTATAGTCTGAGGCACAATGGTGAGAGCAAACTTAAGAGGGAGCCAAAGTGAGGTACTCAAGAGAGGGATCCTTCTTTCCTGGAGAACTGTGGTAGCCCAGGCTGTGTAGGTAGCTGGACAAGCAAGACTGAATCACAATAGGTCTCTACATCTTCTATTAGGAGGAGAACCTGCAACATCCAGTGGAGCAGGTCACACCAGTTATACATGTAAAATGTAGGATAAACTAAAGGGGCACAGAGCCAGGGGAGAAGACAATGGGATGAGACTGTTCTAGAATCTCATCCCATTGGTTCATTGCTGGGTGTGGTGGCTCACACCTATAATCCCAGCACTTTGGGAGGCTGAGATGGGATGATGGCTTGAGGCCAGGAGTTTGAGACCAGCCTGGTAAACACAGCAGACCCCATCTCTCTAAAAAAAAAAAAAAAAAAAGAAAAACATACGGTTTATGAACCAGCAGCATCTGCATTAACCAGCTTATTGAAATGCAGAATCACAGGCCCCACAACAGACTTCCTAAATCATAATCTGCAACTTAACAAGTTCCCTAGGTGATATGTATGCACACTTATGTTTGAAAAGCACTAAGATTTCTTGATGAAGGAGGACTTGAAAGGCAATGATGGATGTGAAAGGAAAGGTAAAGAGAAGCCTCAGGTAGTCACCCAAGGGACAGGGCCGGTTGGAGAGAGAGTCCCGAGGTTTTATCCTGGAGAACACCCTGTACTGAATGAGCTCTGAACATAAAGATAGTTAGCATAGGAGGGCCTGAAGTCTCCAGATAAAAGGCTGCTGCCACTATCATTTACCACGACCTCTGCCATTCTCCACTCTATTGTCATCCGCCCCCAGTCTCCATTCCAGGACTTCTCTACACTTTGACTTTTTGTTTGTTTGTTTGTTTGTTTGAGACGGAGTCTTGCGCTGTCGCCCAGGCTGGAGCGCAGTGGCACGATCTTGGCTCACCGCAAGCTCCGCCTTCCGGGTTCATGCCATTCTCCTGCCTCAGCCTCCCGGGTAGCTGGGACTATAGGTGCCCGCCACCACGCCCAGCTAATTTTTTGTATTTTTAGTAGAGACGGGGTTTCACCATGTTGTCCAGGCTGGTCTCGAACCCCTGACCTCAAGTGATCCCCCCGCCGCCCCGCCCCCTCCCCCCGCCCCGCCCCCCCCCGCCGCCTCGGCCTCCCAAATTGCTGGGATTACAGGCGTGCGCGATGCCCGGCTTTTTATTTATTTATTTATTTATTTTTGAGGCGGGAATCTTGCTCTGTCGCCAGGCTGGATTGCAGTGGCACCATCTCGGCTCACTGCAACCTCCGACTCCCTGGTTCAAGCGATTCTCCCACCTCAGCCTCCCAAGTAGCTGGGATTACAGGCACACGCCACCATGCCCAGCTAACTTTTTGTATTTTTAGTAGAGACGAGATTTCACCATGTTGCCAGGATGGTCTCGATCACCTGACCTCGTGATCCGCCCACCTCAGCCTCCCAGAGTCTCAGTTGCCAAAGCTGGAGTGCAATGGCGCGATCTCGGCTCACTGCAACCTCCGCTTCCCAGGTAAGCCATTCTCCTGCCTCAGCCTCCTGGGTAGCTGGGATATAGGCGCCCGCCATCACGCCGAGCTATTTTTGCATTTTTAGTAGAGACGGGGTTTCACCATGTTGGCCAGGCTGGTCTTGAAC
Organism: Homo sapiens; assembly: GCF_000001405.40. NCBI lineage: Eukaryota > Metazoa > Chordata > Mammalia > Primates > Hominidae > Homo > Homo sapiens. The sequence continues at coordinate 32,130,799 of NC_000006.12, read as the reverse complement.
TCCTGACCTCAACCTCCCAAAGTGCTGGGATTACAGGCGTGAGCCACCGCGCCCGGCCCACCTTTTTTTTTTTTTTTTTTTTTTTTTTTTGTTTGAGACGGAGTCTCTAGTCTCGCTCTGTCGCCCAGGCTGGAGTGCAATGGTGTGATCTCGGCTCACTGCAACGTCTGTCTCCCGGGTTCAAGCGATTCTCCTGTTTCAGCCTTCCGAGTAGTTGGGATTACAGGCGCGCGCCACCATGACCTACTAATTTTTGTATTTTTAGTAGAGACAGGGTCTCACCATGTTGGCCCACTTTGACTCTTGAGCAGCCTGGCCAGCCCGACCGCGCCAAATTCTGTTCGATTCTGCCTAGTTCGGTTGCTCTGGCCTAGTTCAGTTGCTAAGGCCTGGAGCTTCATGGTTGCGGAGGAAATGATGTCACGTTCAATAGGCGGGCTAACCAGATTCCTCCCTTCTCCCGATTGGCTGCCAGGAATTTGACTAGATTCGGAGTCTCGCGGGCTCCAGGGTTAGTTGTCAGTATCTTTCCCAGTTGTTCCGCCCCCTACCCCCGCCTCCCGCACCGCGCCCCTCTCCGGCTGCCCTCTCCGCGTGGGGCAAGGCTCCGAGGGCAGCATTCAGTAGCCATTTAGCTTTGGAAGGAGAGGTGATTCGAATGGCCCGGCTCCTCCTGTCACCATGCTAGGCACTTTGGCCGCGCAGGTACTTATTGACCCGACCGGGTGTCCGTAGTTGGCGCGGCTACCTTAACCGCAGGGAATTGTGGAATTTATAGTTCTAAATTATATGTGGGTGGAACGGGGAAGCTGGAGCAGATTTTTGGAGGAAAGCAAAACTGGGGACTTTCAGGACTAGGGGCCTGGGTCTCAGAAGAATGGGAAAGGACGAGAAAGGAGTCTAAATAAGAACCCTGCTATTAGCATTGTTTGGTTTTCTTTTCAGGTGCTGACCTGAACCTGGTTCATCCCTTTCTGACCAAAACTGTTCACTCACCGTGGAAGGGACTAAGCATCCATATGGAGACGCCACCAGTCAATACAATTGGAGAAAAGGACACCTCTCAGCCGCAACAAGAGTGGGAAAAGAACCTTCGGGAGAACCTTGATTCAGTTATTCAGATTAGGCAGCAGCCCCGAGACCCTCCTACCGAAACGCTTGAGCTGGAAGTAAGCCCAGATCCAGCCAGCCAAATTCTAGAGCATACTCAAGGAGCTGAAAAACTGGTTGCTGAACTTGAAGGAGACTCTCATAAGTCTCATGGATCAACCAGTCAGATGCCAGAGGCCCTTCAAGCTTCTGATCTCTGGTACTGCCCCGATGGGAGCTTTGTCAAGAAGATCGTAATCCGTGGCCATGGCTTGGACAAACCCAAACTAGGCTCCTGCTGCCGGGTACTGGCTTTGGGGTTTCCTTTCGGATCAGGGCCGCCAGAGGGCTGGACAGAGCTAACTATGGGCGTAGGGCCATGGAGGGAGGAAACTTGGGGGGAGCTCATAGAGAAATGCTTGGAGTCCATGTGTCAAGGTGAGGAAGCAGAGCTTCAGCTGCCTGGGCACTCTGGACCTCCTGTCAGGCTCACACTGGCATCCTTCACTCAAGGCCGAGACTCCTGGGAGCTGGAGACTAGCGAGAAGGAAGCCCTGGCCAGGGAAGAACGTGCAAGGGGCACAGAACTATTTCGAGCTGGGAACCCTGAAGGAGCTGCCCGATGCTATGGACGGGCTCTTCGGCTGCTCCTGACTTTACCCCCACCTGGCCCTCCAGAACGAACTGTCCTTCATGCCAATCTGGCTGCCTGTCAGTTGTTGCTAGGGCAGCCTCAGTTGGCAGCCCAGAGCTGTGACCGGGTGTTGGAGCGGGAGCCTGGCCATTTAAAGGCCTTATACCGAAGGGGGGTTGCCCAGGCTGCCCTTGGGAACCTGGAAAAAGCAACTGCTGACCTCAAGAAGGTGCTGGCGATAGATCCCAAAAACCGGGCAGCCCAGGAGGAACTGGGGAAGGTGGTCATTCAGGGGAAGAACCAGGATGCAGGGCTGGCTCAGGGTCTGCGCAAGATGTTTGGCTGATTAAAAGTTAAACCTTAAAAGAGACAGGAACTTGTGAATTGTGGTCTGTGCTGTGAGATTTGGGGGTGGGGGGCCAGAGGGAAGGTTTCAGCCCATATCCCATTCTCAGCTTTTGGCTTCCTAGGGGAGGTAGCAGTGGTCACAGTGCGCCCCTTTTGAGGGGCTTATCTATCTCCGAGGACACATAGAAGCTGTCTAAACTAAACTTAGTAGTGGCTGGGGGAGATGGTGGACCTTAATACTGGGTACTACATCTCCCAGGCGCTTTATCACTGGAGCCTGTTTGGCGCATGCGCTTGGCGGTATGGCACTGTCTGGAAGTTACTTCCTGCTGCTGTGCTCCCATTGGGCCCGCCTACACAGTCATCCGCATCTGTTGATTCACGTGCTCAGCACCCAGGTCTCTTACTGGTCGGTAGAGCTTCCGGGACGCCCCCTTTTTTGAAAGAGTCAACTGATTAGTTGGTGATGGGGAGAGGCGGGCCTTGGGAACCGTCTCCTGGTTGGGGGGTGGGGGGGAAAGATGGCGGAGCTGATGCTGCTCAGCGAGATTGCTGACCCGACGCGTTTCTTCACCGACAACCTGCTTAGCCCGGAGGACTGGGGTCTGCAGAGTGAGGCACCGGGGAGGGGAGAGGGCTGTGGCAAACTGTCCCTGAGGCACGCGGGAAAGAAGCGGGGGCCTAAAGAGGAAGTCTGGGCAAATACGGAATCCGCCATCTGAAGGAGAGCGGAGCAGGGGGCTCGTTGTGCATTAAGGGGGATACAAAAGTCAGGGAAGAACTCTGCTCCCTGCTGGAACGTCGAGTTGTTCCGGGGTCGGGGAAGGAGGGGCTGAAGCGCCCTGGTTGTATCACTTTTCAAGTGGGCGGGCGGTGGGTCTGGCCGAGCGGAGCCAATGAGGGATGGGGCGGGGGCTTGTGTGCGATCTGTAGGCTGGGGCCACCGAACGACCCCCCGACGCTCAGCATTTCTTGCAGACAGCACCTTGTATTCTGGCCTAGATGAAGTGGCCGAGGAGCAGACGCAGCTCTTCCGTTGCCCGGAGCAGGATGTCCCGGTATTGTGTCCCCAGCCTTTCTCTAACCCTTGGTGGGTGGAAAGTGAGCCCAGAACCTGGACCCATTCACAGGCCATAACTCATCTGGAGTCACCCCTACTTTCTCATCCTTTCTCACACTCCTGCCCTCTTGTATCCTCCCTTATTTAGTTTGACGGCAGCTCCCTGGACGTGGGGATGGATGTCAGCCCCTCTGAGCCCCCATGGGAACTCCTGCCGATCTTCCCAGGTAAGGTAGTCTTTGTCGTTCCCTCAGATTTCCAGAAACCCTCATCTTCCCACTGTTTCCCAGAAACTACGTAGCTTCCTATATCCTCACGCTTCTACATAAGTGCCTATCCTCTCTCCTTCAATCCCCTATTTTTGTTTCTTCTCCCTTGCTGCGGTACAGGAATCCCCACCGACATGTCCTTGGGTACTTTTTGGACTCTTCTTAAGCTCTGCTTCCTGATAATTTCTAACTCCCTTTCCTCCAGATCTTCAGGTGAAGTCTGAGCCATCTTCCCCCTGCTCTTCCTCCTCCCTCAGCTCCGAGTCATCGCGTCTCTCCACAGAGCCATCCAGCGAGGTGAGAGAGCCATATCCCTCTTACTCTCTGTGACGGGGACTCTGCTTCATTCCCTTCACCCGTGGGTGACAAAGAAATGATTTAAATGATTTGTGTGCTATGAGTCATGAGGTGTGTGAGGTGTGGGGGGCCTTCTCCACTACCTTTGCCGTTTCCTTAATATCTTCATTTTCCACATCCCCTTTGGTTATCTAGCAGTGAAGATTTTTTTGTTTGTTTGTTTTTTGTTTTTTGCTTTTTTTTGAGATAGGGCCTCCCTCTGTCACCCAAACTACAGTGTAGTGACAGGGTCACAGCTCACTGTAGCCTTGACCTCCTGAGCTCAGGTGATCCTCCTGCCTCAGCCTCCTGAGTAGTTGGGACCACAGACACATGCCACCATGTCTGGCTAATTTTTTTTATTGTTTGTAAAAATGGGGTCTTCCTATGTTGCCCAGAGTGGACTTAAACTCCTGGGCTCAAGTGATCCTCCCACCTTGGCATCCCAAAGTGCTTGGATTACAGGTATAAGCCACCACGCCTGATCTTGGGTCTTTTTAATATAAAGAGTTATGTGGGGCTGGGAAGAAGAGAGTTATTGACTGCTGAGAATTCTGGAACTGTTCTTGCCCAAGTTGTCCACTCTGAGGCCATATTTGAAGTCATGAGACTTCATCAATTCTCCCAGAAATAAAGTAGAAAGAATGAACAGGTTAGAAAGATGGTCAGTACCATTCAGACCAGAATGTCAAATAATTGATGGCTTGTAAGCCCTAAACTTCTAAAGCTTTTGTTCTCGCTCTTACTGTCAACATCTCCCTTGTTTTTTGCCCTTCTTTCTGCCCCCTGCCCCACACCAACTCTCACCCAGGCTCTTGGGGTAGGGGAGGTGCTCCATGTGAAGACAGAGTCCTTGGCACCCCCACTGTGTCTCCTGGGAGATGACCCAACATCCTCATTTGAAACCGTCCAGATCAACGTTATCCCCACCTCTGATGATTCCTCAGGTAATAAAACAGCCTGCCCCCAATCCTTGGCTCTACTACGGGAGAATGTGTTATGTGTGTGTGTGTATGTGTGTAGATGGAGGGGAAGTGCAGGCAGCAGGACAGGGAGAAAAAGGTGGGGAGGGGAAATGGCAGAAAACCAGGAGGGAAGGCAGGAAGGAGAGGAAACATTTCAGGGAACCACAGCAAGGGCAGTGCTGAGGAGATGGATATTATTTTTCTCTCTTTTTCTTGTTCCTAGTATTCTGTCATGCCATTCAACTTACTTTTTAAAAACTTGTGAGCAGTTTAGGGCATATGTATCTGTGTGATTCCCCTCCACCCAACATTTTATTATAAACATTTTTGTTGTTGTTGAGACAGAGTCTCACACTGTCGCTCGGGCTGAAGTGCAGTGGTGTGGTCTCAGCTCACTGCAACCTCCACCTCCCAGGTTCAAGTGATTCTCCTGTCTCAGCCTCCCAAGTAGCTGGGATTACAGGCACCCACCACCACGCCCAGCTAATTTTTTGTATTTTTAGTAGAGATGGGGTTTCACCATGTTGGCCAGGCTGGTCTTGAACTCCTGACCTCATGAGTCGCCTACCTCCGCCTCCCAAAGTGCTGAGATTACAGGCGTGAGCCATCGCGCCCAGCCCATAAACATTTTTAAACATACAGAAAGGCTAGAACACCATATACTAAACTAGATTCTACAATTAACATTATTTGTTCTATTTTTAAAGTGTTCCCAAGTTTATTTACTCGTAGCTGTGTATTTAGTAAATGTTTATTGATGTGATCATATCTGAGGTATAATAATTATAAAAAAGAAATATTTATTAAGCACCTACTCCATGCCAGATACTGAGCAGCATGCTGGGAATGCAAAGATGAACAAGACCTGACCACCATGCTGACTTTCAAACCCTGTGATTTGGTAATGGGAGAAAGACAAGTACCAGTCAATACAGGTGTGGTCATTCTAGGATAGAAATCACTAGAGGTGGGGCTGGGTGTGGTGGCTCATGCTTGTAATCCCAGCACTTTGGGAGGCCGAGGTGGGCGGATCACGAGGTCAGGAGATTGAGACCATCCTGGCTAAGATGGTGAAACCCCGTGTCTACTAAAAATACAAAAAATTAGCCTGTAGTCCCAGCTACTTGGGAGGCTGAGGCAGGAGAATGGCATGAACCCGGGAGGCGGAGCTTGCAGTGAGCCGAGATCACGCCACTGCACTCCATCCTGGGCAAAAGAGCAAGACTCCGTCTGGAAAAAAAAAAAAAATCACTAGAGGGTACCATGAAAGCTCATAAGAGGGGACATTTCATCCACATTGGCGCTGAATCTGGGATGTGCCCCTGGAAGAAGGGTTTCCTGAGAGTTTTAAAGGACACGTAGAAATTAGCCAGGAGGACAGTGTGGGGGTTGACTTGTGTCTGAGGACCCTGCATTTCTTCAGAGTGGATGTAAGAAGGATTTGGGGAGTGATGTGGAACTGCAGGGGCTACAGGGCCAGGTGGGGCCCCTGCTAAGGGGCTCTTAGCTTTTATCCTGTGGATAGGTGGGGGCCTTTGGAGAATTAAGCAGGGAAGTAATATGATTAGGAAGATGATTCTAGTGGCAAAGTAGAGAATGGGTTGCAGAGGGGCAGGGCCAGAGGCAAGAGAACCAAGGAAGAAGCTTATGCAGTTGATCAAGTAAGATATTCGGATGTCATGAAGAAAGCAGACTTGAGAAAGAATGAAGTGGAATAGATGAGTTGTGACCTCCTGGACATTGGAGAGAGGTAGGAGTCAAAGAGGTTTGTGGCTAGGATGGCTGTGGGTGGGTGATGTTACTGTTCACTGGATGGAGACTGCAAAAGCAGGGGCTTTCTGGTCAGGGAAGATGATGAATTCAGCGTTGGACATGTTGATTCTGTTGTTGTTGTTGTTATGGAGCTTCACTCTTGTTGCCCAGGCTGGAGTGCAATAGTGGTGTGATCTTGGCTCACTGTAATCTCTGCCTCCTGGGTTCAAGCGATTCTCCTGCCTCAGCCTCCTGAGTAGCTGGGATTACAGGCATGCTCCACCACGCCTGGCTAATTTTGTATTTTTAGTAGAGACAGGGCTTCTTTCATGTTAGGCTGGTCTTGAATTCCCGACCTCAGGTGATCCACCCACTTTGGCTCCCAAAGTGCTGGGATTACAGGCGTAAGCCACCATGCCCAGTTGACATGTTGATTGTTGATTTCAAAGTACCTTCTGGATCTCCTGGCACCATCTCTCACTGGCTGAACTCCAACCAGGGAGCCCGCTGATGCAGTCCATTCAGATTCTCCCTGGATCTCAGGGAGCACAGCAGGGAGGGATGGAAAGTGGATTTGGAGGGACAAACAGATTATATCTAGCAGATTAATACATGTTATAAAAAAGATACACAAAATAAGGATTGAAATACCATTAGCAGGCCAGGCACAGTGGTTCACACCTGTAATCCCAGCACTTTGGGAGGCCAAGGCGGGCAGATCACGAGGTCAGGAGATCAAGACCATTCGGGCTAACACAGTGAAGCGCCATCTCTACTAAAAATACAAAAAATTAGCCAGGCATGGTGGCAGGCACCTGTAGTCTCAGCTACTCGGGAGGCTGAGGCAGGAGAATGGGGTGAACCCGGGAGGCGGAGCTTGCAGTGAGCCGAGATCGCCCACTGCTATTAGCAGCAAAAGGATTGTAAGGATTGTTGGTGGCTTTGCATTGCATAGTGTTATTAGAGTCAGATTCTCCTCCATACTTAGGTATTTTTTGAGGGCCTGTACTTTACCCTCAATGGACATGAGACATAGTTCTTGCTTTTGGAGAGTTTTGTGAGGGTTATAATACATCATGGTTAAATAGTTCCCTTTTTTTTTTTTTTTTTTTTTTTTTTGAGACAGAGTTTTGCCCTGTCACCCAGGCTAGAGTGCATTGGCGTGATCTCCACTCACTGCAACCTCCGTTTCCTGGGTTTAAGCTATTGTCCTGCCTCAGCCCCCCTAATAGCTAGGACTACAGGCACGTGCCACCATGTCCGGCTATTTTTTTGTATTTTTGGTAGAGACAGGGTTTTGCCATGTTGTTCAGGCTGGTGTCAAACTCCTGGCTTCAAGCAATCCACCTGCGTTGGGTGTCGGCCTCCCAAAGTGCTGGGATTACAGGCGTGAGCCACCATGCCCAGCCATGGTTAAATAGTTCTGATAGTGGTTATCTCTGTGTAGGGAATCTGAGTGACTGGAGGACCGGGAAGGGAAGTTTTTTTTTTTTTTTTTTTTGAGACAGAGTCTCGCTCTACCCAGGCTGGAGTGCAGTGGCGCAATCTCGGCTCACTGCAAGCTCCGCCCCCTGGGTTCATGCCATTCTCCTCCCTCAGTCTCCCAAGTTGCTGGGACTACAGGCGTCCGCCACCACGCCTGGCTAATTTTTCTATTTTTTTAGTAGAGACGGGGTTTCACCGTGTTAGCCAGGATGGTCTCGATCTCCTGACCTCGTGATCCACCTGCCTCGGCCTCCCAAAGTGCTGGGATTACAGGCGTGAGCCACCGTGCCCCGCCAAGATTTTTTTTTTGACTTAATTTTCCTTTGTTCGTTTGGATTTGTATCATGACTGTATTATCTATTCAAAAATATAAATTGAAGTTTTAAAAAGCAATCTTAGTGATCATATAATTAAGTACCAAAGTGAACGGTATGGACCAGAGGTAGTGGTGGACTGTTGACCTGTGGGCTGAATCTGGCCCTCAGAAGGGTTTTATTTCACCGACATGGGGCCTAGCATTTTCTTTCATGGAGTGATCAACAAGTCATAAAGGCAGATTTATTGGAGGCCATGGAGGCTCAGAGGTGACTGAGGCTTTGCTGTTTGGTGCCTGGGAGGAAAACTTGTGTGACGGGGCAATCAGGAAGCCTCATTTATGGCCAGTTAGATTTGGGTGACTGGTGAGGCATGAGAATGGAAGGGACCAGCAGGCAGCTTGGAAGTCAGAATCTGGTGCAGGTGAGCAGCCAGGGGGAGATGCACACTTGGCGGTTGTCAGCATGGAGATGCATTGGGCAGGGATAAGGTGGAAATCCAGCAAGATAGGAATTTGGGCCATGTGAATGCTGGAGACCCCCCTGCCACTTCCCCTGCTCAGGCCTATTCTATGTGAATAGACAAGTTCTGTGAACAAGAAAGAGGGAAACGCAGAAGGGCAAAGACAGCTTTGAGGAACATGGAGCAGGGATGAGAAAAATCAGAGGAGCCACTAAAGGAGAAAGGGAAGCACTAGGCGAAAAGCGGGGCGGAGAGCCAGCAGGTGAGCAGCTCTGTGACTGCCCCTCCTGGATGGCCTGTAATCTAGGGCCAGAAGAGTTTTATTTTCAGGTTCAAAGAGAAAGGACCCATTTCCCCATCTTAACCCTCTTTTTTATTTTTTTGAGATGGAGTTTTGCTCTTCTTGCCCAGGCTGGAGTGCAATGGCGCGATCTTGGCTCACTGCAACCTTTGCCTCCCAGGTTCAAGCGATTCTCCTGCCTCAGCCTCCTGAGTATCTGGGACACAGGGATGCGCCACCATGCCCGACTAATTTTGTATTTTTAGTAGAGACGGGGTTTCTCCATGTTGGTCAGGCTGGTCTTGAACTCCTGACCTCAGGTGATCTGCCCGCCTTGGCCTCCCAAAGTGCTGAGATTACAGGCGTGAGCCACCATGCCCAGCCTCCCATCTTAACCCTCTTAACCCTTCAGTGTTTACATGATATCCAGCTTTTGCCTCATCCTGCCTCCCACAGATGTCCAGACCAAGATAGAACCTGTCTCTCCATGTTCTTCCGTCAACTCTGAGGCCTCCCTGCTCTCAGCCGACTCCTCCAGCCAGGTGAGCACCACCTTCCTTCCTTCCTCCAGGTTTTCCAGTGAGTTCCTCCTGACCTAGAGGTATGAGAGCTTTCCCTTCTTCAGCTCCTTCTCCTCGACACTCTTCCTGACTAATGTATCTCTGGAATGCCCCACATAGGCTTTTATAGGAGAGGAGGTCCTGGAAGTGAAGACAGAGTCCCTGTCCCCTTCAGGATGCCTCCTGTGGGATGTCCCAGCCCCCTCACTTGGAGCTGTCCAGATCAGCATGGGCCCATCCCTTGATGGCTCCTCAGGTAATGGAGTCTCCTGACACTTGGAATCCCTAGTGAGAGGCCTTTGGTCCTGACATTTCTTGTTCTTTTCTCTCACCTTCCTTCAGGCAAAGCCCTGCCCACCCGGAAGCCGCCACTGCAGCCCAAACCTGTAGTGCTAACCACTGTCCCAATGCCATCCAGAGCTGTGCCTCCCAGCACCACAGTCCTTCTGCAGTCCCTCGTCCAGCCACCCCCAGGTACTGAAGAAGGAGAAAAGGGCCGGGCATGGTGGCTCACGCCGGTAATCCCAGCACTTTGGGAGGCTGAGGCGGGCGAATCACCTGAGGTCAGAAGTTTAAGACCAGCCTGGCCAACGTGGTGAAACCTTGTCTCTACTAAAAATACAAAAATTAGCGTGGAGTGGTGGCAGGCGCCTGTAATCCCAGCTCCTCGGGAGGCTGAGGCAGGAGAATCACTTGAACCCAGGAGGCGGAGGTTGCAGTGAGCCGAGATCATGCCACTGCACTCCAGCCTGGGCGACAAAGCGAGACTTTGTCTCAAAAAAAAAAAAAAGAAAAAAGAAAAACCAAAAAATAAAAATAAAAATTAATTAATTAATTAAAAAAAAAAGGCCAGGCACAGTGGCTCACGCCTGTAATCCCAGCACTTTGGCAGGCCAAGGCAGGCGGATCACAAGGTCAGGAGATCGAGACCATCCTGACTAACACAGTGAAACCCCGTCTCTACTAAAAATACAAAAAAATTAGCCAGGCGTGGTGGCGTGCGTCTGTAGTTCCAGCTGCTGGGGAGGCTGAGGCAGGAGAATGGCGTGAACCCGGGAGGCGGAGCTTGCAGTGAGCCGAGATCGCACCACTGCACTCCAGCCTGGTCGACAGAGCAAGACTGCATCTCAAAAAAGAAAAAAAGGAGAAAAGGAGGCGGGCTGCATTGACCCTGTCAGAGAGCTTGCAGCCATTGAGGCTGCCCAATCCTTGGGTGCTCTTGTGTGGGTGTGGACACAAGGACCCCACCCAGCGCACAGCCCTCTGACCTCTGCTCACTTGCCCCAGTGTCCCCAGTTGTCCTCATCCAGGGTGCTATTCGAGTCCAGCCTGAAGGGCCGGCTCCCTCTCTACCACGGCCTGAGAGGAAGAGCATCGTTCCCGCTCCTATGCCTGGAAACTCCTGCCCGCCTGAAGTGGATGTAAGTGTTGGGGAGGAGAGAAGTAGGGCGAGTGATGGGAAGGGAAGAGGGAAGTCTTGCCATAGAGAGAACTGTGGGATGAGGAGGGAGTCGATACCTAGGAGAAAAAAGTGAGGAAACGGACCCATTAGATCATTCTGAGGGTCAGAATGGACTCCTGTTTCTATATGAATATCAACTCCAGGTAGTTTTAGGGTCCTTTAGGTTTGCTGTCACTGCAGATGGAGAAATGGGGTTGGTCTCCATAAATTAAAGGCAAGGAAGTCGTACTGTACTATACGACTACGGTCATGGCCATAGTTGGGGAGGGAGGCTGCCTCCTAGGGGAAAATCAGGTAAACTGTATAAGCAGTATAACAAGGTTAAACTTTGAACCCTACAAATGTGGGCTGACAGGAAGAAAGAGTTACGAAGGAAAGAGTTTCCACCAGCATGGAGAAAGTTCTTCCCACACTCTAACCTTTCCCACCTCTGAGGAGCAGTAGCAGGGAATGTTTGAAAGAAGGGCCCCTTCCCTAGCGTGTTTGAGTAGAGAGGAAAAACCTCTCTGGCTATGTAGGTGGGTCAGGAAGGCAGGGGAATGGCCATGTGAGCTTTGGGTAAATCATTCCTTGGGGTTTGAGAGCATAGTCTCCTTCTGCCAACTCATCTGTCATTCTTTTTTGACCTTCCGGGTGCCTAGGCAAAGCTGCTGAAGCGGCAGCAGCGAATGATCAAGAACCGGGAGTCAGCCTGCCAGTCCCGGAGAAAGAAGAAAGAGTATCTGCAGGGACTGGAGGCTCGGCTGCAAGCAGTACTGGCTGACAACCAGCAGCTCCGCCGAGAGAATGCTGCCCTCCGGCGGCGGCTGGAGGCCCTGCTGGCTGAAGTAAGACCAGTCTGTCCCTGGGAGACCAACAGGAATACAGCCTCCTTGGAATGATTCCCCTTTTTCTTGTCTCCTTCTTTGTACCTTAGAACAGCGAGCTCAAGTTAGGGTCTGGAAACAGGAAGGTGGTCTGCATCATGGTCTTCCTTCTCTTCATTGCCTTCAACTTTGGACCTGTCAGGTGAGACCTTCCTTGCTTCACTAGAACCTTCCAGGTGGAGCCCACGTTACAGCCTCCTAGCTGCCTGCTTTGGCCCAGGCCATTTCCTTCTGCTTATATACAAATGGTTCTGGTGTCCTTGGCACCGATGATGTGTCTGGCCAGCCCCTTCCTGCTCCATTATTTGTCTTTTTTTCTTGGAGATGGAGCCTTGTTCTGTTGCCCAGGCTGGAGTGCAGTGGCACGATCTCGGCTCACTGCAACCTCTGCTTCCTGGGTTCAAGTGATTCTCCTGCCTCAACCTCCCAAGTAGCTGGGACTACAGGCGCACGCCACCATGCCCGGCTAATTTTTTGTATTTTTTAGTAGAGACAGGGTTTCACTGTTGTTGCCCAGGCTGGTCTCGAACTCCTGAGCTCAGGCAGTCTGCCCACCTCAGCCTCCCAAAGTGCTAGGATTACAGGCTTGAGCCACCTCGCCCGGCCTCCTGCTCCATTATTTTTCCAGTGGAGAGTAGATGATGGTGATAATGCTGGTAGAAATAGTGACTATTAAGTGCTTACTGAGTTCTAGGCTCTAGGTGATGCACTGTCTTTTTTGTATGTAGGGACCATCCTTATTCCCATCTTACAGAGGCAGACTCAGGCTTGTATAACAGATTGCAACTCAAGCAGTCCATCTGCAGAGTCTTTATTCTTACCTAGATACTTGATACAGCTGAAATTCTTCATTGTGCTCAGTCCTTCTTTATCCACAGCATCAGTGAGCCTCCTTCAGCTCCCATCTCTCCTCGGATGAACAAGGGGGAGCCTCAACCCCGGAGACACTTGCTGGGGTTCTCAGAGCAAGAGCCAGTTCAGGGAGTTGAACCTCTCCAGGGGTCCTCCCAGGGCCCTAAGGAGCCCCAGCCCAGCCCCACAGACCAGCCCAGTTTCAGGTGAGGAGAGAGAGAGAGGGCCCCCTCTCGTTTGAGGGTATGAGTTGGTCTTCTCCCCGCTTTCAGTGAGGGGGACCCAAAGCTTTCTCTTGCCGTCATCGCCTTCTTTGTTGTGGGAGTGCTGGGCAGTCTCCAAGTGTTGTCTCCTTCCTGCTTCACTCCAGCAACCTGACAGCCTTCCCTGGGGGCGCCAAGGAGCTACTACTAAGAGACCTAGACCAGCTCTTCCTCTCCTCTGATTGCCGGCACTTCAACCGCACTGAGTCCCTGAGGTGTGGGATTCATTGCTGGGGCATCCAGCTCCCCCGGCCTCCCAAGGCCTTCTGCAGTCAGCCTGGCTGGCCTGTGTACTAAAGCGCCAGTGCTCCCTGCCCTCTCCTCACTCCTGTGGGTGGGCAAGGAGGGTGGGAATCTTGGCCTGGCATGGAGGTCCTGAGCTCCTCCATTTCCCCAGGCTTGCTGACGAGTTGAGTGGCTGGGTCCAGCGCCACCAGAGAGGCCGGAGGAAGATCCCTCAGAGGGCCCAGGAGAGACAGGTAGGGCGGGTGGCTGGTTCAAGGAAGGCCACTTGAAGACAAGGGCTAAAGGCCTTGTCTGGGGATTTCTAGTGGGCATCTCGCTGTGGAAGTTTGAGGGATCGTTTGAAGGAAGTGGAGGGTTGAGTGGGAGGTGGCATCAGCTTCCAGGGGCTGTTTGTCTCTTTCCCTTTTCCCTTCACCCTCTCCAAGTCCTTAGATACTTCTCCTTCCAGAAGTCTCAGCCACGGAAGAAGTCACCTCCAGTTAAGGCAGTCCCCATCCAACCCCCTGGACCCCCAGAAAGGTGAGTGTGGGGTGGGGTGCTTACTTATTAAGTGAAATTCCACTTTCAAGAGCTGTACCCCCAGTAGCTGTCCTGTGCCTGTCATTACTGTCACCAGTGGGATTATACCTCCCTCCTCCACTGGGGGTCTCCTGTCTTTTTCTCTCATCCTACCCGCTTCCCTGGTAGAAACTGAGCATTGGGCTTAGTTCCCCTCAAATCCTGTTTCCCCACCTGCCTAGGGATTCTGTGGGCCAGCTGCAACTATATCGCCACCCAGACCGTTCGCAGCCAGCATTCTTGGATGCAATTGACCGACGGGAAGACACATTTTATGTTGTCTCTTTCCGAAGGGTGAGTTTCTCCTGCCCTTCCATCTCTGTCACCCCAGGTTCCCAGCAGTCTGTCTTCAGTGGGGGGATGTAGAGTAGGGCTGGGGAGCTTGTTGGCATCTTTGCCTCCACCCTTCTGGCCTGGCCCATCTGTTCCCCAGGACCACCTGCTGCTCCCAGCCATCAGCCACAACAAGACCTCCCGGCCCAAGATGTCCCTGGTGATGCCTGCCATGGCCCCCAATGGTAACTCTTTCCCTGCTGGGTATGGGGGCAGTTCCAACAGGGAGATCCAGCCTGGGAGCTGAGGGGGAAGGGGGAGAGGAGCAGGGCATCCAGAGAGCTGCTGGACCCACAGGTGAGAAGCAGCAGGAAGTAGGTGGAGGGAAGAGCACCATGCAGGAGACTTGGGAGGGAGACAAGGGTGAGGGTCCTTCCCTGGTGAAGGTGCTTGGGTAGATGACTGGGCAGAGGCGGGGGGCCGGGAACCTGCTAGACTCTCACTTACTTTTTTCTCTTGATGTCCTCTCCTGTGTGACCCCACACTCAATGCCCTTTTCTTTTCCTACCCTCTCCTTGCCCCTGCACCAAACTCTGTCCCTGCCATCCTGTTTAACTCCCGCTATGGATCTGCCTCCTCACTATTGCCCTTTCTTTTTCTCTCTGCTCACCTCTACTTTTCTGACCTCCTCCCCTCCTCCCTGCAATCCCTGTTTGCCTCCCCATCTCCTCTTCCTTAACTCTCCCCTTCTCACAGAGACCCTGTCAGGCCGTGGGGCCCCGGGGGACTATGAGGAGATGATGCAGATCGAGTGTGAGGTCATGGACACCAGGGTGATTCACATCAAGACCTCCACAGTGCCCCCCTCGCTCCGAAAACAGCCATCCCCAACCCCAGGCAATGCCACAGGTGGCCCCTTGCCAGTCTCTGCAGCCAGCCAGGCCCACCAGGCCTCCCACCAGCCCCTCTACCTCAATCATCCCTGACCTCTGCCATTCACACTGACTTAGAACGGGGGGAGGGGGTACCAGGTGGCCAGGTGGGACTGTTTCAAATTTCCCTGATCCCCAGGCTTGGGGCAATTGGTAAAGGAAAGAGCAGGTGTGGGGGTTAAGCACTTATTTGAGGTGGGGGTGTTCACCTCTCTTCTCATCCCTTTTCAGAATATAGGGCTCCTCTCATTCCTGTGAACCCCCAGTCCTGGCTTCTTTGTTTGAGGGGATTGTGTGAGGTTCAGTTGTGGGGTGGGTGGTGAGCTGCTGCATATTTTTTATTTTGTTTCTCTAGTGTTATGGCAGTGGAGGTGGGAATTTAGTCCCCAGGTGGGACAAGGGAAGTTTTTTCATTTTGGAGCTAGTTACTGGGAGTAAGGGAGGGTGGGGTGGGGGGGAGTTCAGGTTTATGTGTGTGCATTTCTTTTTTATTATTATTAAATAAACAACTTGGAGGGAGTTGAAGGAATGGTGGCTGCCTTCCTGGCTCGTGATGGGGAGTTTGGGGGAAAGTGGCTTTTCCAGAGCCAGCATCAAAGAATCAAGCACTGAAGACATAGCTGGCTCTGAGGTGGGGTGGGTGCGGGATCACAGACCGCATGTCATCCCCTTGCCCCCACCCCTGCAACTCTGGGGTATATCTGTGTCTAGCAACGATGTCTCATGGCGTGACAGACTAGAGGATACGCATCCCTGGAATGTGAGTCAACAGGAAAGATGGGGCCCCACGCCCTTCAGGGTGAGCAGCCTCTGGGTCTCCTGCTCTCGAGCAGGTTCTCCCCCTCTTCTTGCTGTCCAGGATGAGCAGCTCAAACAAACAACAAGAGCTGGGGCCAGAGGCTCAGAGCCCAGGAAGTGGGGGTCTCGGTGAAGAAGGGGTGATATTTGGAAGGGAAGGGGGATGTGGCAGGATATCCTCTAAGCCCTAAACTGGAGGGGACTGAGACTTGAGAGTCCAGATGAAAGACAAAGACAAGAGTGGGGCAGGCAGAAAAAGCTGTACATTCTTATGTTTTTAATTTTTTTTTTTTTTTTGAGACGGAGTCTTGCTCTCTCACCCAGGCTGGAGTGCAGTGGCGCGATCTTGGCTCACTGCAACCTCCGCCTCTTGGGTTCAAGTGATTCTTCTGCCTCAGCCTCTCAAGTAGCTGGGACTACAGGTGCACGCCACCACACCCGGCTAATTTTTGTATTTTTAATAGAGATAGGGTTTCACCATATTGGCCAGGCTGCCCACTTCGGCCTCCCAAAGTGCTGGGATTACAGGTGTGAGCCACCATGCCTGGCTAGGCTGTGCATTCTAATTAGGAGGAAGGGGAGCAGGACAAAGTGAGGGATTGAGTCTGAGGCCAACCTGGAAGAATCCCCCTCCAGCTGCTCCTGTTCAGCAGTGCCTCAGGCCTGACCCTGCAGGAGTGTCCTGGGTCAGCTGGAGGGTGTGAGCTGGGCCTGGGCTCAATGCCCAGATGACTGGACAGGGGCTGCCTGGGCCATAAGCCCAGGCCTGAAGGAGGGAGGAAGAACCTCATGTGTCCAGCCAGGCAACCCCCACACCCCTCCCACTGCCCTCACCCATTACTGTGTTTGGGGTGAAAACAGACCAAGTAACTATGGCAACCTGGAACCAGGGATCCCAGGAACTAGACCTTTCCTCCCTCCAGAGGGCAGCCCAGCTTCTCAGCTATGCTTTCTATCCCAGAGTCCTTGAGCCTTATCCACCGTATCTCTGGAGGGGGTGCAGTGAGAACAAGGATTTTGGAAGCACATCACCTAAGCTGGATTCCCTACCCTGCCTTTCGTTAGTAGATGTCCTTAAACATTCTGAGCCTTAGTTTGCTTATCTGTAAGATGGGATGTTCCTACCTCCTAATCAGGGTTGATGACAGGATGAAAGACGACGTCCTCAGTGCCTGGTCCATAATAGATACACCTTTTCCTCATCCCTTGCCCCTTTCTGTCCCCATCTCTGTTGTCCTTCTCTCTTCCACTTTTATCCCATTTGGGTTCATTACTGTTTCGTTGTCCCATTGTCTTCCTCCTTCCTGCCCCCAGTTCGGGAAAGTACTTGAAGTGCTGGCATCTCAGGGGTCACCCTGGGGTGGGACATCCTGCTCCTCTGCTGATTGGCAAGGGACAGCTGGCACTTTGGTGTGGATGAGACATCAGACCTCTCTTGGCTGAGGGATTGTGGTGGCAGGAAGGATTGAGAAGGACGGTGAGTGGGTACCTGATGCAGGGTGAAAGCCGGGCAGGCTCTGGGCTGCTGCCTTCTAGGCCCATGTGGATCTCCATTCCTCTGGCCACACCCCCAAGGCCACTCAGCATGCCAGGTCGCTGTCACTCCTGCACCTCATTGGCCCCTCCTGCCCTATGCCCACTTTGTCTTTCTGTTCTGCTTTCCTTGTGCCACCATCTCCTTCATTTCTTCCTCAGGATCCCACCTTTTGTTCTCTCTCATCCCTGACCTCATCATCCCTCCCTTCCTCTTTCTAGACTTCTTTCCTGCCTTTCTTTGCTCTCTACCTCATTAGCAGTTATCACAACCTCTTTTTGAACCATTATTCATCACTGTTTTTTTCTTCTTTTGTATCTTCCCCACCCCATCCACTGCTTCACTGTCTTAAATTTTTTTTTTAATTTAAAAATAGAAGTGGGGTCTCGCTATGTTACCCAGGCTGGTCTTGAACTCCTGGCCTCAAGCAGTCCTCCCATGTTGGCCTCCCAAAGTGCTAGGATTACAGGCATGAGCCACCGTGCTGGCCTTATTTAAAAATATATATATATTTTTAAATTCACTGTCTTTTTCCTTTGTTTTTCTTGGTCTTCTCATCTGCTGCTGCTGCTGACCCTGTGCTTGTCTCCTCCCTTTCTCATGCCGCCCCCTTTCTATTTCCCATTCTGCTCCCTCGTCCACATTTCTTGCCCCTTTCCATTATGTCCTCTCTTTTCCCCCACTTTGGTCCTCTCCTCCTCCTTCCTTCCCCCACTCCCTTTACTTCCCACACCAGTTCTCCATCCTCTTCCCAGCTGTGGGGGCCAGCACTGGGGAGCCTGATGTTTGCCTCATCGTTCTGCTATGGCTTCTGGATACAGCACATCTGGATTCCGGGGCCCAGATGTGTGGTTGCCACAGCGACCTGGGTCCCTCTGGTAAATACAGGCGCCCACCCGCCTCAGAGCAGAGAACAAAACAATTGTGTGACTTTCTTTTGTCACGAGATAGAAATGTCCTTCCTCCTCCCTTCTCCCCACACCCATGTCTCTAGGCAAAGGAAGTTTTAAGGGTCCAAACCCTTCCTTCTGAGGCTCCCTTGCCCCCTTTTCAGCTGTAGCCTCTTAGTTCTCTCCCATCTTTCATCCTGCTCTCTGTCTTTACATTCTGTGTTCCCCATCCTCACCCGACCCCCAGTTCTCAATAATGGAATGTTGACCACCCCCTTCCCCATCTGATGCCATTTCTTCTAAGTGAATCTACACAATAACTGGATGCAGAAAAGTTTCAAAAATCTGGATTCTCCACCCTTCTTTGTACAAGTGCTTCAAAGAAGCCACTTCATTTGTTCCCTAAGTCTTCAATCCTTTCCTTTCCTGGAGTTGTTTGGGGAGAAGAGCGAATACAGGCTTAGGAATGAGAACACCTGGGTGAGACCCACCTTCACCACTACTGACTTAGCCCCTTGAACAAGACCCTTAATGTCTATGAGCCTCCGTTTCCTCAGCCACAAAGTGGGATTAATGCCCGCACTGTGTAGGAAACTGTTTTGTAAACGGAAGCCCGGCACAAGTGTTTTCTATCTTTCCCCTCTCTGGGACTGCTTTCTTGGACCGCAGCCCCTGGCATCTCTTGTTCCCCTGTCTTCATCCTTCAGGTCCTTGCCCTCAATTGCCCTTACTCTTATGTGTCTGCCTTCTCTCCTCCCTATCTTTCCTTTCCTTTTCTCTATCTTTCATCCCTTTTCCTCCTGAGGTCAGGACAGGAACTTGGAGGATCATTCAAGGAGGGAGGCTCAGAGCTGAAGACACAGGGACTGAGGTTACAGAGAACAGCCGGAGCTTGTGGACAGTTCTGGACAACACTGACCTTTCTACCCACCACCACCCAGACACCTCAGTGAAGCCAACCCCAGCTCTGACCACTGGGCTTCCCTGCCTTCACGCCTGGGCTCCTTACCCTTTCCCCCTCCTCTCTCCCAGTCCTTTCACATTTCAGTGTTGACTTGCATTTATTGGTCACCTACACTGTGCAAGGCTTGGTGCTTTTCTTACAAGATGTGAACATACAAGACATGAGCTTCTCCATGAGCCTGGAAACCAAAGGGTGAATCAAATGGTAAACAAAGATAATTTCAGAACCTGAAACTATATCTGCTAAGCTTCCAGTGGCTTCCCCAAATGCCTTATAAGCTTGTGTACATCTGGAATCCCACATTTCTCTCTGAGACCCCAACAGTGGGCTTCCAGAACATCCCAGGACCATCCTTCTTGCTGTCTTCTCTGAGGTCCCTGGCCACTCTCTGTGCCAAATGTACTTATGTTGACCATTCTTCCTAAATAATAAAGCCAGGACATAGGGCATAGGCACACGCGCGTGCACACACACACTAAAGGATATGACCATGGAACAGAAATCTGAAGGTGTCAGAGGAAATTCATACCCTGTGTTCTGCCCTCTGTGTGATACTGTCTCCAGACCCTCCCTCTTCCTATCACTGCAGGGCTCCCCACCTCCTGCCAGGAGATCCTTGGGAAGCTGCTACCTACTGCTGGCTCTGGGGGCTTCAGGCCAAGGCAGAGGAAGGAAGCTGAGCCTGGCTCTGTCCAAGATGCTGACTTCATCCTCCCCATCAAAGCCAGGAAAAAAACAGCCACACACACCCAGACACACGGACACACACGGGGACACCCACGCAAAAGCCCATGTGTGCCTTTGCCCTCGGCCACATGGAGCTTACTGGGCATCTGGCCACAGCCACATGCAGTGCAGGCACGCCCTGACCCAGGAACACCACACACCTGCCACCATGGGGATCTGACCTGGTGTGCAGACACCTGGGCCGTCACCCATGTGGCAGAATCAAGCACATATGGGCTCCCTCACGTACCTTTCACCCGTGACTTGGCCAAGTTACACCTCAGTGGTGAGGTCTGTAGCAGGATAGAGAGACCCAGTCCTCACTGTGAAGCTGGGGGTAGTGGGTTCCCACTCAGCTGGGATATTTCTCCTCTGTAGCAAAGTCTCTTTTTCAGCTCCTTGTCAGGGCAGCACATGGGGAGATGAAGCTAGGGAAACACCCAACAGACTTATGTGGGGTGTGTCTGTCTCCCTGTCCCCCCTGTCCTCTGGCTGTCAGTCTTCTGCCTGGGACCAGAGACAGCGTGTCCGTTTCCTCCAGCCCCTACCTCTCCCCGCCTCTGTTCCTGCTCCCCCGCAGCACCCAGGCACCAGCCCCCCACCCTGCTTTCCACCACTTCACCCTCTATTCAGGTGACCCACCCTTATATTTGCCTCCTGTCTCTAGCCCTTTCTTCAACCCTAAACCTTCCTCCTAACCTTCAGGCTTTCCTTCCTTGTCCGCCCCAACCCCAGCTTCCTCCCCAAGGCTTGTATGTCCCAGTGTTCACCCAAGCCCTTGCCCTGCCAGTGCCCAAGCCTCACCTGCTCTTTCTCTAGGGACTTGCTGAGGTAGGAGAATGCAAAGGGGGCAGTGACAGGAGAGGGACTGAACAGAACAGACAGCAGGAGTGGCTCGGGGACGGGATAAGCCGAGAAGATAGAAATGGTGGGACTGGAGCAGGGTGGGGACTTGGGGTCCCAGAGACGGTCCCAGTTGGAGAAAGAGGTTGCCTCTTGCCTCCTGCCCTCTGCCCCTGCTCCCTGCCCCAGACTGCCAGGGGAGAACTGGTGAGAGGATGAGGGAGCCAGCACTGGGTGATAGACATGGGGTGCGATCCAGAGATCCAAGCTAGAGCAGTGGCTGGGAAGAGATGGGAGAGGAGCATGGGGGAGGGAGGGGAAGGGGGCTGGCCATGAGGAAGGATATAGGCTGAGAGGAAACCACTGGGGTCAGAGAGGAGGGGCAGCAGGTGGAGAAATGGTGGGGAAAAAAGAAATGGCAGGAAGGGTGGGGGGTGTCAAGTTGGGCAAAAATTAGGGTGAGCTAAAAATGGCATAGGGAAAGGACGTGGGAGGTAAGACCGGGGCTGGGGGTTGAGATGAGGGTATGGTGAGACAGTGATGCTAGACAGGGAGTGGGGGCTGGGGTGGGGGCAGGAGAAGAGGAGGGGTGGCATGTGGGAGGGCCTGGGAGGGGTGGGAGGACCTGCCCTATCTCCGCTCCCCTCCCTGACCTCATCCTGGTCCTCCCCTTCTCCTCCCCTGCTCGCTGCAGACTCCCTCCTCACTGTCGCTGCCGAGATCCACAGTCGGTTGTGGCTCAGCCCCTGTTGCAGGGGACAAGTGAGGGAGACTTCCCTGTCCTGCCCTGAGACGCCGCCCTCCCGGGGTTGGGGACAGAGCAGGTGCAGAGGCACTGCAGCTGCTCGGTTGCCCAGGTAAGGAACAGAGTTCTGGGGAGACCCAGAAGGAGAGGCAAGGGATTTCTCGCCTATCCCCATGCCCCAGGTGAAGGTGTGGCAGGTGAGCTCTCAGCAGTGCTTCCAGAGCAAGGACTTCTGTTCAGGACAGAGGACATAGGAGCATTCGCTGGGAACCAGGCTCCCTGTGAAGGAGTGTCTGGGAGGAGAGGGTGGTATGTGTGTGTTGGGGTGGGCAGTATGTGTCAGGGTTTGGATGGGATGCAGACAACTGAGAGGGGCTGGGAACAAACCGAGGGACTCCGGGAGTCAGATGGTGGAACCAGGGTAGAGGTGGTTATTGGTGAGGTGAGCCCCTGGGCCCTGGAGGTGCTGGGGCTAGCGGGAAGATAGGACTAGGCTGAACTGGTGGCCAGCTGAACCTTGGAAGGAAAGTGCTTGCGGAATCCCAAATGTCGGGCTAGAGCAGCTGAGCCCAGGCTCTGGGGGCTCCAGGCTCCAGGAGGTGCCAGAGGGTGCTTCTTTGGGCATCCAAATGGGGACTCCCTAGGTGGCAGCGTGAGAGTTGCAGGGAGGGAGGTCTGGGAGATCTCTTTAGGAAATACTGAAATGGGACAGTCAGGACTCGGGTCTGGGACGTGCACAGAGCCTGCAGAGAGGATCCTAAAACTTGTTCTTGGCCAGAGCTCTGCACTCATGACTCACGGTTCAGCAGGGCTGGGATGGCTGAGAGATGCCTCTGGGGGCACAGGGGCTCCGTCTTCACTCTGTGCCCCTTCCAGGCTCCCCTTGCCTCTGTCTGTCTGAACCCGCACTCTCCCTCACCTCGCCGCCCCCGCCCCCCACCACCAGTACACGTGACACGCCCCGGGTGGGAAGGGCGGGCCCCTTATCTCGCCTGGAAAGAATTTAATGGCATAGAAACAACTGGAAGTGGAACTGAGAGGAACTACTGGGAAGCAACTCGGAAACACCACAGCTGCTGCCTGCCCTGCCCCTGCTTCCCGCATCTCCAGCCCCTCCTCTTTTCCCTGACCCTGCCTTCAAGTCCCTGGGGACCCAGCACCTCAATTCCTCAAACTTCCTTTGCTCACTCCAGACCTAGCCACTAGGTGCAGGACCAGAAACTGCCTTCCTGTCTCTCATTGCACCCCTAACCATTTTCAGCTGGGGCCTGGAAATCCTTTCTCTTAATTTTTCCATTCCCAGGCCGATTAGCTCCCCAGAATAAGGGGTATCTGGATTCCCCAACCTACCCCTCCCTGACACCTCCTTCCTACCTGGTTCCAGCCCAATATCTGAGACCCCCACATTCCCTTTTTAGTCTCACTCCTAGAATCCTTCTACCTTCACCTCTCATTGCCAGATTCAACTGAGGGTGTAGCAGGAGGGTCAGAGGGAGGCATGGGGGCAGGACCAGAACCCCCATCTGTGGAACATCTTTTATGGAAGCCAGCCCCTCTCCCCACCCCTTGGGACCTATACAGTCCCTAATGAGCAAAGTGTCAAAGTTGGCTACAACACAAAATACCCAGGAAGCTGAGTCACAGTTTGGGAAGATGCCCCCATCCCTGCCAGCCCTCCAACTGTGGGGAGGGTGCCAAGAGGGTGAGGCCATATCTCTCTCCAAACACACACTACAGAGAACCACCCCAGACATAGTGGCAGGGGGAATGGTGAAGGGGAGACACAAGAGACACCCAATTCTTTGCTTGCCCAGTACCGAGAGAAGAGCAGAATTATCCCAGGAGCTGGAATGGGGAGCTGGAGGGCTGGGTGGTGGCAACAGGGCAGGGAGGGAGATTGGGAAGGAGCCTCTGGGTGTGTGGTCAATGGAGGCTGCTCTGCTCTTCTAGACCAATCTCACCAGCTTTCCAGAAAAGCTGGTGAGCTCTCTTCACTCCTTCCTGGTGCAAAGACCCTCTCTGCTTTCCCCCACTGTGCAGGGAAAGATGAGGAATCCACTTATTTGGGGAGGGGCACTGGACAACTCACAGAGGCCTCCAGGGGTACGGGGAAGTATGGTGGAGGCCATGTGTCCGCTGCTTCCCACTGGGAAGGGCCTCCTGCTTTGTTCCTCTCACACCATCCAGGTTCTTTCACTCACAGAGCTGCCCTCGGAGCCAACAAGAAATCAGCCTTCTTAGGCATCACCCAATGACTAGGTGTGGAGGAAACCTGAAGGGGAGATTGGGTGTGTGTGCACGTGTGTGCATGGGCACCCATATGTGTACCTACAAGGATGCAGGTTTTGGGGGTGGATTTGTGTGTCTGTGCAGGTATGTTTGTACTTGTGGATGAGCACACATTAATATATTTGTAAGTGTACATGTGTACACATCTTTGTGCAAGCATTCCCAGGGTGTGGGAGTGATTAGCATGGCCTTAGACACAAAGTGACAGGATTTGAGGGTCGGTCAGAGCCCATCTCTTACCCAAGGCTACACTCCAGGCTGAGAGAAGGGCTGGGGAGACAGGAAAGGGCAGCTCTCTGTATGCCAGGCCTCTCGGCCTGGGCTTTCTTGGGTGGGGAGCCTCTTGGTGTGGAAACACTCTGTCCCTGTTCAGCTCCCTTTCCGTCTCTTGCTGGCTGGTAGCAGAATGTGATGGCTGGTAGCCCCAATTACTCCTTTTTCTCTGATCCAGGAGAAAAGTTTAAGAGTAGAAAGCCAGAAGATGTGTGCGTGTTGGGTGGAGGTGTGTGTGTGTCACAGTCACCTCCGCCTACCAGTGACACATCCCCCACTCCTCACCGGTCAGCATTTCCACACCCACCCTGCCCTCCTCCTTTCCCCAGCCTCTGGTCTGGAAGAGCTGGGCACCTTTCAACATCTCTCCTCAACTCTTCACCCTAGCTGAATCCTGACTGGCCCCCTCACACTCAGGTTTGCCATAGCCCTGTCTCCTGTCTTATCCTGGGACCCCCCTACCACCTTTCCTCCCACCTCTTGTCTCTGTGTGCTCCCCAATCCCTGCCTCAGTAAACTCCACAAACACATACAACTGGGTAACCGTCATCCAGATCAAGAAACAAGACACCTTTAGCACCCCAGAAGCCCCCCCCCCCATGCCCCTACTAGTCACTACCCCCTCAAGAGTATCACACTTCTGACTTGGAGCACTACAGATTAATGTTGCCTCTCCTCAAACTTCACATAAATAGAACTGTGCAGCATGCTCTTTCCTGTGTCTGGCTTTTGTTCAACATCATCTTAGTAAGATCCATCACACTACTGCATATAACTATAGTTCATTCCTGCTTTATTTTATTCCACGGTGTGAATAAACCACAATTTATTTATTCTACTGATGTGAAATGTTTGAGTAGTTCCCAGTTTGGGGCTATTATGAGCTATGTTGGGTATATTCCTAGGAGTGGAATTGCGGGGTCATAGGGTTTGCATGTGTTCACCTTTAGTACATTTAGTAGATTCTGTCAAACAGTTTTCCAAAGTGCTTGTACCATCTGGTCCTGCCAGGATCTTCCCTGGCCTGGCCTCTGATTCTGCCTCAGCCCTGGTGGCTGTGTCTAACCAACTTCCAGTCCCAGACACTGTCCGTGGTCCTAGCCCTGACCTTGGTCCTGCCCTTGGTTCCAGCCTTAATGCTAGTCCTGCGTTTACATTGAACTTTTCATTCATTCATATAGTCGGTAAATATTTATTGAGCACCAGTTATGTGCCAGATGCAGGGATACAGCAGCCAAGAAAAAAAAATAGGTGCCATGCCTGCCCTCATGGACTTTATAGTCTAGTGGGCAAGAAAGTAATAAAATAATCTCACAGTATATTTATTATTACTTTGGACTTCAAAAAAATATTTGTTTATATATGATTGCAAATTGTTATAAACGCTACACATGAGAATGGCATGATGCTGTGATATCACATGATAGGAGGACCTGACCTGGTCAGGAAAACTTCCCTGTGAAAAAAATGGCGGGCTGAGACCTGAAGGATGAGAAGGCCAAGAGAGAAGGGAACAGTGTTCCACACGGATGGAACAGAGTATACAAAGATCTGGGGTTGGGGATGGGCACAGAGAGTATGAGGGACTTGAAGGTCAGTGGAGCTGGAATGGAGGGAGGGAGGGAAATGTTATGGGTGGTGAAGTGGGAGCAGGGGATACATGATGGTAGGGCTGTTTGTCAGTGTTCTAAGAGAATTTGGAAGGGAGACACTGAAGCATTTTGAGGATAGGGACATCCTGATTGCGTTTGTGAGACTGTAGAGGGCAAGAGTGGAAGCAGAGGGAAGGGTCAGGGCTGGACACAGTGGCTCACGCCTGTAATCCCAGCACATTGGGAGGCTAGGGTGGGAGGATTGCTTGAGTCCAAGAGTTCAAGGCCAGCCCGAGCAACATAGAAAGATCCTGTCTTTGCAAAAAAAATTAAAAATTAGCTGAGCGTGATGGCACACACCTGTAGTCCCAACTACTCAGGAGGCTGAGGTGGGAGGATTGCTTGAGCAACAGGAGGTCAATGCTGCAGCGAGCTATGATCGCACCACTGCACACCAGCCTAGGTGACAGAGTGAGACCCTGTCTCAAAAAAAAAGAAAAAAAAAGCAGCCAGGAGGCAATTGCAGTTGTCAGGCAAGAGGCGGATGGAAGCTTGGATTAGAATGAAGGTAAGTGGGAGAGAAGGAAATGAATTAAAGAGATGTTTATGAGAAAATACAGGTAGATACAAGGAAATATGGTAGCCTTGAATGGGCTATTAGGTTTCTGGCTTGTAAAGCTGGATGAATGGTGGGGTCCTGAGCTTCAATGGGGAATTCTGGGAGGGGATGGGATACAGGAAGGTGACCGTGAGTTCAGGTTACAGGCATGGTGAATTTGAGGTGCCCAAGTGGAGATGCCAAGTAGGCAGGTGGATATATTGCTGTGGAGCGAGAGGAAGATGACTGGGGTGTTTTACAAATTGGTGTATAGTTTGGAAATTGAAGTTATAAGTCTGGATGAAGGTACCAGGTGGATGACTAGAGCAGTAGGTCTATTAATTTAGTAGAAATTTGTTGCACATTACAATCATCTGGGGAGCTTTTAAAAATACTGAGTAAAATTCACTTACTTGGTCGTTCTGGTCACATCTCAAGTGTTGCAGAGCCTCATATCCCTCCTGGCTACCATATTGGTCAGCGTGGATACAGAATGTTTTAAAAGAGAAGGGCCAGGTGTGGTGGCTCATGCCTGTAACCCCAGCACTTTGGGAGGCCGAGGTGGGCAGATCACCTGAGCTGAGGAGCTCAAGACCAGCCTGGTCAAGATGGTGAAACCTCGTCTCTACTAAAAATAAAAAATTAGCTAGGTGTGGTAGCGGGTGCCTGTAGTCCCAGCTACTCGGGAGGCTGAGGCAGGAGAATCACTTGAACCCCAGGAGGCAGAGGTTGCATTGAGCCAAGATCGTGCCACTGCACTCCAGCCTGGGCGACAGAGTGAGACTCCATCTCAAAAAAAAAAAAAAAAAAAAAGATGCGGTGAACTGTGTCTAGTGATTTTGAGAGAAGTCAAAGGTCAAGCAAGATGAAGACAAATGTCCCTTAGATTTTGTGGCACCGAAGTCATTGGGAAGCCCTAGAGGGAGCTGTTTGGTGGGTTGGAGGGAGTAGAGTGGATTGAGGCATGCATAGGCTATAAGGAAATGTAAACATCAAATACAAATAAATTTTGACAACTGTGGCCATGAAGTAGAGGAGAGAAATATGTGGTGGCTGGAGGGGGTGTGAGATTGGGGATAGGTTTTTTAAGGTTTCATTTTTTTTTTTTTTTGAGATGGAGTCTCGCTCTGTTGCCCAGGCTGGAGTGCAGTGGCACAATCTCAACTCACTGCAACCTTTGCCTCCCAGGTTCAAGCGATTCTCCCGCCTCAGCCTCCCAAGTAGCTGGGATTACAGGCACCTGCCACCATGCCCAGCTAATTTTTTTTTATTTTTTATTTTTAGTAGAGACGGGGTTTCAGCATGATCGCCAGGCTGGTTTTGAACTCCTGACCTCAAGTGATCCGCCTACCTTGGCCTCCCAAAGTACTGAGATTACAGGCATGAGCCACCACACCCAGCCATGGTTCAATTTTTATACAGCAAAATGCCAAAGTCTTAAGTGTGCAGCTCAATGAGTTTTTGAATATGTATATATCTATGTAACCACCCAGATTAAGATACAAAATATTTCCAGAAATATGACTCCTTCCGGTCAATAATCCCTACAAGTAATCTGATCCTATCTTCTAAAAGCAAAGATTAACTCTGCCTGTTTTTGTTTGTTTTTTTGTTTGTTTTTTGACATAGAGTCTTGATCTGTTGCCAGGCTGGAGTGCAGTGGCATTATCTTGGTTCACTGCAACCTCCGCCTCTGGGATTCAAGCAATTCTTTTGCCTTAGCCTCCCAGGTAGCTGGGACTACAGGTGTGTGCCACCATGCCCAGCTAATTTTTGTATTTTTAGTAGAGACAGGGTTTCACCGTGTTGGCCAGGATGGTCTCCATCTCTTGACCTCGTGATCCGCCCGCCTCGGCTTCCCAAAGTGCCGGGATTACAGGCATGAGCCACTGCACCCAGCCTCTGCCTGTTTTTGAACCTCATATAAACGGCATTATTCAGAGTGTTTTCTTTTTTCTTTTTTCTTTTTTTGGTAGCTCAGGAAGGGTATATAAGAGTATAAGAGCATTCTCTTTCTGTGTGTGATATTTTTTACTCAGCACTATGTGTGTGAAATTCACCCATGTTGCATGTAGCAATAGGGTGTTTTTTATTGCTGTATAGTATTCCATTGTATGACTCTGGCACAATTTATTTATCCACTTTATGAATGGACACTTGAGTTGCTTTCAGTTTTAGCTAATATAGGAATAAATCTCATGAACATTATGGTCTACGTCTTTTGGAAGAACTATGCAGTCATTCCCACCGGATATTTAGTTATAGATATCTGGGTTATAGACTATATGTTTTAGCAGATACTACCAAACAACTTTCCAGTGTTTGCATTAATATATGCTCCCACTTGCAACAGATGACAATTCCAGCTGCTTCACATTCTTGCCAATATCAAGCAATGACAGCCTCTTTGAAGAGGGACAAGCATTCTGGAGGATATTTAGTGGCATCTTATTGTGGTTTTAACGTACATTTACCCGATAACTAGTGATTTTGTGCATCTTTTAAAATGCTCCTTGGATCTGGGTGCAGTGGCTCACACCTGTAAGCCCAACTACTGTGGAGGGTGAGGCAGGAGGATTGCTTGAGGCCAGGAGTTCAAGGCCAGCCTGGGCAACACAGCAAGATCCCATCTCTACAAAAAATTTAAAAATTAGCCAGGCATGGTGATGCCCATCTGTAGTTCCAGCTACTCTGGAGGCTGAGGCAGGAGGATCACTTGAGCCCAGGAGTTTGAGGCTGCAGTGAGCTGTGATTGTGCCACTGTGCTTCAGCCTGGGTGACAGAGGTAGAGTTTATCTTAAAATAAAATGAAATAGGGTGGGTGTGGTGGCCCATGCCTGTAATCCTAATAACTTTGGGAGGCCAAGGCAGATCACTTGAGGTCAGGAGTTTGAGACCAGCCTGGCCAACTTGGTGAAACCCTGTCTCTACTAAAAAAAAAAAAAAAAAAAAGGCTGGGTGCGGTGGCTCACGCCTGTAATCCCAGCACTGTGGGAGGCCAAGGTGGGCGGATCACGAGGTCAGGAGATCGAGACCATCCTGGCTAACACGGTGAAACCTCATCTCTACTAAAAATACAAAAAAATGAGCCAAGTATGGTGGTGGGCGCCTGTAGTCCCAGCTACTCAGGAGGCTGAGGCAGGAGAATGGCATGAACCTGGTAGGCAGAGCTTGCAGTGAGCCAAGACGCACCACTGCACTCCAGCCTGGGCGAAAGAGCAAGACTCCATCTCTACAAAAAAAATGAGCTGGGCATGTGGCGCATGCCTGTATCCTAGCTACTCCAGAGGCTGAGGTAGGAGAATCACTTGAGCCCAGGTAAAATAAATAAAATGTTTATTGGCTCTTTGGCTATATTCTTTTCTGGAGTACCTGTTTGTCTTTTGACAATTTAAAAAACTAGGTTTCCTGATTTTGGCTTATTTTGTTTTGCAGAGATTTTTTTTTTTTTTTTTTTTTTTTTGAGATGGAGTTTCACTCTTCCTCTCAGGCTGAAGTGAAGTGGCATGATCTCAGCTCACTGCAACCTCCGCCTCCAGTTTCAAGCGATTCTCCTCCTCAGCCTCCCGAGTAGCTGGGACTACAGGTGCCCGCTACCACGCCCAGCTAATTTTTGTATTTTTAGTAGAGATGGGGTTTCACCATGTTGGCCAGGCTGGTCTTGAACTCTTGACCTCATGATCCGCCCACTTCAGCCTCCCAAAGTGCTGGGATTTCAGGTGTGAACCACCACACCCAGCTGCCTTCTTATTCTCTTAATGATGTAATTTGATGACCTGAAATTTTGTTTTGTTTTTTTCTTTTTCTTTTTTTTGAAACAGAGTATCAGCTCTGTTGCCCAGGCTGGAGTGCAGTGGCATGATCACAGCTCACCACAGCCTCGACCTCCCAGACTCAAGTAATCCTCCCACCTCAGCCCCTGAGTAGCTGGGACTACAGGTGTACCACCACGCCCAGTGAATTCTTTTTGTTTTTTGTAGAGACAGAGTCTCACTATCTTACCCAGGCTGGTCTCCAACTCCTGGGCTCATGCAATCCTCACACTTAAGCCTCCTGAAGTGCTGGGATTACAGATACGAGCCACTGCACCCGGCCTATGGTTAGGTTTTGTGTGTGTTTTACTTAAGAAATCTTGCGGCTGGGTGCAGTGACTCAAGCCTGTAATCCTAGCACTTTGGGAAGCCGAGGCGGGCGGATTGCCTGAGTTCAGGAGTTTGAGACCAGCCTGGCCAACATAGTGAAGCCCCGTCTCTACTAAAAATACAAAAAATAGCTGGGTGTGGGAGCAGATGCCTGTAATCCCCGCTACTCAGGAGGCTGAGGTAGGAGAATCACTTGAACCTGGGAGACGGAGGTTGCAGTGAGCCGAGATAGCACCAGTGTACTCCACTCTGGGCGACAGAGCAAGACTCAGTCTTAAAAAAAAAAAAAAAGAAATCTTGCTTACTCCAAGGTCAGAAATTTTCTGTAAGATATTGCTATGAAAGATATTGCTTTACTTTTCTTATTTAGGTCCTGGGTTCATCTCAAATTAATTTCGGTATATCAGACATAAGGTGGAGAATGACTGTTTTTTTTTTTTTTTTTTTTTTTTACTTAGGGATGTTGGATTGACCCAGCACCAGGAACTAAAAAGACCATCCTTTCTCCTCTTAACTGCAGGGGCACTTTTGTCGTTAATTAGTTGACCACATATGTGTGGGCCTGTTTCTGGGCCCTATTCTGTTTCATCTGTCTATCCTTGCACCTTTAAAATAAGTCTTGATATTTGATCATGTAAGTCCTGAGGAAGAGGATTTTTGTTTTTTTTTTTTCAATTGGAGATATTTGAGCAAGGATCCAGTTGAGAGTGAGGAGTTGAATAAAAAAGAGAGAGAAGCCAAGCATGGTGGCTCATGCTTTTAATCCCAGCTACCTGGGAGGCTGAGGTGGGAGGATGGCTTGAGCCCAGGAGTTCAAGTCCAGCTTCAACCAGGGGGTTGAGCAAGATCCTGTCTCTATATTAGAAAGAGGTCGTGCGGTGACTCATGCCTGTAATCCCAGCACTTTGGGAGGCCAAGGCGGGCACATCACTTGTGGTCAGGAGTTCGAGACCAGCCTGCCTACATGGTGAAACCTCATTTCTACTAAAAATACAAAAATTAGCTGGGCATGGAGGTGGGCACCTATAATCCCAGCTACTCAGGAGGCCGAGGCAGGAAAATCACTTGAGCTAGGAGACAGAGGTTGCAGTGAGCCGAGATCGCACCACTGCACTCCAGCCTGGGCGACAGAGTAAGATTCCATCTCAAAAAAAAAAAAAAAAGTGAGAGAGAGAGGGAGAAGATAATCTGCACTTTTCTTAGAAGACAGTAGGAGCTGGGATCCAGGTGTTTGGGGAAGGATTGGCCCTAGGTACTCATCCACTAATTCATTCAACATTGATGTGTCAGATAGAACATTTATGTGCCAGACACAAGTATACAGCAGTCCTGGGATAGATGAGGTCCTTGTTCTCAAGGAGCTCCCATTGTAGCATTGAGAGAAAGGTAATAAGTAAACTGATAACTCAGGCAGCAGTAAATGCCATGAAGAACAGGAACAGGATATTGTGATAGAGAGTAATGGAAGACTGCCCTAACTGGGAGTTAAGATTTGAAGATGGAGCCAGCCTTTATGAGCAGAGTGAAGAGCATCCCAGACATAGGGAACACACAATGCAAAGGCCCTTGGAGTAGTGAGAGCTTGTAGTGCTCGTGGGAAAAACAAAAGACCAGTGTAGAGCCGGGTGCGGTGGCTCATGCCTGTAATCCCAGCACTTTGGGAGGCTGAGGCGAGCAGATCACCTGAGGTTAGGAGTCTGAGACCAGCCTGACCGACATGGAGAAACCCGGTCTCTACTAAAAGTACAAAATTAGCCAGGCATGGTGGGGCATGCCTGTAATCCCAGCTACTCAGGAGGCTGAGGCAGGAGAATCGCTTGGACCTGGGAGGCGGAGGTTGTGGTGAGCTGAGATCGCACCACTGCACTCCAGCCTGGGCAATAAGAGTGAAACTCCGTCTCAAACAAACAAACAAAACAAAACAAAACAAAACAAAACAAAAAAACCAGTGTAGGGGAACACAATAGAAAAGGGGGTGAGGAGCAGGGTAAATAAATGATATCAGAGAGGTAGAGAACAGACTTGCCCAGGGAGGGTATCCTTTAGGGTTGGGCGGAATGTGAATTTTTACATGCATGTGAGTTGGGTAGATTACTTGTGGGTGGTGGGACCGTGGGTATGTGCTGGAGAAGGGGGGATTCATTTTGTCTCCTTTTTGAAGCTGCTCTCATACCTACCCTTTCTCCCTGCAGCCTCCTGAATGATGCCAGCCCAGTATGCTCTAACCTCCAGCCTGGTTCTCCTGGTGCTGCTGAGCACAGCCAGAGCAGGCCCCTTCTCTTCACGGTCCAATGTGACACTGCCAGCCCCCCGGCCCCCTCCCCAGCCAGGGGGCCACACAGTGGGGGCTGGAGTGGGAAGCCCCTCTTCTCAGCTTTACGAGCACACAGTGGAAGGAGGGGAGAAGCAGGTGGTATTCACCCACCGCATTAACCTGCCCCCTTCCACTGGCTGTGGCTGTCCCCCAGGCACCGAGCCCCCAGTCCTTGCTTCAGAGGTACAGGCCCTGAGGGTCCGTCTAGAGATCCTGGAGGAGTTGGTGAAGGGGCTCAAGGAACAGTGCACTGGGGGATGTTGTCCTGCCTCTGCCCAAGCTGGCACAGGTGAGCAGGTGATCACAGAAGAGGGTGGAGAGGTGGGGTGGGGTGGGCATTGCTAGTCCATAAAGGTCCTTGGTATGAATTAGAAGAAGGCACTCCTTCCTCACCATGAGGGGTGTGGATGCAGCCCAGAACACAACTTGGAGAGCAGAGCTGGGCTACATGTCAACCAAAGCATATGCGAGGGCCCTGAGAGGCTGCATACATTACACATACTAGCAACTGGGAGCAGACATGGCCTTATGAGATGAGGCTAGCCTGGCTAGGGGCCTGCACATAGGAGCACTACATAGGCTCAGCCTCTCTCCCAGGAGAGAGACTGAGACTTGCCTCTCCCCTCCTACTCCAGGTCAGACAGATGTGCGGACCCTCTGCAGTCTCCATGGTGTGTTTGATCTGAGCCGCTGCACCTGTTCCTGTGAGCCAGGCTGGGGTGGGCCCACCTGCTCAGACCCCACAGATGCTGAGATCCCTCCCTCTTCCCCACCCTCAGCCTCGGGGTCCTGCCCAGATGACTGCAATGATCAGGGTCGCTGTGTCCGTGGTCGTTGCGTGTGCTTTCCCGGCTACACTGGCCCCAGCTGTGGCTGGCCATCCTGTCCCGGGGACTGCCAAGGCCGTGGGCGCTGCGTGCAGGGCGTGTGTGTGTGCCGGGCAGGCTTCTCAGGCCCCGACTGCAGCCAGCGCTCCTGCCCTCGAGGTTGCAGCCAGAGGGGACGCTGTGAGGGTGGGCGCTGCGTGTGTGACCCAGGCTACACTGGTGACGACTGTGGCATGAGGAGCTGCCCTCGCGGTTGCAGTCAGAGGGGGCGCTGTGAGAATGGGCGCTGCGTGTGTAACCCCGGCTACACTGGCGAGGACTGTGGGGTGAGGAGCTGCCCTCGGGGCTGCAGCCAGCGGGGACGCTGCAAGGACGGGCGCTGCGTGTGTGACCCCGGCTACACTGGCGAGGACTGTGGTACGCGGAGCTGCCCCTGGGACTGTGGCGAGGGCGGGCGCTGCGTGGACGGCCGCTGCGTGTGCTGGCCCGGGTACACAGGCGAGGACTGCAGCACGCGGACATGTCCGAGGGACTGCCGGGGCCGCGGGCGCTGCGAGGACGGCGAATGCATTTGCGACACGGGCTACAGCGGGGACGACTGCGGCGTGCGCAGCTGCCCTGGCGACTGCAACCAAAGGGGCCGCTGCGAGGACGGCCGCTGCGTGTGCTGGCCGGGGTACACTGGAACCGATTGCGGCTCGCGCGCCTGCCCACGCGACTGTAGAGGTCGCGGGCGCTGCGAGAACGGCGTGTGTGTTTGCAATGCGGGCTACAGCGGCGAGGACTGCGGTGTGCGCAGCTGTCCTGGGGACTGTCGTGGCCGGGGCCGCTGTGAGAGTGGCCGCTGCATGTGTTGGCCGGGGTACACAGGCCGGGACTGCGGCACGCGCGCCTGTCCTGGCGACTGTCGCGGGCGCGGGCGCTGCGTGGATGGCCGCTGCGTGTGCAACCCGGGCTTCACCGGTGAGGACTGTGGGAGCCGTCGCTGTCCCGGGGACTGCCGTGGGCACGGCCTTTGCGAGGATGGCGTGTGCGTGTGTGACGCAGGCTACTCAGGGGAAGACTGCAGCACGCGCAGCTGCCCCGGGGGCTGCCGAGGCCGCGGCCAGTGCCTAGATGGGCGGTGTGTGTGCGAGGACGGCTACTCTGGCGAGGATTGCGGTGTGAGGCAGTGCCCGAATGACTGCAGCCAGCACGGCGTGTGCCAGGACGGTGTGTGCATCTGTTGGGAAGGCTACGTGAGTGAGGACTGCAGCATCCGCACCTGCCCCTCCAACTGCCACGGGAGGGGCCGCTGTGAGGAAGGGCGCTGCCTGTGCGACCCAGGCTACACCGGCCCTACCTGTGCCACCCGCATGTGCCCGGCTGACTGCCGGGGACGTGGGCGGTGTGTGCAAGGAGTGTGCCTGTGCCACGTGGGCTATGGCGGTGAGGACTGCGGGCAGGAAGAGCCTCCAGCCAGCGCCTGCCCTGGAGGCTGCGGGCCCCGGGAACTGTGCCGGGCAGGCCAGTGTGTGTGTGTAGAGGGCTTCCGAGGCCCTGACTGTGCCATCCAGACATGCCCAGGGGACTGCCGTGGCCGAGGAGAGTGTCACGATGGCAGCTGTGTCTGCAAAGATGGGTATGCTGGCGAAGACTGCGGAGAAGGTGAGCAGGCAGCCTTCCCCAGTGTACTCTGGGACTGTGATTCTGTGAACAGGAGCCATGGGGAAGACCTGAGCCTGAGGAAGAGTGGAGGGAGAGCATGTCATTCCAAGGAGCCAGTGCCCACCAGGGGCAGCAGAACCACAGGGGTGGGGCTTTCCAGTGGGCAGGACTGGCCTTCAGATCTCTGAGGAGCAGGTTGGGGCCCATTTAGTTGCATTTAGGGAGATTCTGTGCTCCTGAAGATGGAGAGAAGGTGAAGGCGATCCAAGCCCCGTTCAGCCCTCTGTCAGCTATTCTCCACTAGCAGAGAGGAGTGGGAGTTAGGATGGGCCTCTTCGATGTCCCTGAGTAAAAGGGGCTGTGGGTGGGGGTGGTTGCCTTGTGCTAACCAGCTTTCCCTAACCCATTCTCTTGGGCAGAGGTGCCAACCATTGAGGGCATGAGGATGCATCTCTTGGAGGAGACAACAGTTCGGACAGAGTGGACCCCGGCTCCTGGCCCCGTGGATGCCTATGAAATTCAGTTCATCCCCACGGTGAGAGAGATGCCAGGCTCCAGGAGGGGACTGAGTGGGCAGGACAGGGGGGCAGGGCTCACCTCCTGGAGGAAGTTCCAGGTGATCATTGGTTGAGTCCAGATGGCTGGGTACCTGAAGCTGCTGTAAAGGCTTTCTTAGCCTGCTTGACACTGGGCACTGAGGCCTCTGCAGCATCTCCAGCAAGCATTGGTCCCACACAGTTGGAACACCTGGTAACAGAGAGCTCAGTACTTCCTGAGGCTGTCCAGTCCATTGTTGGTCATCACTGTTAGCTGTTATCATTGTTGCAGAATCCGTCTGCCCCTATTCTAGCACCTGTCCGTTGGCCCTAGCTGGGTATTCATCAGCAGCTGGAATGTTTTTTGCTTTCCCTGTGTCCTACACCACAGGCCTTCAGGTATTTGGAGACACCAGCCTGATGTCTTCATTCCTCAGGCAAAACCTCCCAGTTTCTTCGCCCCTTTTCCCTAAGTCTTTATTCTCTGAATCCTTTACCTTCCTGTGATTCTTGCTTTTTTCATGTGCCCCCAAAATGTGGGGACAGAGAGGGGCCCACTGACTTACTCTGAATTTATGGACACTTTTCTCAGAGCTGGCGTATAGCAATTTGTAGTCACACAAGCAGGCAGCTGTTTTGGTCATATTTGGTTTTTTAAGTAACTTTTAATTATAAAAGTAATATAGGCCC
This sequence comes from Homo sapiens, assembly GCF_000001405.40. NCBI lineage: Eukaryota > Metazoa > Chordata > Mammalia > Primates > Hominidae > Homo > Homo sapiens. Next base: position 32,094,384 of record NC_000006.12, on the reverse strand, counting down.
CGTGCAGAAAACTTAGAAAATACAGATTAGCAGGGAAAAAAGATGGAAGGAAAGAAGACAACATTCAACTATATACACTTTTTTTTTTTTCACCTAAATATAGGCCTTTGCATTTGGCCCTGTTCAATGTTATCTTTTTTGGTTTGGGCCAAGCTGTCTAGGCTGTTGCAATAATTTTGAGTCTGTGAACTTCATCTCCCACCTCCTTGTCATCAGTACATGCAAACCAGTTTTTTCTCTGTCTCCCTCCAACTTGCTCTTTTTTTTTTTTTTTTTTTTTTTTTTTTTTGAGACAGAGAGTCTCACTCTGTGGCCCAGGCTCGAGTGCAGTGGTGCCATCTCAGCTCACTGCAACCTCTGCATCCCAGGCTTAGGTCATCCTCTTACCTCAGCCTCCCAAGTAGCTGGGACTACAGGTGTGCACCACCTTAGCCTGCTAATGTTTGTATTTTTAGTAGAGACGGGGTTTCTCCATGTTGCATGCCCAGGCTGGTCCTGAACTCCTGGGCTCAAGTGATCTGCCCGCCTCAGCCTCCCAAAGTGCTGGGATTACAGGCATGAGCCACCACTCCTGGCCATCCAACTTGCTCTTAAAACATTAGAGGGAACACCCTAAGGACAAAGCCTTGTGGTCACTTATTTGGGGCCTCCCTTTGTGCAGACTGGGCTTTTAAGATATGGTCGTTTCCCCAGCTGCAAATCTTCTGACATTTCTACCATCCAACTCATGTTTTCCTGCATCATCCCACAAATGCCATATGGGGTGTGGGCCATGTCATCCTCATCTTCATCAGCTTAGCCAGGACTCTGTAAAAATAAACAACTCCCTGGGCCTAAAGCCTCGGAAGGCACTAGGACAGAAGGGGACAGCTCAGAGGAACTGTCATCCTCACTCCACTTTGCTTTGTCTTGTCATTATGCTCCTCAGGCCAGCCCCCTACTATGTTCTGCCTCTCCTCACTCTCCAGCCAAAGCAGAAGCAGAAATCTCAACTTCGTGGCGCAACCAAGATAGCTTGAATTTTTTCTTCTGTTTAAACATCTTTTTTTGTTGTTGTTATAAAAATACTTTAATCACGAGACAAGAATTTGGCAACTAGAGAAAAGAAAAACAATTCCTGGCTGCTCCTCACTAAAACAAGCACTGCTAACATTTTAAAGTGTTTCTCCCACTCTCTTCTTCTCTGTATATATTATTTACATAGCTCTAATCTTGAAAGGGTGGGACTTCGAAAAGGAAGTTTCTTAAGAAATTTCAGGGAAAGAAGAATTAAAATAAACACTTGAGATAAGAGGAGCTTTTAGGGCAGCAGTTGTCTCCTGCTCTGAGTAAATAAATACAAACCGATCCTTGGTGTTGTCAAGGGCGCCGCTTTCCAGTTGAAGCCCTAGACTTTCTCCCTCACTCAGAGCCAGGATGGTGGTGCCAAGTTGGCCTGTGCCAGGCTTGGCCATGTTCTTAGCTCATCCATTCTGCTCTCGGTATGGGCATCTGTCACATTCTGGGTCTTCTCTGAGCCTGGGTGTGGAAAACACTCCTGTAAAATTGGTCCCCAGACACTCCTCTTGGGCCTGGGCTACCCACCCTCAGACCATGCTTTCTGCTGTCTGTAGCTGGTCCCTGGCATCGTACCTTCTGCCTTGGCAAGTGCCATCTATTTCTTTTCTTTTCTTTCTTTCTTTTTTTTTTTTTTTGAGACAGAGTTTTGCTCTTGTTGCTCAGGCTGGAGTGCAATGGCGCAATCTCGGCTCACTGCAACCTCTGCTTCCCAGGTTCAAACGATTCTCCTGCCTCAGCCTCCCAAGTAGCTGGGATTACAGACACCTGCCACAATGCCCAGCTACCCTTTGTCCATTTCTGTGGGTACAGAGTATATTCAATAGCTGTCTGTCCTCTGGCTGCTGCTGTCATCCTAGAAGCCTATCTCTACCTCTTACCTTCCCTCTTCCCAGAAGCACTTCTCTCTCAAAGCCCAAACTCTGCTATTCCAGATCAAGGGACATACCTAGTTATTGGAATTATTTTTCAGAATGCAGAAGAAGAAAGTTTCTCCTCTCCCTGTATATGTGGCACTGTTACTCTGACTCAGTGGTTCTCAAAGTGTGTTCCCTGGACCTGCAGCATCAGCATCACCTGGGAGTATGTTAGGCATGCAAATTGTCAGACTCCCCCACTAGATCTACTGAGTCAGAAAGTCTGGGCACAGAGCCCAGTAACCTGTATTGCAACAAGCCCTCCAGGTGATTCTGATGCCCCTCCAGCCTGAGGCCCCCTAAGTGAAGGAATGTTGCTATTTTGCAAAGTGCTAGCTCCACTATGAATGTGAGAGAAAGCATGGGGAAACTGAGGGAGATGAGTTCCTGAATGAGAAAGAGGTTCAGATATTCCTTGTCTGGGTGTGTCCTGCAGCCTGGAAATCAGGGCTAGGCTAAGTGTTCACTGGGACTCAAAACCTCACAGCCTCAGAGAAGTTTTTGCTTGGGTCTAGTCTAAAAACAGCAATGAGGGTGAGATAAGCTCCAAGGACCAGCCAAGGTAGAGTTCATCTGGAGCCACGAGGTTAATATTGAGATAAACTCTAAAACTTCCCAAGAACAAAATCAGTGAAGCAGGCCAGGCGCAGTGGCTCATGCCTGTAATCCCAGCACTTTGGGAGGCCAAAGTGGGTGGATCATCTGAGGTCAGGAGTTTGAGAACAGCCTGACCAACATAGTGAAACCCCATCTCTACTAAAAATACAAAATTAGCTGAGCATGGTGGTGTATGCCTGTAATCCCAGCTACTTGGGAGGCTAAGGAAGAATCCCTTGAATCTTGGAGGCGGAGGTTGTAGTGAGCTGAGATCGTGCCATTGCACTCCAGCCTGGGAGACAAGAGCGAAATTCCGTCTCAAAAAAAAAAAAAATCAGTGAAGCAGCCAAGCTTTACCAAGGGGCAGAGCCAGCTGCCAGCATCTGTTTAGAAAGACTGCTTCAGGGCCAGGTGTGGTGGCTCACGCCTGTAATCCCAGCACTTTGGGAGGCTGAGGTGGGTGGATCACCTGAGGTCGGGAGTTCGAGACCAGCCTGACCAACATGGAGAAACCCCGTCTCTACTAAAAATACAAAATTAGCCGGACATGGTGGCGCATGCCTGTAATCCCAGCTACTCGGGAGGCTGAGGCAGGAGAATCGCTTGAACCCGGGAGGCGGAGCTCGCGATGAGCTGAGATCGCGCCATTGCACTCCAGCCTGGGCAACAAGAGCAAAACTCCCTCTCAAAAAAAGAAAAAAGAAAGCCTGCTTCAGACCAGTAAGATGGTGCTAGGAGACGTAGGAGACATGGGTTAGGTTGATGGACTTTCAGGGGACTGTTCCCAGATGGATCTCAGGAGGAACCAAGAAGTGTCTAAAGGATATATATAGGGAGAAGGAGAACTCTGGGGATAGGCTTGCCTCACTGAAAGAACCAGACATCATCAGGGAGCATCCAAGGTGTGTGTATTGCGGCTGTGGGGATGGGGTGGGTGTGGATAAAGAGAAAGAGACATACACACACACAGAGAAAATGAACAAATAAATTCTGGGAAGGGTAAGGATTTCATGGGTCTTGAGTTGAGGCCAACCCAAGGCTTCCTAGGCTGGGGTATTCTAAGGCAGGGTGAATAGGAGAGGGCTGGAGGTCCTATGTGCCCAGGAAAACTTTTCAACCCAGAAAACTGACAAAGCTTTACTTCATCCTCAACCCAGAAATCTCTACGTGGCCTTCTCATCTGGTTTTATACTTCGGTATTTACTATGTTGATTTCCCCACAGTTCTCTTGGTTTAGGAGAGTACCTTTTGAAATTTCCAATCCTACTTGGCTGAATGGAGGTGTCCCCATCACAGCCAACATAGCTAGGCAGAACACAGCATCCTTAGCGGCTGTCCTAGCTGGACAGCACAGCAAAATGTGGGGCTGTTAGAATGCTCACAGATGTACAGTTCCTCCTGTTTCCCCAGTGGTGGGCATTCCAGGAGACCCTGCCTGGAGCAGGGTCCAGTAGATTCCCTTTGGAGGCACCACACATAATCATAATTCCTTAAATGTACACTTGTAGGAGTGTTGTTTTCTCACAAGCATTTGCTAAGCATAGAGATTGTTGTAAGTATCTCATATATTCAAGATGTGGCCATACATTTAGCTATTAGAGTCTCAGCTACCTGAGGACAGGGACCATATATTTTATTTTTGTGTCTCCAATGCCCAGCATGATGCCAGGTACAAAATCAACAATCAGGAAACATATTTGTGGAACTTTGAGCAGGTGGTTCTTGTTTTGAGGAGCCTACAACCCGGGTGAAGAGACAAGAAAAGTCCCTCAAGGGAAAGGTTGTGATGCGGGTCCCACTCCTGTTACACAGCCATGAGCAGGCATCTACGAGGAGGTTCAGGGTGAGGCAGACCCTTTAAGGAGAAAGTGCAACTTGAAGGGGCATCCTTGATCTACTTCATTTGTTCTGACAGGACCAAGCTTAGGAAAAGGCTCCTCATGCCCAGGTAGTCAGAGTTGCCAGGGCAAAGCTGGAGGGAGAGTCCTGGTGCATGTTGGGTGGAATTCTGGCAGATGAACACGGGGTGCCCATGAGAGGGGACTCTGACAGATAAATAGGGGGTGCCCATGAGAGGGGACTCTGGGATCACACTGCTAGGGCCTAAATTCTTGCCATTTTCTTGGTGTTGGTGACGTTGGCAAGATACTTGTCCTTCTGTGTCTCAGTTTCCTTATCTGTAAAATGGGACTAATAGGACCTGTTTCGTAGGGTTGTTGTGAGAATTAAGTGAGTTCATGTGTGTACCTCGCCTAGAACAGTGGCTCACAAGGAGTTAGCGCTCTCAGCATGTTTGCTCCCCAGCTTGTACAGGGTCAAGTTCCACACAGTACCATGCTGACACTGTTTAGAATTGGAGAAAGAAGAGATAAGGGGGATTGAGCAGCAGAGGCAAGAGTGCCAGCCCCTGAGCCACCTGGTGCTCTCTCTCACAGACAGAGGGGGCGAGCCCCCCATTCACAGCACGGGTTCCAAGCTCTGCCTCAGCCTATGACCAGAGAGGACTGGCCCCTGGACAGGAGTACCAGGTCACTGTCCGAGCCCTTCGAGGGACCAGCTGGGGCCTTCCTGCCTCCAAGACCATCACCACCAGTGAGAGCTGGGGCTGTGGGGAGGGGTGTCCTGAGTGGAGATCTGGACTAGAGAGGGAATCTGCCCTCCGGGAGGGCAGAAGGAAGGGGCTGGATGGGGGCTAGGCTCTTGGAAGGAAAGATGATGATTGAAGAACCAGACACCCACCTGAGTCCTCCTCTTTAACCTGGCTAGTGATCGATGGGCCCCAGGACCTCCGAGTGGTGGCTGTGACACCGACAACACTGGAGCTTGGCTGGCTGCGTCCCCAGGCTGAGGTGGACCGATTTGTGGTGTCCTACGTCAGTGCCGGCAACCAGAGGGTGAGGCTGGAAGTGCCCCCTGAAGCAGACGGGACGCTGCTGACTGACCTGATGCCAGGCGTAGAATATGTGGTGACTGTCACAGCGGAGCGGGGCCGGGCAGTCAGCTACCCAGCTTCTGTCAGGGCCAACACAGGTATGGCTGGCCAGAGGTTAGGGAAGGGCCCTGGTTTCCCAGCCTTGGATCCTCCTCCTCAGGAGCCCAGGCTCAGGGCTCACAGACTCCTCTGAATGCTTCTGGCAGGTGTGTGGCAGTCTCGAGGCACCTGCTGGGGGCCTTGCTCTGTCCTGAGGCCACTGGGGAGACAGAGCCCTCAGATGCCTGGAGTCCTGTAGGAAGGTTATTACAGGTTAGCCTATGAAAGGAATGGCCCCAGGGAGAGAAGTGAATAGGAGATGCTGCCTGATCCAGTCAGTTAAGGGAGGTTCTTTTTTAAATTTAGGTACCGGGACAGGCCTTGTGCTGATAGATCTTGTGGGACTGGAATTAGGCAGATTAGAGATCATCAGTCCTGTTGACTTTTGGATTGGGATTGCTGGGAGGTGGGTCTCACAGCAGTGATTTTCCACTAAACCTCGAGGTTTCTTAACAGATACCTGGATATTTTTCTTTTCCTGTGACAGGGGGACACCCACCTCGCTGTAGCTCATGTTCTCTTCCCCGACTCCCCTTTCTCTCCTTCAGCTACAGGGCCCCACCCACGGGCTTCTCTCTTCTTTCTAGGGCACCAACAGTGGTGGGCTTGGAGGGGAATGGGGGGGCTGCGGGACACTGACCGATTTCCCTCCGTTCTCTTTCCAGGTGGGGCTGGGGCACAGGGAAGAGGCCTCTGGCTCTGGTGGGAGGGATCGAGGGAGGGGCTGCCGCGGGAAGGAGTGCCGGGAGGGAGCTGCCACTGACCTGTTCTCCCCTTTTTTGCCCCTGGCAGCACCAGGCCACTACAGTTACCCGGAGGTGCGCCCCCCAGCCCCGCCCCCCAAGTCCCGGCCCCGGCCAGCCCCAGCCCCGCGGCCCCCACGGCCCCCTTGGCCCTCGAGGCCAGCAGAGGAAAGGGAGGAGGAGTCCCCGCCCAGGCCAAGCCTGTCCCAGCCCCCACGGCGGCCTTGGGGCAACCTGACGGCCGAGCTGAGCCGTTTCCGCGGCACGGTGCAGGACCTGGAGCGCCACCTGCGGGCTCACGGCTACCCACTGCGGGCCAACCAGACTTACACGTCGGTGGCGCGCCACATCCATGAATACTTGCAGCGGCGTCTGTTGGCCGCCGCCCCAGCCGGCTCCCCCGCACCCCCGCCCCGCCACCCCCGCCCCACCGCCAGCCCTGATCCCGGCACCAGGAAACGGGACTCCAACCAGGGAATCTACGGCCTCTCGCCTGAAGGCGTCGACCGGGTGGCTGCGTCCCGCCACCCCAAGCCAGAGGTGCTGGGCAGTTCCGCCGATGGCGCGCTTCTCGTGTCTCTCGACGGGCTCCGCGGCCAGTTCGAGCGCGTGGTGCTGCGCTGGCGGCCTCAGCCGCCTGCAGAGGGCCCCGGCGGTGAGCTGACTGTGCCGGGCACCACGCGCACCGTCAGCCTGCCCGACCTCAGGCCCGGCACCACCTACCACGTGGAGGTCCACGGGGTGCGGGCGGGGCAGACCTCCAAGTCCTACGCCTTCATCACCACCACAGGTAGTGTGGGCTGGGGCCACGGGACACCTATCCCTTGTCCAGCCTCACCTGCCGTTGGAGCCTGCATTCATGAATTCCTCCCACTGCCACCCCCCACTGCCCCCTTCTACCTTCAGGCCCTACCTGGCCGGGGCTCCAGGGGGCCCCCAGGACAAAGCACGAGTCCATTGTCCCTAGAAGACGTCCCCACCCCAGGGTCCTGGCATCCATCCTGTGGATGCCTAAGGTCAAGGCAGCGCCTTCTTTGGGGTTTCCCGGGACACTTCCAGGATTGTTATTTTAGGCAATAGAGGGTGATGTGGTTGGGGCACCTGCAAAGATTCACTGGAGCAGTTTGAGTGGGCTGGGAATTGAAAACAGTGATTCCCGTTCTGACTCACTGTGGTGAGAGTGGCTGAAGACTGTGGTTAGTGGTTACTGTTTTCCACAATTTGGCCTTGACCTTGAAGGGACACATCAGAACTGCGTGGGGGTGGCCTGGGTGCCATCAGGCAGCAACTGTATATTGGGGAGGTGAAACCACTGCTTCTTAAGCTGGCTTTTCAGACCCCCTGGCTCACTTTATGCTGGTCTCTCCCACAGGAACGATGTCTGGGCTTGGGGAAAGGGCACCCTGTGGCTGCTGTGGGGAGGGTGGTGGACCTCTTCTTCCCCCATAGGGCCCAGATGCCACCTGACCTGGATGTCCACCCCCACACCCTCTCTCTCTTCCCACTGCCCACTCTCCTCTTGCATCCTCCCTCTCTAACACCACTGTCTTTCTTCCAGGCTTCTCACTGCAGCACTAATGGAAGCCACCTGACCACCACCCAGTGGGGGGGATGTATGTGGGGAGGGACATGGAAGTCTCCGGGGGCTGGAGGTCATGGAAGCCTTGTGGGGTGAAGGATAGCAGGCTTTATTTTACCTATTACCTGCCTGAAGCACAGGCCCGTCTGCTCAGGAATGTGGTAGATGGGGGTGTTTGGAGGATTGGCTGACCTTTGGGAGGAGGGAGTGGCCCAGGTGAGGGAACCAGAAGTAGAAGTAGAACAAGGCTCTTAGAGGCTGGAGGGCAGAACCTGGGGACTGGGGATTCCTTTCTAGTTCTCATACTGGACTCTCCTCTTTTTCTCACCCTGCCCCTTCCCAGGGTCCTCACCCTTGGGCCTCTTGGGGACTACCGATGAGCCTCCTCCCTCAGGCCCCTCGACGACGCAAGGGGCCCAGGCTCCTCTCCTGCAGCAGCGCCCCCAGGAGCTGGGAGAGTTGAGGGTGCTGGGCAGAGATGAGACAGGGCGCCTCCGTGTGGTCTGGACCGCCCAGCCTGACACCTTTGCCTACTTCCAACTGCGCATGCGGGTGCCCGAGGGGCCGGGGGCACATGAGGAAGTGCTGCCAGGGGACGTCCGCCAGGCTCTGGTGCCTCCACCCCCTCCTGGAACCCCGTATGAGCTGTCACTTCATGGGGTCCCTCCTGGGGGCAAGCCCTCTGACCCCATCATCTACCAAGGCATTATGGGTACATCTTGGACTCTGCTCAGATCAATATCCTGAGATTGGGGGAGGAGCTGGGGTTATTGGGACTTCAGAGGTAGGATGGATATTGAGGGGCCAGTGAAGGGCAGGGCTGATGTTTGGGGCTGGATAGAGGAGAAAAGGAGAGAAAAGGAATTGCAGGTTCAGCAGGAAGATGGATCGAGGGGGATCTTAAAACAATGATAAGGATGGGTGGGGAGAGGGGAAAGAGGCAGAGGTAAAAAGGCCGAGGGTGGGACAGAGATTCCAGGAGAGAGGCTGAAGGTCCCTGGCCCTCCACCTGCAGCTTTCCTTGCCCTGTCCCCTGCCCCCACTCTTCGGTTGCTCCTCTGCCCTTCCCTGCCCTATAAATCTTTCAGGGTGGGCATGGGAAGGCCTCTGGACACTGACCCTCAGCCCCCAATACCTCGTCCCTGGGAGCCTGGTTTGCAGTGGACAGCAGTCCATGGTCCCATCAGCCAGTTTCTGCTGGGGGTGAAGGCTCCTTGGGGCAGGGGGCTCCACAGCCATCAGGACTTCAGACATGGATGAGGTTTGCAGGACCAGTGAAAGACAGGTCCTGGGGTACCTGGCTTTCACATCCCCTCTTTGTTCCTCTCTGTGGGACCAGGGTGGCTGACTCATCCCCCAGCTCCAGGTCAAGCTCACCACTGGAAGAGAGGGTGGTAAGAGAGACAGCAGCTCAGGTGGGCAGAGGAGCTTTCAGACTGCTCTGATGCTGCAGCAGGGAGGCTTGAAACTCTCATTCAGAACCAGGGGGACCTGAAACCCCCGCAAAGATCCTGGTGTGCAGAGAGACCAAGACCTTGTGAGGGATGGAGAAACTGTCACAAGGGAAGAAGCAGAGATTGAGAGGGAAATGCCCCTCTTCCAGAAGAGCTAGTCACTGAGGGGTGGGCAGATAGAGTCTTCCGGGGAGGGATCTATCCAGGATGGAGTGAGGTGGGCAGGGGAGAGGGAAGGAGACACAGACAAGAGAACGGTTGAGTCCACTATGCTTTGCTTTTGCCTCTCAAACTCCAGACAAGGATGAGGAGAAGCCTGGGAAGTCCTCAGGCCCACCACGCCTGGGTGAGCTGACGGTGACAGACAGGACCTCCGACTCCTTGCTCCTGCGCTGGACGGTCCCCGAGGGCGAGTTTGACTCCTTCGTGATCCAGTACAAAGACAGGGACGGGCAGCCCCAGGTGGTGCCCGTGGAAGGACCCCAGCGCTCGGCCGTCATCACCTCCCTGGATCCTGGCCGCAAGTACAAATTTGTCCTGTATGGGTTTGTTGGCAAGAAGAGGCATGGTCCGCTGGTGGCTGAAGCCAAGATCTGTGAGTGACAGCAGTAACACCCTGCCCTCTGTACTGCCCTGAAGAGGTTTTCTCAGTGCTTTGGGAACCTGCTTTGGGAGCTCCGGGAAGGCTTCCTGGAGGCAGTGGTGCATGAGCTGAATTCTGAAGGGAAAGTAGTGGTGGGGCAGGCAAAGAGTTTGAGAAGCTCAGTGCAGCCTGAGGGAGTCACGGTGAGTAAGGTGGGGAGAGCATGGCCAGTAAGAGAATCACTGTTACAGTTTCCTCTGGCTGGAGAACAGGGCATGTGGGGGGTGCCAAAGGGCCTGGTCTCAGGGCTTCCTGTGCTGTGCTGAGGGGCTTGGGCCTCATTCGAAGGCCCCTAGAGGGCCTCTGAAGGGTAAAGTGGGAGAGTGATGAGACTAGATATTTATCTTGCAAATAACCGGGTGGCTGCTGAGACTAGCTGGAGAAGTGAGTTAAGAGCTGGTAAAGGCTAGCAGGGTTGATCCTGCCTATAATCCCAGCACCTTGGGAGGCCAAGGCAGGAGGATCGCTTGAGGCTAGGAGTTTGAGACCAACCTGGCAACATAGTGAGACCCCCCATCTCTACTATAACAAAAGATATTAGCCAGGCGTGGTGGTGCGTGCCTGTAGTCCCAGCTACTTGAGAGGCTTGAGGTGGGAGGATCGCTTGAGCCCAGGAGACCGAGGCTGCAGAGAGCCATGATTGTGCCACTGTACTCCAGCCTGGGTGCTATCCACACTCTGCACAGAGCAACACCCTGTCTCAAAAAAAAGAAAAATGATGATGGGTCAGCTGGGATGGTGGCAGTGGGGCTGGATGGGGGAGGCGAAGGAAAGCAAGGTGTACCAGGCAGCCCCCAGGGTTCTGGATGAGACAGTCCCATTCCCTGAGGCAGGGAGCAGCAGAGGTGGGGAACAACGCCTTAGATAAACTTAGATCAATATCTAAGAGACACTTACATAAATACCTTTTGTGCATTTATTGAGAGTCAGTTGTGATCAAGATGTTCTCTAAGTGGATCATCACACCCCATAAAGCACACCTGGGAGGCATGCCTACTTTATAGGTCAGGAGAATTGAGGCACCAGAGTAGTCGTGTGGGGTTGGGGAAGAGACAGGGCCACTGGAACCCTGTCGACAGCCTACACTCACAGCGGAGGCAGAGGAAGAAGAGCCCACAGGGTAGCTTGCGGAGTGACTTGCAGGGAGGGGCAGAACCAGGGAGGGTGCTGTCTGGACTCCAGGAAGGAGGGTGCGGTTGGACTTGTCAGATTCCGGAACAGTGATTCAAGGGCTACGGAGCGTCCACAGAATTTAGCAATGGCAAGGCCACCCCTGGCCTGCATGAGAGCTGCTGCCTGGTGGAGGGGTGGAGCTGGATCGGGAGGGTGGTGGAGGTGAGGACATGGCTGCAATCAGTGTAGACATCACTTTCTGGAATCTGGGCTGGGAATGAGAGCAAAGAGGGAAGATGGAGGCTAGAGAGAGATGCACACAGAGTGGGGGTGAGGAGGGGTGTGACAGTAGCTTGTTGAAATGCTGATGGCACAGCTGCTGGGGAGTGAAGGGTCAGTGCTGCAGGCGAGGGAGTCCATCCATGGGTCAAAGTTCCCAAAGAGGAGGAGAGGCCTGCAGCATAGATGAGGGAGGCTGTCCCACGTTAAAACGCTTCAAGGATTGTGCTCTCCTCTCTTGGAGAAGAAGCCAGCTAGTAGTTAGGCTTGGAAGCAGTGGAGGTTGTACTGGGAAGATTTCCCTGGCTATGGAGATGTGAAAGGGCCTGGCTGGGCTCCCCTCTTTCTGAAGCTCCCTGCTGCTCTGGTTTGTGGTTGGAGGCAGAGCCACACTAGTCCACGCAGTGCTTCCATGCCGTTTGAAAGAAGGCACCCATTCCTTAAAGTGGACACCACTCCTCACCAGGGCACACAGCTCGGCAAGCAGAGTGCTGGCTGGATTTCAGTCCCTCTGTACTCCCTCAGCAAATGCACTTTTGTGCAGTGAACAACCTGCACAGCCTCACACAGCATTCCTATGTGGGATTTGGCTTCCCCATTCTCCTTGGACCTAAGTCTCTCCCTTCTCTCTACCCACTCTTCCTAGTGCCTCAGAGTGACCCAAGTCCAGGGACTCCACCCCACCTGGGAAACCTGTGGGTGACAGACCCTACCCCAGATTCACTGCACCTCTCCTGGACTGTCCCTGAGGGCCAGTTTGACACCTTCATGGTCCAGTACAGGGACAGGGATGGACGGCCCCAGGTGGTACCTGTGGAAGGGCCCGAGCGTTCATTTGTTGTCTCCTCACTGGACCCTGACCACAAGTACAGATTCACTCTGTTTGGAATTGCGAACAAGAAGCGGTATGGCCCCCTCACGGCCGATGGCACCACTGGTGAGTAGCAGCCACCTCAGCCCCCATGTGACCCCTTCTCAGCCCCATGCACACTTCCCTTCAGCCCAAAACCAGCTGGGGTCCCCCAGCAAGACAGCTGACTCCAGCTTCCCGGCCCCACTCCAGGGCTGAGGGGCAGCCAGACTCCCCCGCACTGCTGGGCCCCTTCCATCCCAAGCAGCAGCTCCCCGTGGCCCAGAAGGTGTGTCATACCCTGGCTGTGTCAGGCTTCCCAGAAGTTTAGCACTCGAATTAATGGACTAGTGACCCCCCACCCCCCATAGGTGTGACATCCCGTCGAAACCCCAAGCCCCAGTCCCAGGCTGCCAGTTCAGCACCTGGCTGGATCTCCTTGTTTACAGCTCCAGAGAGGAAAGAGGAGCCCCCCCGCCCTGAGTTCCTGGAGCAGCCCCTCCTGGGGGAACTGACAGTGACCGGCGTGACCCCAGACTCCTTGCGTCTCTCATGGACAGTGGCCCAGGGCCCCTTCGACTCATTCATGGTCCAGTACAAGGATGCACAGGGGCAGCCCCAGGCAGTGCCTGTTGCGGGGGATGAGAATGAGGTTACTGTCCCCGGCCTGGATCCCGACCGGAAGTATAAGATGAACCTCTACGGGCTTCGTGGCAGGCAGCGTGTGGGGCCCGAGTCTGTGGTGGCCAAGACTGGTGAGTCATGGCTGCCAGGCCTCCCTCCCCTGCTAGCCCCATCCTGTGAGCGGGACTTGGCTGGGGCTCCTTCCAGCCTCCCTCCATCTTCGCCTTCTCAGCTCATTTTGCCAAAGCCTCCACCCACTTCCTCCCGCACTGCTCTCCTGTCCTCTGCATGCCAGGTCCCCCTCATCCAGCCTCCACCTCCTCATCTCTTCCTCAGCCTCACTTCTTCATCTCCAAGGGCAGGTCCTATTTTCCCCCATTCCAAACACCTGGACTCATCCTTCCACCTGGGGCTGTCCTCCCCACAGATGTCCTCACCATTCGGTCACTGTGTTCTCACCCCTCAGTTTTTACTGGGCTCCTTCATGGTCTGGTTTGGGCCATGGTCACTTCTGGGCTTCTGTCACCTGCTGCCCACAACCTCCTGCCATTTCTGCTGTGTTCAGAGGTGGCAGATCCAAGTGACAAGAGCACCACGTTTCTCTAGCCTTTTTGCAGCATGAAGAGGACTCCTCTCAGCTCCCGACTCCTTGACTCCCAGCCCCCTTGGAACAGGGCAAAGGGATTGTGTTCAGCCCAGCATCCCAGCCTGTTCCTCCATGTCCCCAGCCTTTCCCTGTCCAGTGCCATTCCCCTGGCCTGTGAATTATTTGATGAGAGATAGTGTGGATAGTGGTTAGGAGCAAAGACTCCGGAGCCAACTGCCCGAGTCTCACTACCAGCCTTGCAACTTACTTCCTGTAGGACCTTGTGCAAATTGCTTAACCTCTCTGTGCCTCAGCTTTCCCTTCTGTCAGGTGGCTGGATTTCAGTCCCTCTGCACAGAGCTGTTGGAATTACATGAGTTAATATATGTATAACACTTAGAAAGGCCAGGCACAGTGGCTCATGCCTGTAATCCCAGCATTTTGGGAGGCCAAGGCGGGTGGATCACGAGGTCAGGAGATCGAGACCATCCTGGCTAACACGGTGAAACCGTGTCTCCACTAAAAATACAAAAAATTAGCCAGGCATGGTGGCAGGTGCCTGTAGTCCCAGCTACTCAAGAGGATGAGGCAGGAGAATGGCGTGAACCCGGGAGGCGGAGCTTGCAGTGAGCCGAGATCGCGCCACTGCATTCCAGCCTGGGCGACAGAGTGAGACTCCATCTCAAAAAAAAAAACAAAAACAAAAACAAAAAAAGCCCACACACTTAGAATAGTGCTTGGAGCAGCAAAGCATTTTCAGAGTGAGCTGCAATTTCTCCCTGACTCTCTCACTTCCCAGTAATCTTTTTTGCTCCCCACCTCCCTCCCTTCCTCTGGGTTGTCATTCTTGCCAATTCTTTCCTCAATCTGCTATCCCAAAGTAGTCCCCCATGTAGCAGGTCACAGAAGGGCTGGTTTCCCTTGTGCCACAGTCTCCCCACTCCATGGAGCCTCAGCAGAGACCTAACTGTAGGGGGCGGGTAGGTGCCCACAGGGCTGTGATTCCAGAGCCAGCCAGGGAAGGACATGTCTCTCCTTGGATCCCACTCACCCCAGAATTTTTCTCCCACTCATGCCTGGAGCCCTGCCTTAGCAATTCATTCCTTGGGGTTAAAGGGGAGGGAGGGGCAGGGCTGCCTGGGGAGGCCACAGCAAGAGCACATTCCATGGTCAGATCCTCATATGAGGGGTGGGGCAGCCAGAGTGCCCTGGGGAGGGCACAGGTAGGAAGAGGCCTCACTGCCCTCCTCACTGTCTGAGGTCAGCACTGTCAGTGAACGTGGTTTGGAAGAACCCTCAGAGGCTTCCTCTCTTCCCATCTCAGCTCCTTTCTCAGACACGAAGGGAGACCCCTCACCCCCACAGAACCCACCAGAGCAGGATGGGGCAAGGGCTGTCTCAGCCTTCTCCATCCGTGAGTGACCGAATGGCAAATACAAAGGCTACAGAGCCCCTGAGCCCACAGCGTAAGGGCATTTCCATGGCTGTCATCTGTGGGCAGCAGCAGCAAAGCCAGCAGCCCTTTATGCCTCTATCTCTTCTCTCAGCTCCTCAGGAGGATGTGGACGAGACCCCCAGCCCCACAGAACTGGGCACGGAGGCCCCGGAGTCCCCCGAGGAGCCGCTCCTGGGGGAGCTGACAGTGACAGGATCCTCCCCTGATTCGCTGAGCCTCTTCTGGACCGTCCCCCAGGGCAGCTTCGACTCTTTCACCGTGCAGTACAAGGACAGGGATGGGCGGCCCCGGGCGGTGCGTGTTGGGGGCAAGGAGAGTGAGGTCACCGTGGGAGGCCTAGAGCCCGGGCACAAGTACAAGATGCACCTGTACGGCCTCCACGAGGGGCAGCGCGTGGGCCCGGTGTCCGCCGTGGGCGTGACAGGTGAGTGAGGGGCAGGGGCCTGCTTTGGTTCCCTCCCACTGCTGGCTCCCAGCTTCCCTGTAGCCAGTTGCTCTCCTTGCTCCAGTGGAACCTTGAGGCTGCCTGCCAGGGGAAGACCTAGAAAGAGCATGTCACTGGGGACTGGCGTACCACCAGCTTTCATGGCCCTGAGCAAGTTTTAAACTTTCTGCACCTCTGTTTCCTTGTCCGTAAAATGGGGACACCTACCTCACAGAGTTATTGTGAGGGTTAAGTGAGTTAACAGATGTAAAGCATCAAGAATGGGCCTGGCAAAAGTAAATATGCTGCCAGTGTCTGCTGTGAGAATTGTTATAAATATTCTTACTCTGAGGTCTGCTTTGTCCCCTTTGGCTGGTTCAGTTACTTGGTCAGAATGCACATGAATCTAAGGCCATACCACCCTGAAGGTGTCCTATCATCTCCTCTGATCTCAGAAGCTAAGCAGGGTCAGGTCTGGTTAGTACTTGGATGGGAGAATGCGCGTGAGACATTGGCCTCTTCATCAGTACAGCTTGAAGCAAGCTTTCTTTTCTTTCTTGTCTTTTTTTTTTTTTTTTTTTTTTTGAGACAGAGTCTCACTCTGTTGCCCAGCCTGGAGTGCAGTGGTGCGATCTCAGCTCACTGCAACCTCTGCCTCCCAAGTTCAAGTGATTCTCCTGCCTCAGCCTCCCAAATAGCTGGGACTACAGATGCGTGCCACCACACCTGGTTACTTTTTTGTATTTTTAGTAGAGACGGGGTTCACCGTGTTGGCCAGGCTGGTCTCAAACTCCAGATCCTCAAGTGAGCCACCTGCCTCGGCCTCCCAAAGTTCTGGTATTACAGGCGTGAGCCACCACGCCTGACCACAAAGCTTTCTCTTTCTTCTTTCTCTCTTTTTCTTTCTTTCTTTCTTTCTTTCTTTCTTTCTTTCTTTCTTTCTTTCTTTCTTTCTTTCTCTTTCTTTCTGTCTCTCTCTCTCTCTTTCTTTCTTTTTTTCCTTTCTTTCTGTTTTTTGAGCTCTGTTGCCCAGGCTGGAATGCAGTGGTGCAATCTTGGCTCACTGCAACCTTTGCCTCCCAGGTTCAAGTGATTCTCCTGCCTCAGCCTCCCGAGTAGCTGGGATTACAGGCATGCACCACCACACCTGGCTAATTTTTGTATTTTTAATAGAGATGGGGTTTTACCATGTCAGCCAGGCTGGTCTCAAACTCTTGACCTCAAGTGATCCACCCGCCTTGGCCTTCCAAAGTGCTGGGATTATAGGCATAAGCCACCACGCCCGGCCACAAGGCTTTCTTTAATACTCATCCAGTGAGTGACTTTACAGCAAAGAAGAACATCCCTTCCACCCTTTCTCTCAGGCCTGGTTACAGGGCCACATCCACCACCACACAGGACCAGCCTGGGCACCTCCTCTCCAGGGCCTCAGCCCAAGAGGCTGAGTGGACAGCAGTGCCTCTGGGACCCTCGGGCTGACCTGCCCGGTTTAGTCACAGTGAGGGGAATCTCTTTTTTCCTTTGCTCACAGAAACAAAGACACACCTTTCTCAAAAATAACTTTTACTATAAGGGGAAAGATTAAAAAATTAAAAGTAGAGAAATAGATAGTTTTCCAGAACATGGTTTCTGTAATTCCACCAAGCTCAGCCTCATCATGACTTGGTTGATTTCATTTCCAGAACCTTCCACCCTCAATTTATTTTCTTTGCCTCAGTCAGCCCTGAGAAGAGGGAGACGGCAAAGCCACCCTGAGTGGCTGTCCTTGGGGCCTGAGGTTGTAGGGTGGAGGCTGGTGCCAGGCCCAGACATGCTGCCAAGTCTGCTCCTGGAGTGACCCTCCCTCTGCCGCTCTGTCCCAGGGACCCACACTGGGCTCTGTGAGGCCCTGTGCCTGGTCCCTGGGGTAAGGATGGGCTCTGTCAGGCACTGACCAAGTCGGTGCAGTAGAGATAAATGGAGTTTGGGAATCTGACAAACTGAGTTCCTTCCTGTCTTCCTCTGTTCTCAGCTGTATGATTTTTATTTTTTTATTTTATTATTATTTTTTTGAGACAGAGTCTTGCTTTGTCACCCAGGCTGGAGTGCAGTGGCATGATCTCAGCTCACTGCAACCTCTGGCTCCCAGGTTCAAGCAGTCCTCCTGCCTCAGCCCCCCAAGTAGCTGGGATTACAGGCGCCCACCACCACACCCGGCTAATTTTTGTATTTTTAGTAGAGACAGGGTTTCACCATGTTAGCCAGGCTGGTCTCGAACTTCTGACCTCAGATGATCCACCCGCCTTGGCCTCCCAAAGTGCTGGGATTACAGGCGTGAGGCACCGTGCCCAGCCAGCTGTATGATCTTGAAAAACTTACCTCCTCTCCTGGAACCTCAGCTTCCTCATATTCAGGAGGGAGTAAACGCTGCCCAGCTTGTTGTCACGGTTAAAGGTGGTGATGTAACATGTCTGGCATCTTCTCAGCTCATTCATCTTTTGCTCAGACCTTCCCGTGAGGGAATCCCTGTATATCCATGTTCTAATGCTGGATATTTTGAAACATGTATTTTACACGTCCTGGATAAAATAGATGAGGCCCTTTAGGAAAGAAATGGGCATCAGTGCGCATTATCAGAGCAGCAAAAGGACGAAGCAGCTGGAGTCCGCCAAGCTGGGGGCTGTGTCTGGCAGCACACACAGTGCAGTTGCCAGGGGGAGAGGTGCGTGGAGCTCATTAGACACACTTCTAAATTGGAAAAGGACTGTCCCACATGCAGCATGGGGACTGCCAGAGTCATGAATCGTTATAATTGTACCTTTCCAGTTAATCCAAACCACCAGCAATAAAGCTTGATGGTGAAGGACATTTTCATTCCCTCATGGAAAGAAGTGCAGAGAGGGCAAAAAGGAGCAGGGAATGGGTGCTGCAGGAACAAGTAAGGTTAGAAGGCAAATGAAATGAGAGAAAATGCCCAGCCTGGTACCTGTACATAGTAGATGTTCAATACTTGGTGGTCACTCTGCTCCCTCCCACCACCTCAGCTGCCTCCATGCCTGCCCTCCCCAGCCTGACTCATTTCTGTCTGCCCGAGGCCTGGTCACCAGCCTGTTTTAAGCAGTTGTCACTTGCTTGGAGCCTTGTCTTGCCCTCCGGAGGAAGCCAGAGAAACAAGTTCTTGGGAGCCCCACCCATCCAGCCACCTTCTCTGCCATTTTGCCTCTTGGGACCACCTTCTAGTTTGCTCACTAATGAGTGCTTCCTCATGCGGGAGTGGTGGGGATCTGCAGGTCCTGAGCCCAGACCTGTAGACCACTCATTATTTTACAGACATCTGTGGAGCACCTACTGTGTGCCAGGGACTGGGACACAGCAGTGAATAAAGCAGAGCTCCTGCCTGAGGAGCTCACATTCTAGTGGAGAGGGACAGGCAACAAATTGCACAAATATGTCAGTGGCACCGGATGTGACAGTGATGAGTGGTGGGGAAAAGCAGAGCCTAGTAGGGAGACAGCAAGGGCCTCACTGCGAGGGCAGTGTCTGAGGAAAGCCCTGAAGGAGGTGAGAGGACAGCCACCTAGGCCTTTGGGGAAAGAGCATCCCAGACAGAAGGAAGAGCAAATGCAGAGACTGGCAGGCGAGAAGCAGCCCCAGATGTCTGCAGACAGTGAGGAATGCAGTATGTTTTGTGGTGGAGTTGGAGGAGGGCAGGCAATAGGGAATGATCTAAGAGATGAATATGGGACCTCAGAGGCCAGTGCAGGACTTGGATTTCACCCTGAGTGAGGTAGAAGCCACTGCGGGAACCAGCTCTGGCTAATGTGTTAACAGGATCCTTCTGGCTGCAGACCCAACAGACTAAAGGGGGGTGAGGGCAGAAGGCGATGACCTGAGAGAATGTTGTGATAATCCAGGAGGAGCCAGTGGTGCTTGGAGGTGGCAAGGAGGGGTCAGACTCTGAAGGTAGTGACAACAGGCGGATACCCACAGGGCGGATGTGGAGTTTAAGAGAGGACTCGGGGATGACTCTGGCGGTTTAGATCTGAGCAGCTGGAAGAATGAAGTTGTAATCCTGGTCAGGCGTGGAGGATCATGCCTGTAATCCCAGCACTTGGGGAGGCCGAGGCGGGCGGATCACCTGAGGTCGGGAGTTCAAGACCAACCTGACTAACGTGGAGAAACCCCATCTCTACTGAAAATACAAAATTAGCCGGACGTGGTGGCACATGCCTGTAATCCCAGCTACTCAGGAGGCTAAGGCAGGAGAATCGCTTGAACCCAGGAGGCGTAGGTTGCGGTGAGCCGAGAGGGCGCCATCGCACACCAGCCTGAGCAACAACAGCGAAACTCCGTCTCAAAAAAAAAAAGTTGTAATCTTACTGAGGTGGGGAGGCTGTGGCGGGAGCAGGTGTCAGGAAGCTCAGAGGCTCAGTTTTGGACTTGTTGAGTTTGACACACAAGTAGGCCTCCAAGGAAGACGTTGCACGAACACTAGTCTGGGGTTCAGGAGAGGTCTGGACAGAGGGTGTAAATCTGGAGTCATTGGCATATAGATGGAATTTCAGCGCTCTCCCAGGGTGTCAGTGATGGTTGATACTCTTCTCCCCCAACAAATGCAGCCTCAGACACCGAGCAGGGACCTAGTGAAGGACTGTTGACCAGACAGATGTTCAGATCAATGCGCTTTTACATCAAAACCATCATGCGGGTTCCACAAATGCAACAGACATCGCTGGGTGTGGTGGCTCACACCTGTAATCCCAGCACTTTGGGGGCTGAGGCAGGTGGATCACCTGAGGTCAGGGGTTTGAGACCAGCCTGGCCAACATGGCAAATGCCGTCTCCACTAAAAATACACACACACACAAAATTAGGCAGGCATGGTGGCGCACGCCTGTAGTCCCAGCTACTTGGGAGGCTAAGGCAGGAGGATCGCTTGAACCCGGGAGGCAGAGGCTGCAGTGAGCCGAGGTCGCCCACTGCTCTGGGTGACAGCGAGACTCCATCTCAAAAATAAAAAATAAAAAATAAATAACTAGACATCATTACTATAAGAAAAGGGGGATTCTTTACTAACAGCCCCCTACCATCTCTGTCCCAGCCCCACAACAAGAAGAGACCCCTCCAGCCACTGAGTCCCCGCTGGAGCCACGCCTAGGAGAGCTGACAGTGACAGATGTGACCCCCAACTCTGTGGGCCTCTCCTGGACAGTCCCCGAGGGCCAGTTTGACTCCTTCATAGTCCAGTACAAGGACAAGGACGGGCAGCCCCAGGTGGTGCCGGTGGCGGCAGACCAGCGAGAGGTCACAGTCTACAACCTGGAGCCTGAGAGAAAATATAAGATGAACATGTATGGACTACATGATGGGCAACGCATGGGCCCCCTGTCTGTGGTCATCGTGACGGGTGAGTAATGGGGGGACTCAGTCCTCATCTCTGGTTACCCAGAGCTCCCCCACCCCATGGCCCTTCTTCCAGCCCTGCCTTGGTACCACCGCACCCTCACTGAGGGGCTAGATCCCCTCAGGCCCTGGCTCGGTGACCCTGCCAGTCTTTCTGTTCCCTGACCCCTTTACTCCTCCCAGGGCTAGAGCCTTCTCAGCCCTCCAGCTCCTTCCCCATCTCCACTCTGCCCCCCGCCCAGGGGAATGTCTTATTTCCATTTGGCCTAAATCCAGCCACAGACTTTCTCTCCCCCTCTCCGACTGCCCACAGCTGTTTCCACCCCTTCTCTTTACAACCCTGCTGTGACTTGGACACAGCTGCCACCTCCTGCTTCTGCCCTTTTTTGTTGAGGCGAAGTGCTTTACATCCTGAGTCCCTTCTCAGGAGTCCTCTGCCACCTGCCTGCACTGCATTCCATCCCAGCCCTGGAGAGTTTTCATCTCTCCAGGAGGCTGCCTCACTCTTGCTCTGGGCTCCTTCCTGCCCCTCATGGCTTCCTGGGCACAGGTTCTCCATGATTGTTGTGCTGTGGCATCTGGTGAAACCCCTACCCCACCTGAAGGCAATGTTTTTAAATCTGTAAAATAAGCTGTATAGGATTACAAAGGAAACATTATATTTATAGACAGTTATCAAAATATTTCTTTTTTATTTTTGAGATGGAGTTTTGCTCTTGTCATCCAGGCTGGAGTGCAATGGCGCGATCTCGGCTCACTGCAACCTCCGCTTCCCAAGTTCAAGCAATTCTCCTGCCTCAGCCTCCCGAGTAACTGGGATTACGGGCACGTGCCACCACACCCAGCTAATTTTTTGTATTTTTAGTAGAAACAGGGTTTCGCCATGTTGGCCAGGCTGGCCTCAAACTCCTGACCTCAGGTGATCCACCCGCCTCGGCCTGGCATGAGCCACTGCACCCGGCCCAAAATATTTCTTAAAAATCCAAAGTTACGATTTAGTAATACTTGGACTTATTTACTAGTTCATTAAATAACAGGACTTGGTGGCGCGTTTACTAAACTACAAAATTTAGAAGCAGTGATGGATATAAAAGGTATTTTAAAGTTTCTGCAATAACTCTAAGGTGACATGAAAACATCTGTGGTTTCTATTGGTAACAAAGTCACAATAATTCTACTCTGGTGGGTTTTCTATATTAGTTTTGGAAAGAAATGCTGCATTTCAGTTAGAGGTCTGGAAGTAAAGGTGTAACTATTCCCCATCTCAGTTCACAGCCCCCCTGAGGCCCTCAAAGCCCAGGGGTTCTCCCCTCAGAGATCTCAACCATGTTCTTTGTCTTCCCAAATCCCAGCTCCCCTCCCACCAGCCCCAGCCACAGAGGCCTCCAAGCCTCCCCTGGAGCCACGCCTAGGGGAGCTGACAGTGACGGATATAACCCCTGACTCTGTGGGCCTCTCATGGACAGTCCCTGAGGGTGAATTCGACTCCTTTGTGGTTCAGTACAAGGACAGGGACGGGCAGCCCCAGGTGGTGCCCGTGGCTGCAGATCAGCGGGAGGTCACTATCCCTGACCTGGAACCCTCCCGCAAGTACAAGTTCCTGCTCTTTGGGATCCAGGATGGGAAACGACGCAGCCCAGTCTCTGTGGAGGCAAAGACGGGTGAGATGGGCCCCTACACAGCTGAGCCTGAGGCCACAGCCTTCCCACCCTTCTCTTCACTCCCTCTGCTGAGTCTTCCCTTTGTCCACCTGCTCTGTCTCATTTGAAAAGCCACATGGGGCTAGCACAGTGACTCATGCCTGTAATCCCAGCACTTTGGGAGTCCAAGGCAGGTCAGGAGTTTGAGACCAGTCTGGCCAACATGGCAAAACCCTGTCTCTACTAAAAAGACAAAAATTAGCTGGGTGTGGTGATGGGTGCTAGTAATTCCAGCTACTCGGGAGTCTGAGGCACAAGAATCACTTGAACCCAGGAGGTGGAGGCTGCAGGGAGCTGAGATTGCGCCACTGCACTCCAGCCTGGGTGATAGAGCCAGACTCCGTCTCAAAAAAGACCAAAAAAAAAAAAAAAGAAAGAAAAGCCGCAAAGCAGATGAGGACCAGGAGAGTGGGGCCAGTTCCTGGGTCTGCTGTCCCCTGCTGACTCTGCCTCTCTTCTCGTAATTTCCACTTTTGTTGGATGAGGGAAGCCCCTACAGGCCTCTTCCTGCAGGGTGGATGTGGGAGCCTGGGGGTGCTGGGAGAAGGGGCGAGGGGAGCCAGGAACCCTTCCTGCCTTGCGAATCCATCACCTCCTGAGAGTCTTTGTTGTCTCCCCTGTGACTCTCACCCAGGTTCTCACCCTCCTAGCTCAGGCCTGTCTGGGCCCATATGTGCCTCCTACAGAGGCTGCCCTTCCTTCTCTGCCCTCCTCCTGAAGTCTCAGAAATTGGGAACCAGAGGAGCCCAGCCCAGCTGTGCCCCTTTCCGAGGGTTCAGTCCAAGCCCTCCCCTGCCCCTGGGGGCTCCCTATTGCCAGAAAACTTGCAATAACAATGTCGTCAGCGTCCTCACCGTCCAGGAAGGCAGCAGGCCAGCTCCTTCTCAAGCCCTGGGATGGCTCCTCAGGCAGACACCAGATCCCTTCCCTGCCTGAGCTCCCCGGCATCATCCCCCTCAACATTCTCACAGGCAGCCCACGCTCCTTCACCAGGCCCAGTGGGAGCCTTAGTTCTCCCGGGCCAGCCGGTGCAGAATAAGAAAGGGAACGGAGAAGGGTGAGAACTACCTGTGTCGTAACATCCTGCCTCCCTGACCTGCCGAGTGCCCCCATCAGGGATCCTGCGCTCCTCGGGGCCGGCCAAATCACCCCTTTCCTCAGGGGCCGGCCAAATCACGGCCAAATCGTGTGCTCCTGGGTAAGAGGAGATAGAGACCCAGTCTGTAAGAAGCTGCACCCTGCTGGGGAAGCAGTCTGTGAGAGGCGGAAAGAGGCTGGACAGAAAGGGGAGTAAGATGAGGCAGGGAGCTAGGGAATCTCTTTTCCTGGAGGTGACTCAGGACAGGTGACCCTCCCCACTTGGGTCAAGGGGAGAGAGGCATGGACCAGACGGAGATGGTGGTGAGGATGGGAGGTGATGGAAATATTTTGGGGAAGCACTGAGCATTTGGGCAGTTCTGGGTTTTTCCAGCCCCAGAGGGAGGCAGTCAAGGAGTCGTTTTGGAAAAAATAAACACAAGAACCTTTCCTCTCCAGTTGCCCGAGGTGACGCCAGCCCAGGGGCCCCACCCCGCCTTGGGGAGCTGTGGGTGACAGACCCCACCCCAGACTCACTGCGCCTCTCCTGGACGGTTCCTGAGGGCCAGTTCGACTCTTTTGTGGTCCAGTTCAAGGACAAAGACGGGCCCCAGGTGGTGCCCGTGGAGGGCCATGAGCGCTCTGTCACTGTCACCCCTCTGGATGCCGGCCGCAAGTACAGATTCCTCCTCTATGGCCTCCTGGGCAAGAAGCGCCATGGCCCTCTCACTGCCGACGGCACCACGGGTGAGGGGCATTCCCTGCAGGTCCCTGCTCTGCTCCCCTCAGGCCAAGCAGCAGACGGTCACTTGTGGTGGCTGCCATTACCATTATTTGGCCCCAGCCACTCGGCTCAGATCCAGCTCCCCACGTCCCTGCACAAGCCCCTAGCACAGCCCGGCAGGACTCAGCCACGCAAAGCCCTGTCTCCAGACCTCTCAATCCTGCCCGTCGAGGTCACCCAGTCTTCCAGAAACAGCTCAGCCGTTTCCTCTCCGTGTCTCCATCTCAGAAGCCCGGAGTGCTATGGATGATACTGGAACAAAGCGTCCCCCAAAACCCCGTCTGGGGGAGGAGCTGCAGGTGACCACCGTGACCCAGAACTCCGTGGGCCTCTCCTGGACAGTCCCTGAGGGCCAGTTTGACTCCTTTGTGGTCCAGTACAAAGACAGGGACGGGCAGCCCCAGGTGGTGCCCGTGGAGGGCAGCCTCAGGGAGGTCAGCGTGCCGGGCCTGGACCCTGCCCACAGGTACAAGCTGCTGCTCTACGGGCTGCACCACGGCAAGCGTGTGGGCCCCATCTCGGCCGTCGCCATTACTGGTGAGTGTGCGGCAGCTGGAACACCTGTGCCTCCTTCCCGCCTGGCTCTCCTGGTCTGACTGAGCCATAAGATCTCTGAGCTTCCCATTTTATATCATTTCCATTGATCCAGAAAGTTTCCTTGTGCCCCTTTAGAGTCAGTTGCCCCAGTCCCAGCCTCCAGCAACCACTGTCTGCTTTCGATCATCCTGGAGACAGCATTTTGACTCTCCATGTAATGGAATCACAATACGCAGTCTCTTGTGTTTCATTTCTTGCAATTAGCACAATGCTTTTGAAATTCACCCATGTGCAGCAAAAGCTGGTCTTTCGATTGCTGACTGCTTGCCCTCACTCCCTCTCCTCCCTCACTCCTCCTGAGAGTCTGGGTGCAGCGACACACCAGCCATCTGTCTCTACCTGTCTCTGTGAACCAGCCGGCAGGGAAGAAACGGAAACTGAGACCACGGCCCCGACCCCTCCAGCGCCTGAGCCCCACCTCGGGGAGTTGACAGTGGAGGAGGCCACGTCACACACCCTGCATCTCTCCTGGATGGTGACTGAGGGAGAATTTGACTCCTTCGAAATCCAGTACACAGATAGAGACGGGCAACTCCAAATGGTCCGCATAGGAGGTGACCGGAATGACATCACCCTCTCTGGCCTGGAATCCGACCACAGATACCTGGTGACCCTGTATGGTTTCAGTGATGGGAAGCATGTAGGTCCTGTCCATGTCGAGGCCCTGACAGGTGAGAACTCTGCCCACTATGCCTCCTTTCAGATGGCTGGGAGAGTCCAGAGGACAGCAGAGTCCCGCGGATACCCTGCCCACCTCAGTCCTCTCTTTCCATGTCTCTGTCCAGTCCCGGAGGAGGAGAAGCCTTCAGAACCTCCCACCGCAACCCCCGAGCCCCCCATCAAGCCTCGCCTGGGGGAGCTGACCGTGACAGATGCCACCCCTGACTCCCTCAGCCTGTCCTGGACAGTTCCCGAGGGACAGTTTGACCACTTCCTGGTCCAGTACAGGAATGGAGATGGGCAGCCCAAGGCAGTGAGGGTGCCAGGGCACGAGGAAGGGGTCACCATCTCGGGCCTGGAGCCAGACCATAAATACAAGATGAACCTGTACGGCTTCCACGGTGGCCAGCGCATGGGCCCTGTGTCTGTCGTCGGGGTGACAGGTGAGTGGATGATGGGAGCCCCAGGGTGGGAGCCATGGGAGGGTCACCCTCTTGCTCTTTGGTGATGACTGGTGGGGAATGGGACAAGGGTCTGGTCAGCACCACAGACCTGCTTGTGGCTGGGGCTGGGGCTCCCCTTGGGCCTTCCTGTGAGGTTGACCACTGGCTCCTCCTGAACAGAGAGGGGCCATCGGGAATTTTGCTGTGCTGGTGGCTGTCCCAGGTCCCCCACAGCTGACCCTGGAACTTGTCATGTGTGTTAGCTGTCAGCTGAGCAGGACCACCCAGCCCCAAGAGTAGGCCTCTCTGAACTGACCTCGGGTCCCCCAGTCATAGCCTTGGCTTCTCCCTCCTTTTCCCCAGTACCCAAGGACATCCCCCTCACTCTCTCTTCCTCCTTCTCAGCTGCAGAGGAAGAGACCCCCAGCCCCACAGAACCCAGCATGGAGGCCCCGGAGCCCGCTGAGGAGCCGCTCCTGGGGGAGCTAACAGTGACAGGATCCTCCCCTGACTCGCTGAGCCTCTCCTGGACCGTCCCCCAGGGCCGCTTCGACTCCTTCACCGTGCAGTACAAGGACAGGGACGGGCGGCCCCAGGTGGTGCGTGTTGGGGGCGAGGAGAGTGAAGTCACCGTGGGGGGCCTGGAGCCTGGGCGCAAGTACAAGATGCACCTGTACGGCCTCCACGAGGGGCGGCGCGTGGGCCCAGTGTCTGCTGTGGGCGTCACGGGTGAGTGTGCACTGCAGAGCCCTCTGGGTTGGGTCTTAGCAAAGTACAGCCTCCAGCATCTCCTCCACTAGGGACCCAGAACCCCAAGACCTCAAACCTGTAATACACCCTGTTCACTAAAGGCTCAGGACAGGTGTGATCTGGGGACAGAGAGAGCAAATCCAGGAGAAGTGTCGGAGCCATATGGGAAAGGCCCCCAGGGACTGAGGCCTCTTGGGAGGTGATTCACTGGCTGGTTTGTGGCTCTCCGCTTTTCCTTGGAACTCTATACATAACTCTTTTTGTGAGATTGGAACACATTTTTGAAATACAAATTAATTAAATTAATAAGTATTTGTTAAATAAAATTTCAAATGTATAAACAGAAAGAATAGTACAAAGACCCTGCCATCCTCCTTCAATCAAATATCGACTTCTGGCCAGTCTGGCTCATCTCTGCCCCACCCACTTCCTCCACTAGAATCACTAGAATGTTTTCTTTCTTTCTTTCTTTCTTTCTTTCTTTCTTTCTTTCTTTCTTTCTTTCTTCCTTCCTTTCTTTCTTTCTCTTTCTTTCTTTCTTTCATTCTTTTCTTTCTTTCTTTTTAGACAAGGTCTCACTCTGTCGCCTGGGCTAGAGTGTACTGGCACAGTCACAATTCACTGCACTGCAGCCTCAACCTCCTGGGCTTAAGGGATCCTCCCACTTCAGCCTCCCGAATAGCTGGGACTACAAGTGCACTCCACCATGCCCAGCTAATTTTTTGTATTTTTTGTAGAGACAGGGTTTAGCCATGTTGCCCAGGCCAGTCTCGAACTCCTGGGCTCAAGTTATCCTCCCACCTCAGCCAAAGTGATAGGATTCCAGGCGTGAGCCGCCACACCCGGCCTGAATGTTTTCTTTATTAACACCTTTATGGAGATATAATTCATGTGGCATAAAATACACTTGTTTTTAGTGTACAACTTACTGATTTTAGTATCTTTACCTACTTGTGCAGCCATCACCACGATCTAATTTTAGAACTTTTCCATCACCCCCAAAAGAAATCTTGGGTCCAGACCCATTCCTACCTCAGCCCTAGTTTATAACTAATCTACTTTTTTCTCTGTAGATTGCTGTTCCAGAACATTTCGTATAAATGGACTCAAACAATATGTATTCTTTTGTGTCTAGCTTCTTTCACTGAGCATAATGTTTTTGAGGTTCATCAATGTAGCATGTAGAAGTACTATACTTACTACATTGCTATTGATTGATTGATTGATTGATTGATTGATTTTTTTTGAGACAAATTCCCACTCTATTGCCCAGGCTATAGTGCAGTGGCATGATCATAGCTCACTGCAGCCCCAGACTCCTGGGCTCAAGCCATCCTCCCATCTCAGCCCCCCAGGTAGCTGGGGCCACAGGTGCTCGCCACCACACTCAGCTAATTTAAAAAAATTTTTTGTAGAGATGGGGTCTCACAGTGTTACCCAGGCTGATATCAAACTCCTGGCTTCAAGGAATCTTCCTGCCTGGGCCTTACAAAGTGCTGGGATAGCAGGCATGAGCCACCTGCTCTCTCTCAGCCACTACACTGCTTTTTATTGCCAAACAGTATTGCATTGTGTGGTTATACTACTGCAGTATTTTAAAAACGAACCACAGACATCCTATGCTTTCATCACTAAATATTTAAAGGTATATCTCTTTTTAAAAAAATTATTTTTAAAAAATCCACAATATGGCCAGGTGAGGTGGTTCACGCTTGTAATCCCAGCACTTTGGGAGGCCAAGGCAGGTGGATCACTTGAGGTAAAGAGTTCAAGACCAGCCTGACCAACATGGTGAAACCCCGTCTCTACTAAAAATAATAATAATAATAATAAATTTTAAAAAGTACAAAAAAGCGGAGCGTGGTGGCACGTGCCTGTAGTCCCAGCTACTTGGCGGGGGTTGAGGCACAAGAAATTGCTTGCACCCAGGAGGTGGAGGTTGCAGTGAGCCAAGATCGCGCCACTGCACTCCAGCCTGGGTGACAGAGTGAGACTCTGTGTCAAAAAATAAATAAATAAATAATAAAATTCCACAATACAATTAGCATACCTTGATAAGTGAACAATCATGCCTTGATATCAAGTATCCAGGTAGTGCTACAGTCTCCCGAGTGTCTCATAATTGTTGTTTCCCAATTTGTTGCTGAAATCAGGTCTATAGAAGGAGGATACATTGCAATTGAGAAAACTGAAATTTTAAATAGAGTAATCAGGGAAGGCCCACAGAAGAAGGTGGCTTTTGAACAAAGACTTAAAGGAAGTGTGGGGATGAGCCATGAAGATATCTGGGGAAAGAACATTTAGGTAGAGGGAACAGTCATTGTAAAAGTACTGAGGTAGGAGGCTGCCTGGCATGGTTGAGGGACCATAAGGAAGCCACAAAATCTGATTATGATTATAATCAGAAATCGATCTTAAGTTAGGGCCAGACTGGGCCCACCTTCTGACCTGAATTCAAGACAGCTGGGGCCTCAACACCTCCTTGCAGCAAGAGAAAAGATTCTGTTTCTATCTCTTCCTAGCCCCCGAAGAGGAGTCCCCTGATGCTCCTCTTGCAAAGCTGCGCCTAGGGCAGATGACAGTGAGAGACATCACCTCCGACTCCCTCAGCCTCTCCTGGACAGTCCCCGAGGGCCAGTTTGACCATTTCTTGGTCCAGTTTAAGAATGGGGACGGGCAGCCCAAGGCGGTGCGGGTGCCGGGACACGAGGATGGGGTCACCATCTCGGGCCTGGAGCCAGACCACAAGTACAAGATGAACCTGTACGGCTTCCACGGTGGCCAGCGCGTGGGCCCCGTGTCTGCTGTTGGTTTAACTGGTGAGTGTGCAGTAGGGCACTGGGCCCTGCCCTGAACTAGACTCAGTTTCCCTTTTATTGTCAGTATCTGGTGGCTTTATTTTACTTTCCCTGAGACCAAGCCTCCCAAGCTCCTGGGAATGGTTCTGCTGGTGCCTTCACTCCGAGACTTTGGTATTGCCCCAGGTCTTCTGCCCGTTACACATGGGCTTTTTGGGTTCCCAAAGAGGTGGGGGACCAGGAAAATAACACAGACTGAGGCACACCTGGGGTTGACCATAGCTTCAGCCCATTTGAGCTGTGTGTCCTCAAGAGACTCACACAACCTGTCTGGGCACGGTGGCTCATGCCTGTAATCCCAGCACTTTGGGAGGCCGAAGGGGGCAGATCACTTGAGGTCAGGAGTTCGAGACCAGCCTGGCCAACATCATGAAACCCCCATCTCTACTAAAAATACAAAAATTAGCTGGGTGTGGTGGCACATGCCTGTAGTCCCAGCTACTCGGGAGGCTAAGGCGGGAGAATCGCTTGAACCCAGGAGGCGGAGGTTGCAGTGAGCCGAGATCGAGCCACTGCACTCCAGCCTGTGTGACAGAGTGAGACCCTGTCTCAAAAAAACAAAACAAGCAAACAAAAAACAGACACACGACCTCTCTGTACATCCTTTTCCTCATCTGTAAAGAAGGAATAACCATACCTGTCGTGAAGGGTGGGCGGGAGTGTGGCTTGGCTCTCACACACAATGAGAGATAACTGCAGTCTTTCCCTTCTGAGGAAGGTAGGTAGTTCCTGAAAACCGCTTAGGGCAAATTCTCATAATTATCACTGATTTCAGTGGGAAAAATTGTATGTGTTCTCTAAGCTCCCAAATTAATACCCATTTATTTTTAAAACAACACTGAATCCTGTTAACATGGATACTATTACTTTAATTGTAAATATTGGCCATGTGCACAACTTAATAAGGCATTTTCCTTTCATTACCCTGTAACTCGGCTCTTTGATGCTTTTGTAAGCTCTTTTATAGCTGTTACCCCCTAGATGCTTAAGACTCAGTTCTCAAAAAGAACAGACAAATGAAATGTGATGAATTTGTAATACCACTATCAAGGCAGAATAAAACCCTATGAAGAGCAGAAAAGATTAAAGAAATCAATGAAAACAAAGCAATTGATTTCACACGGGCCAAAAGAACTGGCATCACTGGAGGTGCTCTCTCTGCCGTAAGTTAGCAGAGCTACTGCAGGTCCAGAGACAACTCAGCTGCAAAGATGCCCTCATGTGGTCTCATCTCTCTACCCTCAGCTATAAAATCTAAGTTGGTTTCTAAAAATGCTCAGGATTAGGTGGAATTTCCAAGCCCAGGTGGATGAACCTCCTGATACAACTTGCCTGTTGTGTTTGGTTGGTGTTCTTTGTTTTCTTTTTTTTTTTTTTCTTTATGTTGAGATGGAGTCTCACTCTGTCACCCAGGCTCTCAGGCTGGAGTGCCGTGGTGCGATCTCAGCTCATTGCAACCTCTGCCTCCCAGGTCCAAGCAGTTCTCCTGCCTCAGCCTTCCGAGTAGCTGGGATTACAGGCATGCACCAGCACATCTGGCTAATTTTTGTATTTTTAGTACAGACAGGATTTCGCCATGTTGGCCAGGCTGGTCTCAAGCTCCTGACCTCAGGTGATCCTCCCGCCTCGGCCTCCCAAAGTGCTGGGATTACAGGCCTGAGCCACCACGCCTGGCCCTGATTGCTGTTTTTTGTTTGTTTGTTTGTTTTTGTTTGTTTGTTTTTTTCTTGAGAAGGAGTCTCGCTGTCTCCCAGGATGGAGTGCAGTGGCGTGATCTTGGCTCACCGCAAGCTCCGCCTCCTGGGTTCATGCCATTCTCCTGCCTCAGCCTCCTGAGTAGCTGGGACTACAGGTGCCCGCCAACACGCCTGGCTAATTTTTTGTATTTTTAGTAAAGACGGGGTTTCACAGTGTTAGCCAGGATGGTCTCAATCTCCTGACCTCATGATCCGCCCGCCTCGGCCTCCCAAAGTGCTGAGATTACAGGCCTGAGCCACCACACCCGGCCCTGGTTGGTGTTCTTATAAAGCATCAATTCTGTCCTGCAAAACAAATTTGCTTGGCAGCTCCTAAGGGTCCCAGGCCTGCACACTGAGCATCACAGGGATGCCACCTGAGCATCATGACTTCACCACAGGTGTGGTGTTAACTGAACATTCAAAGCAGAAAAATGATATTCTAAGCTTGGGGCACCAGCATCCAGACTGTGGGCCCTTGGTGTGTCTAAGAGAATCCCAGAGTCCCTTGGTTAAAAGGAGGCCCACCAGGCATGCCCACCCATTCTATTTTCTGATGCAGCCCCAGGAAAGGATGAAGAAATGGCCCCAGCCTCGACAGAACCTCCCACCCCTGAACCCCCCATCAAGCCTCGCCTGGAGGAGCTGACCGTGACAGATGCGACCCCTGACTCCCTCAGCCTGTCCTGGACGGTTCCCGAGGGACAGTTTGACCACTTCCTGGTCCAGTACAAGAATGGGGATGGGCAGCCCAAGGCAACACGGGTGCCAGGACATGAGGACAGGGTCAC
Source organism: Homo sapiens (assembly GCF_000001405.40). Classification (NCBI taxonomy): domain Eukaryota; kingdom Metazoa; phylum Chordata; class Mammalia; order Primates; family Hominidae; genus Homo; species Homo sapiens. Next base: position 32,062,254 of record NC_000006.12, on the reverse strand, counting down.
CATCTCCGGCCTGGAGCCAGACAACAAGTACAAGATGAACCTGTACGGCTTCCACGGTGGCCAGCGTGTGGGCCCCGTGTCTGCCATCGGGGTGACAGGTGAGTGGACGATGGGAGCCCCAGGGTGGGAGCCATGGGAGGGTCACCCTCTTGCTCTTTGGTGATGACTGGTGGGGAATGGGACGGGTCTGGTCAGCACCACAGACCTACTTGTGGCTGGGGCTGGGGCTCCCATTGTACCTTTTTGTGTGGTTGACCCCTGGCTCCCCCTGAGCAGGGAGGGGCCATTGGGAGTTTTGCTGTGCTGGTGGCTGTGCCAGGTCCCCCACAGCTGACCCTGGAATTTGTCATGTGTGTTAGCTGTCAGCTGAGCAGGACCCCAAGAATGGGCCTCTCTGAACTGACCTCAGGTCCCCTAGTCATAGCCTTGGCTATTTCATATGTCCCCTAGTCATAGCCTTCTCCCTCCTTTTCCCCACGACGTAAGCACATCCCCCAGGGACCCTGCCATCCTCTCTGTGTCCCTTTTTCTCAGCTGCAGAGGAAGAGACCCCCAGCCCCACAGAACCCAGCATGGAGGCCCCGGAGCCCCCTGAGGAGCCGCTCCTGGGGGAGCTAACAGTGACAGGATCCTCCCCTGACTCGCTGAGCCTCTCCTGGACCGTCCCCCAGGGCCGCTTCGACTCCTTCACCGTGCAGTACAAGGACAGGGACGGGCGGCCCCAGGTGGTGCGTGTTGGGGGCGAGGAGAGCGAGGTCACCGTGGGGGGCCTGGAGCCTGGGCGCAAATACAAGATGCACCTGTATGGCCTCCACGAGGGGCGGCGCGTGGGCCCGGTGTCCACCGTGGGCGTGACTGGTGAGTAGTGCTTGGAGTCTCGGGGTAACCACCTTTCCCTCATGGGTACCTGGTTTACTGCTGTGCCCTTTCACCAAGCCCTGTGGGTCCAGACTTGTCTCCTGTGTCCTGCCCTCCCTCTGTGCCCTGTGGCTGTGGCCTATGCTAGCGGTTTGCTTGTTCACTTTGGCGTGGCCTCCCTCTAATGGTCAACCACTGATAACCTCCAAGAGTGAAATATGTCAGGCGCACACCAAGCCTGACTTACGAGAATTTTCCTTTCTTTCCATCTTAATAACAGCATTCTTTGTTATAACCACATACACAAATGCACACAAGAGGAACAATCCAACGTCAAACCACGTTGGGATGACTAAATAATTTAGGCAACATCTATAAAAAGAGCTATTATGCCGCCACTGAAATGTTTTAACATAAGACCCTTACTTTATAATGTTACATTGAAAAAAGAGAGCCTAGGCTGGGCACAGTGGCTTACGCCTGTAATCCCAGCACTTTGGGAGGCCGAGGCGGGCTGATCGCCTGAGGTCAGGAGTTCCAGACCAGTCTAGCCAACATGGTGAAACCCCATCTCTACTAAAAATACAAAAATTAGCCAAGCATGGTGGCACATGCCTGTAATCCCAGTTACTTGGGAGGTGGAGGCACGAGAATTGCTTGAACCCGGGAGGCAGAGGTTGCAGTGAGCCGAGATCACCACTGCACTCCAGCCTGGCAGATACAGCCAAACTCAGTCTCAAAAAAGAAGAAAAAGGAGCCCAAATTTTTGTAAGGATGCTAATCACAACCATTTGAAAGTAACAGGCATGGCAAGAAGACTGGAAAGAAACACATCCCACGGGTTGCCTGATTTGTTAGATAGAATAGAATATTCCAGCACATTTTTTTCTGTATTATTCTATTCTGCATAGTCCAAATTTTCTTAAATGGCAAACATTTCTTTTACAATCAGGGAAAGGGAAAAGAGAAAATATATAATGTCTTCTCCTTCTTTACACTCCATCTGTCCTACTCCTCTATCGCTCTTGTGGCTTATTTCATTTATTTCCTTCTTTTTTTTTTTTGAGATGAAGTTTCGCTCTTGTCGCCCAGGCTGGAGTGCAATGGCATGATCTCGGCTCACTACAACCTCTGCCTCCTGGATTCAAGCGATTCTCCTGCCTCAGCCTCCCGAGTAGCTGGGATTACAGGCATGCGCCACCACATCTGGCTAATTTTGTATTTTTAGTAGAGAGGGAGTTTCTCCATGTTGGTCAGGCTGCTCAAACTCCTGACCTCAGGTGATCTGCCCGCCTCGGCCTCCCAAAGTGCTGGGATTACAGGCATGAGCCACCGCGCCCAGCCAGACTTATTTCATTTCTAATTATGAGGAAGTTCAAAATTTCTAGTCCATAAGAAATTGGAGGGGTGGAGATCATGAGGTTAATTGAATTCCAAATGCTCAGTCAGGCTGCCTTTTCTAAGTCATCCTCAGCCAGGTTGTTATGCCTGGCTTAGAGTATTTTTCGAGAATTCCTACCGATGGGGAAGAATCAGCCCTGCTGAGAGGCGGTCTCTTGCAGGGCAGGTCGCCACCTCTGTGGCACCAAGTGAGGTGCGAGCTCATCTCCCAAAGGCCATCCAGACAGAGGAAGCACTCTCAATCGGCATCCCCGATTCCTGGGGGAGAGGCCTCATTTCCATATGCATGTTCAGAGGACCATCTGAGTGTTGGGAAACAGGGGGAATAGGGAAATTATTGGAAAATGAACATTAGAAAAATTCACATTCCGGGGGTAAGCTGTCCTGGTCCACGTTCAGTTTTGTGTTCCTGTCTCCACTGTGGGGAACCACAGAACTGACAGAGGACAGGCTGAGGGACCCACCCCTGCCCCTCCTGTTCTATGTGTATTGCTGCCCCACCCCCACCCCACACTCTATTATTAATTGTTGTAGCCCAGAATTTCTTTCTTTCTTTTTCTTTTTTTTTTTTTTTTTTGAGACTGAGTCTCACTCTGTTGCCCAGGCTGGAGTGCAGTGGTGTGATCTCAGCTCACTGCAACCTCTGCCTCCCAGGTTCAAGTGATTGTCCTGCCTCAGCCTCCTGAGTAGCTGGGATTACAGGTGCATGCCACCACGCCTGGCTAATTTTTGTATTTTCAGTAGAGACCGGGTTTCATGATATTGGCCAAGCTAGACTCGAATTCCCAACCTCAGGTGATCCACCCGCCTCGGCCTCCCAAAATGCTAGGATTACAGGCGTGAACCACTGCTCCCAGCCCAGAATTTCTTTTTTAGCCCACGTTTTTCTAGTGAAAATAATACAGCAACATTATGTGGAAAGCTTGAAAAACAGAAAACAAGAATCTCATAGTCCTACTTTCTCCCCCAGCTGCCGGCATTAATAACAATGTGTGTAGTGCACATTCCCTTCCTGTATTTTGCATGCAGAGCGTGTTTTAAAGTTGCAATCAGTGTTCATAAAGTTCTTGGCACTTCCTTTTTTGTACACAAGTACATTGTAATCATTCACCTCACGGCTACACAACCAGCATTCATCATCGTTTCAATGGTTATTTGATGCGTTGCGGTGAAAGCACTATAACAAAATTAATCATCTTCTACGGGTCATTTGTGTTCCTGACACATCTGCTGTCATGAATAACCCCATCGTGAGTTCTTCCATGCTATAACTTTTTCCTGCTTTAATAATTTTCTTAGGACAGATGCCCAGAACTGGGATTATTGGGTCAAAGGAAATGAGAATTACTTTGGCTCCTGACACTATGTCTCAGTTGCCTTCTGGAGGTTTCTAACAGTGCAGCTCTGCCAGCAGTACAGGCCGGGGGCTCGGGGATACCTCACCGGCTCTTATTCCAAGAGTCACTGAACGGCGAACACAAAGCTGCCCCAGCCCTCAGCCTGCTCTGGAGGGGCACATTTGATGTATGACCTCTGTTGACAGCACCAGCAAAGCAAGTTGCCCTTAAACCCTTAAACTCTGTATCCCCCTATATTACCTTTCAGCCCCACAAGAGGATGTGGACGAGACCCCCAGCCCTACAGAACCAGGCACAGAGGCCCCAGGGCCCCCCGAGGAGCCTCTCCTGGGGGAGCTGACAGTGACAGGATCCTCCCCTGACTCGCTGAGCCTTTCCTGGACCGTCCCCCAGGGCCGCTTTGACTCCTTCACCGTGCAGTACAAGGACAGGGACGGGCGGCCCCAGGCGGTGCGTGTTGGGGGCCAGGAGAGCAAGGTCACTGTGAGGGGCCTGGAGCCTGGGCGCAAGTACAAGATGCACCTGTACGGCCTCCACGAGGGGCGGCGCCTGGGCCCGGTGTCTGCCGTGGGCGTCACAGGTGAGTGAGTGTGGGTGGGGCAGGGTTGGAAGACAGCCCTAGAAAATGTGCCCTTCTCTACCATTTTCCTATACATATTTCTGTCTTGATGGGGCTCACAGTGAAAGGAATATAGCAACATTATGGAAAGACATGTCATGGAGAGACAGGCTGCAATCCAGCAAATGAAGCAAAGGCGGGTGAGCATGTGATAGGGAGGCCCAGGGCTCAGGTCAGGACCAGACAGGGACGCCTAAGTCACCCTGCCCATGGGTACCCAGGGGACAGCCAGGACCTGAGGCCAGGCATGCCTTAGCTTGGTGACAGCTTTAGAGAGAAGGTGAAGTGTGTCAGATAATCACAGCTGGTGCAAAGGCCAGGAGGCTAGAAAGAGCATGGCACGTGAGAGGCACTGAGGATTGAGTGGGGTGTCCTTTACGGTGAGTATCTCATCCTGAAGTGTGGGAGCAGAGGAGGGGACCACTCACCAGGCCTGGGGTCTCCCAGGGATGAGGATGTGGTTGCCCAGGTCTGTGCTGAGATGGCCCCAGCAGCTGTGCCTGTGTGAAGCTCATCCGTGGGGGCTGAAGATGGGGATGGGGTGGCAGGGAGCCTGGAGGCAGCGAGGCCAGTAGGCAGTTGGTGGCCCTGGTGAGAGGTGACAGTGGCTCAAACTAGGATCGGGGACTGGAGGTGGGGTAGGAAGGTATCCAGGGGAATTCAGGGTAAAGATGCTCTGAGGCTGCTGGCAGCTGGTGAGGAGCTGGATCCAGGAACACACCCCAGGCTCTGGCCTCGGGAGGAGTGTGCTGAGCTTGTTGCGGAGCAAAGACAGAAGCCCAGTGAACAAAAGATGGCGAAGAGACCCCAGTGCTGGGAGGCCAGGGGTGCAGAGGCCGAGTGGGGCTGTGCTCAAAAGAGAGGCGGTGCTGGAGGGACAGGGAGAGGTGGCCTGGGTGTTGGGAGGTGGGGGTGAGGTGGGGGCTGAGGGCAGGAGGGTCAGGGTGAGGGATAGGAAAGGCCACAGGAGAGGAGAGGATGAAGAGCTGTGCTGGAGGGGCTGTGGGCAGCATCGTCCTGCTCTTGGGCACTTTGTGTTTTGTGACACATCCTTTCTATGCTGAACTGAGGAGCCAGGGACCTCACTGTCCCCACACGTGTCTGTCCAACTCCAGAGGATGAAGCCGAGACCACCCAAGCAGTGCCTACCATGACCCCTGAGCCCCCCATCAAGCCTCGCCTGGGGGAGCTGACCATGACAGATGCCACCCCTGACTCCCTCAGCCTGTCCTGGACGGTTCCCGAGGGCCAGTTTGACCACTTCCTGGTCCAGTACAGGAATGGGGATGGGCAGCCCAAGGCGGTGCGGGTGCCGGGGCACGAGGACGGGGTCACCATCTCAGGCCTGGAGCCAGACCATAAATACAAGATGAACCTGTACGGCTTCCACGGTGGCCAGCGCGTGGGCCCCATCTCTGTCATTGGGGTGACGGGTGAGTGGATGATGGCAGCCCCAGGGTGGGAGCCGTGGGAGGGTCACCCTCTTGCTCTTTGGTGATGACTGGTGGGGAATGGGCCAGGGGTCCGGTCAGCACCACAGACCTGCTTGTGGCTGGGGCTCCCCTTGGGCCTTCCTCTGAGGCTGACCCCTGGCTCCTCCTGAGCAGGGAGGGGCCATCAGGAGTTCTGCTGTGCTGGTGACTGTCCCAGGTCCCCCACAGCTGACCCTGGAACTTGTCATGTGTGTTAGCTGTCAGTTGAGCAGGACCACCCAGCCCCAAGAATGGGCTTTTCTGAAATGACCTCACATACCCAGTAGTGGCCATGGTTTCTCCCTCCTTCCCTTGAAGACCTGAGCACATCCCCCAGGCACCTGGCATCCTCTCTATATCTCCTTTTCTCAGCTGCAGAGGAAGAGACCCCCAGCCCCACGGAACTCAGCACTGAGGCCCCGGAGCCCCCTGAGGAGCCGCTCCTGGGGGAGCTGACAGTGACAGGATCCTCCCCTGACTCGCTGAGCCTCTCCTGGACCATCCCCCAGGGCCACTTCGACTCCTTCACCGTGCAGTACAAGGACAGGGACGGGCGGCCCCAGGTGATGCGTGTCAGGGGCGAGGAGAGCGAGGTCACCGTGGGGGGCCTGGAGCCCGGGCGCAAATACAAGATGCACCTGTACGGCCTCCACGAGGGGCGGCGTGTGGGCCCGGTGTCCACCGTGGGTGTGACAGGTGAGTGTTTGTGAGTGAGGAAGATGGCCCTAGAAGATGTTGCTTTCTCTGCAACTTCATGAAAACAAAAATATTCTCACCAGCCGGGCTTCTTTTGCACGTTTCCATGCTTGGGGATCTTGCTAAGAGGCAGATTGGGGTTCAACAGGTTTGGGCTAGGGCCAGAGATTCTGCATTTCCAACAAGAAATGATGCGGATGCTGCTGGCCCATGATCACGCCCCTTGAGTAGCAAAGTTCTTCACGACAAAGGAATTGGACCCTCTTTTGAAATCTGTTGAAGAGAATTTTTCTGCGTCCCTGATTCCTGGTAGTGTGCTTTCTCTGTGGAGTTGACTAGGGGCCGTGAAGGAAGACAGAAGGCAGTGAGGGGCAGCGCGTCGACTGCACACTCTGGAAGCCCACTATTGGAATAGGAATAGGAACAGACCTTTCTCACCAATGGGCCAATTTGTTCATTCAGCAAAGAATTCCTTGCCCTGATCCGGACACTGTAATTTTAGGGTATCAATGTCCTCTGGCCAACGACCTCCAGAAACTCACCTAAAATTGAATGGATGGAATTATGCTCCATGCAGTGCAGGAGGACTGTGGGGTGACTTAGGAAGAGGCTTTAGAAAGAGATTGTTAAGGAACTGGGCTTGTGTTTGGTGTTTTAGGAAAGCATTTAAGGAAGCAAGGTTTTGCTCTTTATTAGACGCTGTCAGGAAGAAGGGATAACCCTATTACCGGGCGTCTCACTAAGTCTTATCTTTGGGGAGGTCAACTAGAGCAAGGCCAAAGCTGCCATTGGTAAAGAAGCAGCTATCACTCAGATTAGCTGGATGGGTGATGTTTGGTTATTTTTGTGCTTTGGAAAATGTTAGAGTTCATCCTTACTGAGACATGATCACAGACTGGCCTTGTTCTTGTCTTGATCCATCCTACTGACAAATGGCCTAGTCTGATGTTGATGTTCCATGAAATTGTCTGTTCAACTGGACCACGCCAAGACCAGACTGTGCCAGGCCAGCCCCAAGCAGCCGTGGCCTGGCAGAGGGAAAGGGCAGCTCACGGGTGTCAGGGCTGCCTTTTTCTTTCATAGGCGGAAGCTGGAAAGTGACACACACAAGTTCATGTTTTCATGGGGCTCACAATTGTGGGCACAAGCAGAAAACCGGAAAGTAAGCAAAGAAGGATGAGCATGTGGAGCCCAGGAGCCAAGCCAGGATTGGGAAGGGACAGTGAAGTCACTCTGCCCACAAGTACCCAGGGGACAGCCAGGACCTGAGGCCAGGCAGGCCTTAGCTTGATGACAGCTTTGGAGAGGAAGTGAAGCATGTCAAATCATCACAGCTAGTGCAAAGGCCAGGAGGCTAGAAAGAGCATGGTGTGTGAGAGACACTGAGGATTGAGTGGGGTGTCCTTTGCAGTTGGTGGATCATCCTGAAGTGTGGGAGCAGAGGAGGGGACCACTCACCAGGCCTGGGGTCTCCCAGGGATGAGGATGTGGTTGCCCAGGTCTGTGCTGAGATGGCCCCAGCAGCTGTGCCTGTGTGAAGTTCATCCGTGGGAGCTAAAGATGGGGATGGGGTGGCAGGGAGCCTGGAGGCAGGGAGGCCAGTAGGCAGTTGGTGGCCCTGGTGAGAGGTGACAGTGGCTCAAACTAGGATTGGGGACTGGAGGTGGGGGAGGAAGGTATCCAGGGAAACTCGGGGGAGAGGTACTCTGAGGCTGCTGGCAGCTGGTGAGGGGCTGGGTCCAGGAACACACCCCAAGCTCTGGCCTCGGGAGGAGTGTGCTGAGCTTGTTGCGGAGCAAAGACAGAAGCCCAGTGAACAAAAGATGGCGAGGAGACACCAGTGCAGGGAGGCTAAGGGTGCAGAGGCCGAGTGGGGCTGTGCTCAAAAGAGAGGCGGTGCTGGAGGGACAGGGAGAGGTGGCCTGGGTGTTGGGAGGTGGGGGTGAGGTGGGGGCTGAGGGCAGGGGGGTCAGGGTGAGGGATAGGAAAGGCCGCAGGAGAGGAGAGGATGAAGAGCTGTGCTGGAGGCGCTGTGGGCAGCATCGTCCTGCTCTTGGGCACTTTGTGTTTTGTGACACATCCTTTCTATGCTGAACTGAGAACCCAGGGACCTCACTCTCCCCACACGTGTCTGTCCAGCTCCAGAGGATGAAGCAGAGACCACCCAAGCAGTGCCCACCACAACCCCTGAGCCCCCCAACAAGCCTCGCCTCGGGGAGCTGACCGTGACAGATGCCACCCCTGACTCCCTCAGCCTGTCCTGGATGGTCCCCGAGGGCCAGTTTGACCACTTCCTGGTCCAGTACAGGAATGGGGATGGGCAGCCCAAGGTGGTGCGGGTGCCGGGGCACGAGGACGGGGTCACCATCTCAGGCCTGGAGCCAGACCACAAGTACAAGATGAACCTGTACGGCTTCCACGGTGGCCAGCGCGTGGGCCCCATCTCTGTCATTGGGGTGACAGGTGAGTGTACGATGGGAGCCCCAGAGTGGGGCCTGTGGGAGGGTCTCCCTTTCTCTGGTGATGGGTGAACTGGCCCAGGAAGCCCCTCTGCTCTTGGCTGAGCCATGGTACTTTTTTGTCTTTCCCCACTTCCCTGAGGACTGACAGATCTTCCTGGGTGGAGAAGGGCCCTGTGAGCTCTGTTGGTGGCTGTCCCAAGTTCCCCAGCACTGACCTCAGAGCTTGTCATGTGTGTTGACTGTAAACTGAGCAAGACCACCCAGCTCCAAAGATGGGCCTCTCCAAGCTGACCCCAGGACCCCCACTCATGGCCACAGCTTCGCTCTCCTTCCTCACAAGACCCAAGGACATCCCCCAGGGAAGCTGCCTCACCTTCTCTGTCCCCTCTTCTCAGCTGCAGAGGAAGAAACTCCCGCCCCCACAGAACCCAGCACGGAGGCCCCGGAGCCCCCTGAGGAGCCGCTCCTGGGGGAGCTGACAGTGACAGGATCCTCCCCTGACTCGCTGAGCCTCTCCTGGACCATCCCCCAGGGCCGCTTCGACTCCTTCACTGTGCAGTACAAGGACAGGGACGGGCGGCCCCAGGTGGTGCGTGTCAGGGGCGAGGAGAGCGAGGTCACCGTGGGGGGCCTGGAGCCCGGGTGCAAATACAAGATGCACCTGTACGGCCTCCACGAGGGGCAGCGCGTGGGCCCAGTGTCCGCTGTGGGTGTGACAGGTGAGTAAGTGTGAGTGAGGCGAGGTGGGGAAGATGGCCCTGGAAGACACTGCTGTCTCTCCAGTCTTCGTGAAAACATACTCTGAAGAGTATTCCTTCCTTTGTGTATCCAAATGCCTGGAGATTTTTGTTAAAAAGCAGATTTGGATTCAGCAGGCTTGGCCTAGGGCAAGAGACCATGCATTTCTTTCTTTTTCTTTCTTTCTTTTTTTTTTTTTTGAGATAGAGTCTCGCTTTGTCACCCAGGCTGGAGTACAGTGGCTCAATCTCGGCTCACTGGAACCTCCGCCTCCTGGGTTCAAGTGATTCTCCTACCTCAGCCTCCTGAGTAACTGGGACTACAGGCGTGCGCCACCACGCCCAGCTAATTTTTTCATATTTTTAGTAGAGATGGGTTTCACCGTGTTAGCCAGGATGGTCTCAATCTCCTGACCTCGTGATCTGCCCTCCTCGGCCTCCCAAAGTGCTGGGATCATAGGCGTGAGCCACGGCGCCCAGCCGACCATCCATTTCTAACAAGATTCTCATCTATCTTGATGCCACTGGTCCAAGGAACACACTTTTTTTGTTGTTTTTTATTGTAGTAAAGTACACTTGACATAATTCGCCATTCTAATCGCTTTCTAGTTTGCAGTCCAGCATGAAGTCCACTCACATTGCTGTGGACTGTCACCCTCCACTTCCAGAACTCCTCTTCCCACACTGAAACTTCCTACCCACTAGACACGAACTCCCATTCTCCCCTTGCCCCAGCCCCTGGCAACACCATTCTACTCTCTGTCTCTATGAATTTGACTCTAGGTACCTCATATAAGTGCAATCATACAATATTTGTCTTTTTTGAATGGTTCATTTCATTAAATACAATGTCTTTAAGGTTCATCTATGTCGTAGCATCAGTCAGAATTTCCTTTTTATTTTATTTTCTGTGGCAATGGGGGTCTCGGTATGTTGCCCAGGCTGGTCTCAAACTCCTGGCCTCAAGCGAGTCTCCCACCTTGACCTCCCAAAGTGCTGGGATTATAGGCAAGAGCCACTGCACCTGGCCAGAACTTCCTTCCTTTTCAGGCTGAATAATGTTTCGTTTTACACATACAGACCACACTTTGCTCATCCTTTCATCCATTGATGGACATCTGGGTTGCTTCCACCTCTTAGCTATCAAGAATAATGCTGCTATGAATATTTGTGTGCAAATCACAGAACACCTTTGTAGCAAAGCTCCTCCCAGTAACAGATTTGGAAACTCTCTTAGAATTTGTTGAAGCGAATTTTTCTTGCATTCATGAATCCTCACAGAGGTTAGGCTCAGAGTTAGGGTTCCTGTCCTAATGGGAAAAGTTCCTGTCCTAATGGGGCTAACGTCATGGGGGACAGGCTGTGGACCAGTAAGAAAGCAAAGGCGGGTGAGCATGTGACAAGAAGCCCAGAGCCAGGCAGGAATACCTAAACCACCCTACCTGTGGATACTCAGGGGACAGTCAGGATCTGAGGCCAGGCAGGCCTTAGCTTGGTGACAGCTTTAGAGAGAAGGTGAAGCGTGTCAGATCAGCACAGGTGGTGCAAAGGCCAGGAGGCTAGAAAGAGCATGGTGTGTGAGAAGTACTGAGGATTGAGTGGGGTGTCCTTTGCAGTGAATAGATAGTCCTGAAGTGTGGGAGCAGAGGAGGCCTGGGGTCTCCCAGGGATGAGGATGTGATTGCCCAGGTCTGTGCTGAGATGGCCCCAGCAGCTGTGCCTGTGTGAAGCTCATCTGTGGGGGCTAAAGATGGGGATGGGGTGGCAGGGAGCCTAGAGGCAGGGAAGCCAATAGGCAGTTGGTGGCCCTGGTGAGAGGTGACAGTGGCTCAAACTAGGATCGGGGACTGGAGGTTGGGGAGGAAGGTATCCAGGGAAACTCGGGGGAGAGGTAACTCTGAGGCTGCTGGCAGCTGGTGAGGGGCTGGGTCCAGGAACACACCCCAGGCTCTGGCCTCGGGAGGAGTGTGCTGAGCTTGTTGCAGAGCAAAGACAGAAGCCCAGTGAACAAAAGATGGCGAGGAGACCCCAGTGCAGGGAGGGTAAGGGTGCAGAGGCCAAGTGGAGCTGTGCTCAAAAGAGAGGCGGTGCTGGAGGGACAGGGAGAGGTGGCCTGGGTGTTGGGAGGTGGGGGTGAGGTGGGGGCCGAGGGCAGGGGGGTCAGGGTGAGGGATAGGAAAGGCCGCAGGGGAGGAGAGGATGAAGAGCTGTGCTGGAGGCGCTGTGGGCAGCATCGTCCTGTTCTTGGGCACTTTGTGTTTTGTGACACATCCTTTCTATGCTGAACTGAGAACCCAGGGTCCTCACTGTCCCCACACGTGTCTGTCCAGCTCCAAAGGATGAAGCCGAGACCACCCAAGCAGTGCCTACCATGACCCCTGAGCCCCCCATCAAGCCTCGCCTGGGGGAGCTGACCGTGACAGATGCCACCCCCGACTCCCTCAGCCTGTCCTGGATGGTTCCCGAGGGCCAGTTTGACCACTTCCTGGTCCAGTACAGGAATGGGGATGGGCAGCCCAAGGCGGTGCGGGTGCCGGGGCACGAGGACGGGGTCACCATCTCAGGCCTGGAGCCAGACCATAAATACAAGATGAACCTGTACGGCTTCCACGGTGGCCAGCGCGTAGGCCCTGTGTCTGCCATTGGGGTGACGGGTGAGTGAATGATGGGAGCCCCAGGGTGGGAGCTGTGGGAGGGCCACCTCTTGCTCTTTGGTGATGACTGGTGGGGAATGGGACAGGGGTCTGGTCAGCACCACAGAACTGCTTGTGGCTGGGGCTGGGACTCCCCTTGGGCCTTCCTATGTGGTTGACCCCTGGCTCCCCCTGAGCAGGGAGGGGCCATCAGGAGTTTTGCTGTGCTGGTGGCTGTGCCAGGTCCCCCACAGCTGACCCTGGAACTTGTTACGTGTGTTAGCTGTCAGCTGAGCAGGACCACCCAGCCCCAAGAATGGACTTCTCTGAAATGACCTCAGGTCCCCCAGTCATAGCCTTGGCTTCTCCCTCCTTTTCCCCAGGACCCAAGGACATCCCCCTCACTCTCTCTCCCTCCTTCTCCACTGCAGAGGAAGAGACCCCCAGCCCCACAGAACCCAGCACTGAGGCCCCGGAGGCCCCTGAGGAGCCGCTCCTGGGGGAGTTGACAGTGACAGGATCCTCCCCTGACTCGCTGAGCCTCTCCTGGACCGTCCCCCAGGGCCGCTTCGACTCCTTCACCGTGCAGTACAAGGACAGGGACGGGCAGCCCCAGGTGGTGCGTGTCAGGGGCGAGGAGAGCGAGGTCACCGTGGGGGGCCTGGAGCCCGGGCGCAAATACAAGATGCATCTGTACGGCCTCCACGAGGGGCAGCGCGTGGGCCCAGTGTCCACCGTGGGCATCACGGGTGAGTGGGGGGACAGGCCCTCGTCCCCAGGTTTACCTCTGCAGCCCCCTTGTGTTTCTCCTTTGGATCTTGGCACCTCTTTTGACTGGGCCTCTAGGTTTCTGTCTTTTCTCCCATGTTGCTAATGATCCTGCCTCATCCTTGGATTCATGGAGACTGTGTGGAGTCAGATGGGCAGGTAGTCCATGCCCTGTTTGTTGTAGCTTCCTTCTCCCATTGTGATCTGGAACCTCCATGTTGCTCGTGTGCTCATTTGTTAGTCTTCAGGCTCCCTTAAGGAGTATTTTAGTGGCTCAGAAAGTGCTTCAGATCCAGCTGCCCAGATCTGCATGTGCCTTCGAATGTAGTGATTGTGCGACTTTGCAGGCGTTTCCTAACCTTGTGCTTCAGATTCCTGCAAAGTTGGGGTGATGATAATAATGGCACCCACTTCATATGTTGTGCGAGGGTTAAATGCACCACTGTTTGTGAGCTGCTTACAGCAATGCAGGGCACAGATTCTAAAACAAGCGTTTTAGAGGAGGCCGCTAAGAAATGCTCACTCCAGTCCTGGGAGAGCACTGCCTCCCTTGCGCAGGGTCCTGCCTCCTGACCCATGGGCCTGCTCTGCTCTTTTCAGCGCCCCTGCCCACACCACTGCCGGTGGAGCCCCGCCTGGGGGAGCTGGCGGTGGCGGCCGTGACCTCGGACTCAGTGGGCCTCTCATGGACGGTGGCCCAGGGCCCCTTTGACTCCTTCCTGGTACAGTACAGGGACGCGCAGGGGCAGCCCCAGGCAGTGCCTGTGAGCGGAGACCTCCGAGCGGTCGCCGTCTCGGGGCTGGACCCGGCCCGCAAGTACAAGTTCCTGCTCTTTGGACTCCAGAATGGGAAACGCCACGGCCCAGTCCCTGTGGAGGCCAGGACCGGTGAGTGAGGGCTGGAGGCCTCCCGCGGCCAGAGCCTTCGCCCCCTTGTGGCACCTGTTGGAATTTCACGTTCTGTGCCCCACACTCCAGTCCTCAGCACCCACTGATTTATTGGGTCCAGGAAAACCCAGGCCCTGAGCTCTCCTCTCCCACTCACACTCATCCCTCTCCCTACTTTCCCTGCACCCCAGGGGACACTTGCTTTCTTGTCTGGCTCCTCTTTTATTCCTACTCCTGGCCCAGTCACCCTCCCGTTCCTGGGACCGGCTCACAGAGCCATAGCAGCCCAGGAAGCTCCGTGGCCCCTTTGCCTCCATCCCACTCTCCATGCACCTCACTGTCTTTTCCAGCCCCAGACACCAAACCGTCTCCCCGCCTGGGGGAGCTGACTGTGACAGATGCGACCCCTGACTCCGTGGGCCTCTCGTGGACGGTCCCTGAGGGCGAATTCGACTCCTTCGTGGTCCAGTACAAGGATAAGGATGGTCGGCTCCAGGTGGTGCCGGTGGCAGCCAACCAGCGGGAGGTCACAGTCCAGGGCCTGGAGCCCAGTAGGAAATACAGGTTCCTGCTCTATGGTCTGTCAGGCAGGAAACGACTGGGCCCCATCTCTGCTGACAGCACCACAGGTGAGTCCCAGTCCAGCCTCCACCTTTTCCAGAGCTGCCTCTCATCCGAGCCCTCAGAGCTGGCCCTGCAGCCTTCCCGTGAGATTCCCTCTATCAGCCCTGACACAACCATCTTAACTCCGAAAGTGAGTCCCTCTGTGTGTCAGGCACAGTTCTGAAGCATATGCATTACTTCCTTTCATTCGCTGACTGCTGAGGAAATAAAAGGGACACGGGCTTTGGGGCCAGCAGATCTGTGTTCCAGTTCCAGTCCTAGCCTTTGCCAGGGTGACCATGGACAAGCCGCTTCATCCCCGGGACCTCAGTGTCCTCACCTGCATAATGCTGGGAATGGCGCTGGACTCAGTAGTGGTTCCCATCCTCCTCCCTCCTCCCTGACTCGGAGCCGAGGGGTGGAAGAAAAGGGAGGGCTTGGCTATGGAAAGACGATGGAAAAACCTGGTGTCACTATGCCTATGACTCAGCTCCCTGAGGAAGGGGTGTGGTGGGTCACCGACCCTCACCCCACTCCCAGGACCATGAGTCACTATGCCCAGAGGAGGACAGAGCAGCCGGCCAGTCTGGGCCTGGGTCCCTGGGACTCCGTAATTCTCTTCCCAAACCCTCACTGTGGGGACGGGGTACAGATCCCCACCCATCGGCCCCAGCCCCACCCGGGCAAGCCTCTGCTCTGCCCTCTGTTCTCCCAGCTAATCCCCTGTCTTCTCCCTGCCCCACCCTGGCTGCCCCGGCCCAGTGGGGTCAGTGTGGGGCTGGGGAAGCAGGAGGCACGGATGTTCAGGCTGATGGCCACAAGGGGACAAGGGGGAGATCACAGCCTGGCAGTGATGGGAGCCGTGCATTGGCCGGCTGCCCAGACCAGCTCTCGATGTTTGGGGTGTCTCCGTGACAACCCAGAGACCTCCGGGGAGTCTCTCTCAGCTCTGGCCTCATTCTTGCTCAGGGGCTGGGGGTCAGGGTAAACAAAGGCCCTCTCTGCACCCCCAGCCACCCATCCCTCGGGAGATGATCTGTAATGAATTTGGCGCATCCTCGATCACAGCAGGGAAGGGGCGGGGCAGGAAGGAGTTTGGGCAGCAGCCTCCAGAGGAGGAGGGGGCTGTTCTCCCTCATTCCTGTGGGGCATGGCGGGAGCAGGCCTGTGTGTCTCCTCAAGGAGCTGTCCCTGGGGCTACACTGGAGGGACCATTTCCCAGAACCTCACACCTCCGGGAGGCTGCCAGGGCTTAGGCAAAGGCAGCATGTGACTAAGAGCTTTCCCTCCTCCCTCTGCACAGCTCCCCTGGAGAAGGAGCTACCTCCCCACCTGGGGGAACTGACCGTGGCTGAGGAGACCTCCAGCTCTCTGCGCCTGTCCTGGACGGTAGCCCAGGGCCCCTTTGACTCCTTCGTGGTCCAGTACAGGGACACGGACGGGCAGCCCAGGGCAGTGCCTGTGGCCGCAGACCAGCGCACAGTCACCGTAGAGGACCTGGAGCCTGGCAAGAAATACAAGTTTCTGCTCTACGGGCTCCTTGGGGGAAAGCGCCTGGGCCCGGTCTCTGCCCTGGGAATGACAGGTGAGGCTGCTGTGCCTGGCTATAGCAAGCCAGCTTGTGTGGGTTTCCTTGTGCATTTGGGCTGAAGACAAAGATGACTGCAGGAGTGGGCAGGCCGGAGTGGGGCGCCCTGGCCTGTCCCCAGGAAGGAGGAGGAGTCTGCAGCCCTGTGGGCTTCAACATCCATCAAGGAGTCCAGAGCAGGAGCCAGGCCAGGCGGGAGGGAAAGGCCCTGGGAGGGGCTCTCTAATCTCCCAGCCCCGACTCTGCCCCGTCACTGCCACTGCTCCTCATTACTCGCTGGGGCTGCTGTCGCCTCCCCGAAGGGTGGCCTTGTCCAGATAGCGGCAAACCTCCCTGCCGTGGATGAGTCAGGAGCATTTTCTTAAGAGGAACATCACTGGAAAACAAAATGAGCGGGGACACAGAAACCAACAGCAGTGGCTGCATTTGTGGTACAGGCTCCTCTTCCAGAGCTCGCTGATGCCCACCTCAGACAGGCCTGACCACGGCACGGCTGGTGGGATTTGCCAGTCACCTCAACCAGCCAGTTCCACCCTCAGCTTCTCTCAGAAGGGAGCACCACACTCCTCAAGCTCAGTGAATGTATCCCGGCATGGGTGGGGCCAGAGCCTGTGATATCTCGAGGTGGGCTCGGCAGGACACCGGGGTGTGGAAGGGGGAAGCGAGCACCTGACTCAGACAGCGCGGGAGCTCGCAGGAGTCACGAGGCCACAGCGACTTCATTGTCTGACTGGGCCTGGACCTATAAACTTCCCACCTCAGCCTTGGGCCAAGCCTGGAAGATAAAAATGGAGCACCCCATGGCGCCCCTCACTCAGATTCTCCCCTGGGCTTCTCCCACGCAGCCCCAGAAGAGGACACACCAGCCCCAGAGTTAGCCCCAGAGGCCCCTGAGCCTCCTGAAGAGCCCCGCCTAGGAGTGCTGACCGTGACCGACACAACCCCAGACTCCATGCGCCTCTCGTGGAGCGTGGCCCAGGGCCCCTTTGATTCCTTCGTGGTCCAGTATGAGGACACGAACGGGCAGCCCCAGGCCTTGCTCGTGGACGGCGACCAGAGCAAGATCCTCATCTCAGGCCTGGAGCCCAGCACCCCCTACAGGTTCCTCCTCTATGGCCTCCATGAAGGGAAGCGCCTGGGGCCCCTCTCAGCTGAGGGCACCACAGGTACCACCAGGCGTCTCCGGCCTCTAGCCTAGGACTCAGAAGGGAGAAACGGGGGCTCAGAAGGGGTGGTCGCAGGGAAAGAGCGTGAGGCGGGTACCAGGGAGAGAGGATGGATGGGCTGGATGCGAGTGGCCTTTAGCTCTGCCCCACAGGACCCCCCTGTGGCTGCAAGTCCCTGGTTACAGATAGAGAAACGGGGGCAGGGAGGGGGGTGGAAGGGACGTGCTCTGGGTCACCAAGCTGGTGTGCTTCTGTCTCCAATCCCTTCTCCCCCACCCACTCCGTGCAGGGCTGGCTCCTGCTGGTCAGACCTCAGAGGAGTCAAGGCCCCGCCTGTCCCAGCTGTCTGTGACTGACGTGACCACCAGTTCACTGAGGCTCAACTGGGAGGCCCCACCGGGGGCCTTCGACTCCTTCCTGCTCCGCTTTGGGGTTCCATCACCAAGCACTCTGGAGCCGCATCCGCGTCCACTGCTGCAGCGCGAGCTGATGGTGCCGGGGACGCGGCACTCGGCCGTGCTCCGGGACCTGCGTTCCGGGACTCTGTACAGCCTGACACTGTATGGGCTGCGAGGACCCCACAAGGCCGACAGCATCCAGGGAACCGCCCGCACCCTCAGCCCAGGTAAGGACCCACACACACTCTGCCCCAAAGTGGGGGTCTTTGTACTTCACGGGGGGGACCTAGTGCCTCAGCCAGCGGTGGGGGTGGGCGAGTTGGTGGTGGGCCTGGAGGAATCTGCAGAGCGACTTCCATTCCTGGGGACTAGAGGAAAAGGGGTGGTGAGCCTGTGCTGGAGCAGAGGCGAGGGGGGGACTCGTAGGGAGAAGCCTCCCTGCCCCTGCCTGCGTCATTGTTCCTTGACCCCTCTGCAGTTCTGGAGAGCCCCCGTGACCTCCAATTCAGTGAAATCAGGGAGACCTCAGCCAAGGTCAACTGGATGCCCCCACCATCCCGGGCGGACAGCTTCAAAGTCTCCTACCAGCTGGCGGACGGAGGTGGTGCCTTTGCCATGTGCTCATCGCCTCGCATTTCCTCTCCCCCCTGCACTCTGCCCACCCTCCAGCTGCCCTGGGGTTCCCTGGGTAACCCTCGATCCCCAATGTTTTCAGGGGAGCCTCAGAGTGTGCAGGTGGATGGCCAGGCCCGGACCCAGAAACTCCAGGGGCTGATCCCAGGCGCTCGCTATGAGGTGACCGTGGTCTCGGTCCGAGGCTTTGAGGAGAGTGAGCCTCTCACAGGCTTCCTCACCACGGGTGAGATGGACTGGGACCCGGGGCAAGAGGTGGGAGCCAAGAAAACGGCATGGGTGGGAGTTGAGAGAGAACGAGGAGGGTGAAAGGGAGGTGGTGGAGGCTCCGATTGCGGACGGGAGGCCAGTGGAGTCTGGGGAGGCACGGAGTAGAGAGAGCCGCGGGGACCCTTCTGAGCCCCTCCCCTTCCCCCAGTTCCTGACGGTCCCACACAGTTGCGTGCACTGAACTTGACCGAGGGATTCGCCGTGCTGCACTGGAAGCCCCCCCAGAATCCTGTGGACACCTATGACGTCCAGGTCACAGCCCCTGGGGGTGAGCAGGCCTGAGGCCTCTGGAGGGGACTTGTTCAGGGTGGGGATTGCAGGGGGGAGGCTGGACTCTGGCCGAGGATGGAGGGGGCAGGCCTTGATGCCCCTCTCTACACTCCCAGCCCCGCCTCTGCAGGCGGAGACCCCAGGCAGCGCGGTGGACTACCCCCTGCATGACCTTGTCCTCCACACCAACTACACCGCCACAGTGCGTGGCCTGCGGGGCCCCAACCTCACTTCCCCAGCCAGCATCACCTTCACCACAGGTAGGGTCTGTGGGGTGTGTGGGACAGGGAGAGGAGGTAGAGGGAGCCAGGTTGGGCCTCATCCCCATCTCCTCTTCCTGCTTTCCCTCCTAGGGCTAGAGGCCCCTCGGGACTTGGAGGCCAAGGAAGTGACCCCCCGCACCGCCCTGCTCACTTGGACTGAGCCCCCAGTCCGGCCCGCAGGCTACCTGCTCAGCTTCCACACCCCTGGTGGACAGAACCAGGTGCCCCGGCCCCACTGACCCAACTCCCCTCCCTGGGTGATTCCAGGAGGTGCTGCCTCTGGCCCTCCCGGAGGGTCTCCACCTCCCTCTCCCCTGACCCCCCCTTGTCTGTCCCACAGGAGATCCTGCTCCCAGGAGGGATCACATCTCACCAGCTCCTTGGCCTCTTTCCCTCCACCTCCTACAATGCACGGCTCCAGGCCATGTGGGGCCAGAGCCTCCTGCCGCCCGTGTCCACCTCTTTCACCACGGGTACCTGGACGCACGGGCCCGGGGCCGGGGGCTGGGTGGGCAGCCAGGGCCTAAGGCTTGGAAAAGGACTGGCCCCTGCTCTCCTCTCCCAGGTGGGCTGCGGATCCCCTTCCCCAGGGACTGCGGGGAGGAGATGCAGAACGGAGCCGGTGCCTCCAGGACCAGCACCATCTTCCTCAACGGCAACCGCGAGCGGCCCCTGAACGTGTTTTGCGACATGGAGACTGATGGGGGCGGCTGGCTGGTGGGTGGCATTGGGAAGCCCAGGGGTCTGTGCAGGGCAGGGTCTGTTGCCCCGGGAGCCAGAGGCTGATGGTGCCCCCACTTGCTTCCCAGGTGTTCCAGCGCCGCATGGATGGACAGACAGACTTCTGGAGGGACTGGGAGGACTATGCCCATGGTTTTGGGAACATCTCTGGAGAGTTCTGGCTGGGTCAGTGCCTCACAGGGACTGGGGAACTACGGATGGGGATGGGGGCCCTGTGGACACCAGGACCCTGATGAGGGCACGTATCCCACCCCCAGGCAATGAGGCCCTGCACAGCCTGACACAGGCAGGTGACTACTCCATGCGCGTGGACCTGCGGGCTGGGGACGAGGCTGTGTTCGCCCAGTACGACTCCTTCCACGTAGACTCGGCTGCGGAGTACTACCGCCTCCACTTGGAGGGCTACCACGGCACCGCAGGTAAGCAGAGGCTGTGAGGCTGGGAGGGTGAGGCTGGGAGGGGAGGCCCTCATGGCTCCTTCCTCCACCCTGCCCAGGGGACTCCATGAGCTACCACAGCGGCAGTGTCTTCTCTGCCCGTGATCGGGACCCCAACAGCTTGCTCATCTCCTGCGCTGTCTCCTACCGAGGGGCCTGGTGGTACAGGAACTGCCACTACGCCAACCTCAACGGGCTCTACGGGAGCACAGTGGACCATCAGGTGAGGGGTGGGGAGGCGGCTCAGAGCTGGGGTGGCTGGGGCTCGGCCTGCCTAGGTTTCAGCCCCACAGTGTAACAGGCAAGGGACTGAGTGGCTGGGTGAAATGGAACAATCATGCCAGCCTCGCAGAGGGAGCTGGAGTTGATTTATTGGCTGGAAAGGGCCAGCTCAGAATTAAGCCTCAATCCTCTGCAGCGGAGGGTCAGGAAGGGAGCTCTGCGGGGAGGTTGGTTGAGTGCTGGGAGCTACCTCCTTAAGGGGAACGGGAAGAGCAGATGGGACATCCGGCTTTGACTCTCTCTTGACAACCCCTTTCCCAGGGAGTGAGCTGGTACCACTGGAAGGGCTTCGAGTTCTCGGTGCCCTTCACGGAAATGAAGCTGAGACCAAGAAACTTTCGCTCCCCAGCGGGGGGAGGCTGAGCTGCTGCCCACCTCTCTCGCACCCCAGTATGACTGCCGAGCACTGAGGGGTCGCCCCGAGAGAAGAGCCAGGGTCCTTCACCACCCAGCCGCTGGAGGAAGCCTTCTCTGCCAGCGATCTCGCAGCACTGTGTTTACAGGGGGGAGGGGAGGGGTTCGTACGGGAGCAATAAAGGAGAAACTGAGGTACCCGGCTGGCATCGGTCCTGCCCCATCACTGGCTCTGGCCCGGGCTGTGGGCCCCCATCCCCCGGGGCTGCAGCCGCACTTGGAAAGGCTGCATCTTGAGGATGACACTGCAGTGGGGCAGGGGCTGCAGGGAGGGCAGGGCGTCCCCGGAGGGCAGCAGCGTGAAGGCCTGCAGCAGTCGGGTCAGCACCACGAAGAGCTCCAGGCGCGCCAGCGGCTCGCCCAGGCACACGCGGGCACCGCAGCCGAAGGCCAGAGCTCTGGAGTTCTTGCCTGGCTCCAGGAAGCGATCTGCGGGCGGGTGGACAGGTGGGTGGGGAGGCGTTCAGCGGCAGCGGGGACCAGCCTCCACCACATTTTCACGGCAGGCCCCCGGCCCCCCACATACCAGGCCAGAACTCATGTGGCCTCTCCCAGACCGTCTCATCCAGGTGGGCGCCTTGGAGGTTCGGAATGATGACTGTGCCCTCAGGGATGTCGTAGCCGGAGATGCTGAAGGGGGCTGGAGTTAGAGGCTGGCCAGGACCTCCCTGGGCTCGGGCTTTCCTCACTCATCCCCAACCCTCGGGAGTCACCTGCTGGGCCGTGTGGTGCGGTGGGGCAAGGCTAAGGGCACAACGGGCCGCAGGCGCAGCACCTCGGCGATGGTGGCATTGAGCAAGGGCAGCCGTGCACGGTCCTTGTAGGGGACCCGGGAGCTGGAGGCACCAGGGCCCAGTTCGTGGTCTAGCTCCTCCTGCAGTCGCTGCTGAATCTGGGGAATGATCGGGTGGAGTCCTGCCCCAGCAGCCCACAGCTGCCCAGCCTCCAGCCGCTCCCTCAGCAACCCAGTGAGCCTGAGTGCCGGTGAGGCAAGCACAGCCCCAGCCGCACAGTGCTCAGAGCTGAGTGAGGGTGCCCACCGCCCTGGCCAGGTTGCTGGGAAGGAGCCTTTTGCTTGTCCCCAGGACGCACCTCAGGGTGGTGAAGCAAAAAAACCACGGCCCAGGAGAGGGTGTTTGCTGTGGTCTCAGTGCCACCGATCAGGAGGTCCACTGCAGCCATGTGCACGTGCCCTTCCAGGAGCTGTCCAGAGCCCTCTTCCATGCTCGGCTGCGCCACCCCTTGGAGCATGTAGTCCATCATGTCCCTCCACTGGCCTGCCACGAGGCTCTCCTGCAGAGGGTGAAAGGAGCGGGCTGAGCGGCTGGCCTGGGGAGAGGAGTACAGAGTGGCAACAGGCCCATAACTGGGGTATGCAAAAGAACCCGCCTCATAGCAATGCTGAGGCCGGTAGCATCACTGGCTGTGGGCCGAGGGGAGGCCGTCCACGTACAGTCCCCACCTTGTGCTGCCTCAGCTGCATCTCCACGATGTGATCCCTCTTCTCTATGGCCTGCTTCAGCCTCCGGAGACCTGGATTGGGGAAGAACTGCGGCAGGAAGCATGAGAATGCAGCTGTGGGAAGGAGCCTCTCCCTCCACCCCAGCCTCTCCCCTACAACCCAGGGGTGTCTAGGCTCCAGGTCCTCACCCTGAGAAAGGGAATCACGTCCACAATTTGGATGGACCAGTGGCTCCAGGTTTTTAACACCTCCTGGATACATTTGTAATAGGCAGGCATTAAGTTGTCGTCCTGCCAGAAAAGGAGGGAGTACTTTCAGTTCAGGACAAGGAGAGGCTCAGGGAGGGGCTGGGGGTGGGCCTGAGGGGCTGTGAGGCACCTTGATCTTGTCTCCGAAGGTGAGGTAACAGATGATGCTGCAGGTGAGGAGAGAGAATTCCTCCTCAATGGCCACAGGGGTGCCGGGCTGGGCTCTCATGCGCTGTGGAGAAACAGTGTGAGTTCAGCAGGCCGCTGTGCAGCGGGCAGGGCGGGGGCTACTGTGAGAGGCGAGGCTGACCCGAGGTGGCCTCAGGAGCCCAGCCTTACCTCACAGAACTCCTGGGTCAGCTGCTCCACCACTGGCTCCATGGAGTCACGGATGCCCAGCAGCAGGGCTGAGCGGGTGAGCTTCTTGTGGGCTTTCCAGAGCAGGGAGTAGTCTCCCAAGGACAGGTCCGGGTAGTTCCTAGACACCAGCTTGTCTGCAGGAGGAGGTGGGGGCTGGAGGGTGGGAACTGATGAAGGCAGCTGAGGGCCTGACCTTCTTCGGCCTCCCCAACCCCTGCTTTCTCCCCACCAGATATGCCCCCCCAAGAGCTTCCAGGGACCTGGATTGGGGATGCCCCAAAGGTGGCTCACACTTGAGGCTGAGGTGGGAGGATCATTTGAGACTAGGAATTTAAGACCAGCCTGGGCAGCATAGCAAGAACCCATCTCTTAAAAAAAAATTTTTTTAAGAAAGAAAAAATGCCCCCGGCCCTTACAGGTAAGTGGCTCAGGTCTGCCAGCAAAGTCTGCCCACTTTTTGACCATGGCTTCCTCAATGGTCCTCTTGGAGTTCAGCACCACCACATCTGGGAGACAGCCAAAGCAGCGTCAGCGGAGAGAGGACCCTCTCCGTCACCTCCGCCCCCTCCTATGGTGAGGGCCAGAGCGAGATCAGCCTCTCACCTTGCAGCCCAAGGTGGAGCCTGTAGATGGGCCCGAATTTCTGAGTCAGGCCAAGCAGATAGATGGGGAGGTCGGGCTGCAGCAGGTGCAAGAAGCCCGGGGCAAGAGGCGGGAGGTGGAGGCTCCGGAGCTTCCACCAGTTCCACAGCAGGCGGGCGCCAGCCAGCAGGGGCAGCAGCAGCAGCAGGCCCAGGAGCAGCATGGCGAGACGCCCGTCAGGGCCCTGAGGTGCCACTTATAGCTCAAGAGCCCCAGCCATCCCTCCTGCTGTGTAGACTGTTTTGGGGCCTCCCTTGACCCCACCTTCAGGTACCCTCCCACCGACCCGCCCACAGAGTGGCCCTTTTCTGGAATGACACCAGTCTCATTGGCCTTGGGACGTCCGTATTTCAAAAAAATTGATCACCCATCAAGAAGCAAGGAAGGGAAATGCAACCCTGACCTTTTTCCTGCATCCAGAGTCAGCTTTCTGGTTCCACATCAACTGTGCAGGCAATAGTGTCCGCCCCCACCTGGGCCCTCTCCCTCTGCCACCCCACCGTGGGCCAGTTTACTGGCATGATGTTTGTCTCAGAGAGAAAATGGCAGTCCCTGCCTAATAGGCCTTCCTGAATCGCCTGAAGAACAAAATGTGATTTGTGTGGGTTGTTTGTTAGTTTAAGCTACAGATAGAGTAATACAGTTTAAGCCTGGTTTGCCTGGGGCATTCCAGTATATACAGGTATCCCAGTGTGATTGTTATTAGTGCCTCCTTTCACTCACAAAAGTGCCCAGAAGACAAAGGAGGAAGTGGTTTCCCGCTGCGGAGTAATAGCATGTACCAGACACTGCTCTAAGTGCTTTGTGGGCACTCACTCAACTCTTCACAGCCATGCTCTATATGCAACACGGGTATTGTTCGCATGTTGTGGAGGGCAGGATTCCAGCCTGGAAATCTAGCTGTCGA
Organism: Homo sapiens; assembly: GCF_000001405.40. Lineage (NCBI taxonomy): Eukaryota > Metazoa > Chordata > Mammalia > Primates > Hominidae > Homo > Homo sapiens. The sequence continues at coordinate 32,037,678 of NC_000006.12, read as the reverse complement.
ATATGTACCTTTAGCCACCAGGAGCACCTTTCTTTGGTTGAAAGGAAAACAGCCCACCTTGAGCTGGTTTGAGATAAAAAATAAGAATTGGGGAATTTCACAGAACTCAGGAAAAAGAAGCAGAGGAGGGGACCCCACTGGTCTTAGAAAGTCAAGGATAGGGAACAGAAAAAGCCCCGGAGACGGGCGGTTTCCTCGCTCTGTTCCTCTCTCCTCTTTCTTCTCTCTGCAGTCAAGTTTCTTGTGTTTCCAGGCACAGGCAGAACATGACTGCCCTCAGGACTACAGTCCACAGGTTCTACTCCAGCCAGGGAAAGTATGGATTCCCAGCACAACTGGGCATGCCCCCCTCAAAGTCCAAAGTCCCCAGGAAGGGGCTGGATAGCCACAGCTGGATCAGGATCAAGGGTCCAGCCCTATTTGGGGAACTGAAGCCATAAGGGGTGGGGGTCCCACTGGACTGACACTCAGAGACCACTTTTGTGGGTAAGGAGGCAGTTTGGGGATTTGGGAAGAGGCCATGCCAAAGAGGAGTGGCCGGGTTCAGTGAGAGGCCAGGGCCTCCTGGATGGTACCTGAGAGGTCAGAGGCGACCCAGCCCCATACCTTCCCCCCCATTTCTGGCTCTGTGCCAGACCCTCGGACCAGTGGGGGTCTCTCTCCCCTCAGAGCTTTTCCAGACTGTGCTACTGCAGAGCCAGAGTCAAGACCCTGGCTGTGCCACCCACTACATTGGCGAGTTCGCTGCTGCTGAATCCATGATCAGGACTGAGAGGGAGAAAACAGGATTGGGATTTCTGGGGTTGGGCAATGACAGCTACTGCCTTCTTCATGGTTGACCTCCCAGACCGGGCCATGTCTTGCTGCAACTGAATCCCTGGCTCCGGAAAATGGGCTTATGCCACCACCATGCTGAGCAGCTACTGGGAGAAAGATCTGATGAGCAACCATAGGGCCATGTATGCAAGAGCCTCAGGAAACCTCTGCCACAGTGGGAAAGGCCCAAACTTCTCAAAGTTACGTGGGATAAGACAGTGCTCATCGGAAAGGAGCGCACCTGGAAGGCTGACGTGCTTACTACTTGTCTCACCATCTCCATCTCTTCCACCACTTCCAAATCCAAACTCCGAATGTGGTCAATTACATGCAATGTCCCCAAAGGTACCCTGTCCTGCCCCCGGCCTCTGGGCCTTTGTATATTCTCCTTCTGCCCCAGATGCCCTCATCTACCCCTGCTCTTTTCCTGGCTCCTTCTCAGTCTTCAGAGCCCCACTTGGAGGCCACCTGCTCCAGGAAGCCTTCCCTGTCCCTGCCTGGCAATGCCCCTGACTTGGTTAGATGCCCCACAGGACCACACTGCTCCCTGACATCACATCTTTCACAGAGGGTGGGGACTGCCCGTCCTCTTATCTGTCTCCCCAGCGATGAGCCCTGGAGTGAGCAGCTGTATCTCTGGCACCTGGCACAGGGCATGGCATGAAGTGAAAGATTCCCGAATTTCTGTCGAATGACTGGATGGCAGGCTGCTGAACTGTCATGACCTCTACGGAAACTGATCTCACCAAACTTCTTTGGACAGACGCGGAGTCATCTCTGAAGACCCCAGGTGTGCCACTAAATGGGGGAAAGTTAGGCAGGTCCGGTGGGAAGGGGAGACCCCAGGAGAACAGCGGCTTCCTCAGAGGATTCACAAACACACCAAAGTCAGACTTTTGGCTTGTTTGAAACCAGTAACTGGAAGAAGACACTGCCGGACCTGAGGATTGCACAACTCCGGGAAAGTCACCTCATTCCACTGATAACAGAACCAAGCGTCAGCAGGCTTTCAACAGCCCGGAACTCAGCTAAAATCTGCAGACCTCAGAACCGCCAGCAGCACGAGGACAGAGTCGGGGAGGTGTAGCTGGACAACAGCTCATGAGGCAGAAGAGCTGTGTCACAGGTGTCAGCTGAGCACAAGCCCTGTCTGAGGCCGTGGTGACTGGCGACAGCCGGGCAGTGGAGGGCCTTGGAAGCTGAAGGGTGGTCTTGGCATGGACTCTGGTCCTTGGGGTGCAGGCTCTTGGGTCCCAGTTCTGCTCGGGGTGGTCCTGTGAAGCACTAGACTCCTAGCGGGTCATCTGGGAGGTTCTAGCAGAGCTGAACAGCCCAAGGGTCATCAGGGCTCAGAGAGTCTAAGGTTATGTCAACCTGGCCTGCCCAGAACTGCATCGGGCAGGGGCACTGCTCTCAGCCCTAGCAACACACACTGACACTTCACTGCCAACACTGACACTTTGCTGCCAAAAGCCTTTAATATGCCCTGGTCCCAGGCTGTGTTCATGAAAGCGGACACAGCAGTGCTTCCAGCTTCATGGTTCCCAGGTTCAGGTTCCTCCCAGCGGAGGTGGGAGGGCAGCCCTCACACCTGGCACCCCTGAGTGCCATACTCCTGGAGGAAGTCGTTGAGCTGGGCACAGGCTGCCCGCTGGCGGGTGCTCCGGCACAGGCGTTCAGAGGGCATCTCCTCGATCCAGCTATTCGAGTCCAGCAGGTACTGGGGGCTGCAGGGGGCAAAGGGGCAGTCAGCAGGGCTCGGGAGGATGGCAGGTGGAAACGGAGAGCACAGGCATCTGGCTTCTGAGGGGCAAGGCCTAGGTGGCGAGGCATGGGGAGGACAAGAGACTGAGGGGACCAGATGACTCACTGTCCCTCGAGGTCATAGGTGGCCCCATCCAGACCCATGATCAAATATTCTTTCCCAGGTTCCAAGCGAAGGCGGCAGGAGGCTCGAACCAGGAAGTTGCGCATCTGATTAGCAGCGGCCTTGACATCCTTGGCTGCGGGGATGACGTGCGCAAAAGTGGTCAGAGGGGAAGAGAAGGTGCAGGGTGAGCCCAGGCTGGGGACTCTGTGTAGATCCTCTCATTCCACCTTCGCCACCCCCATGGAGAGGTGCCACTGCCTCCCTATTTATGGCCAAGCCCAAGGCTTCTGACAGCCCAAGGGGATTTTCACACTTCCAGATGGTCAGGTCCTCGGCCACACCTCAGCCTCCCTGTCTCCCCCCAGCCCTGCCCGCCTCTCCGGTTTGCTTCATACTGAAGTGCAGGACTTGGGTGATCTTGGTCTCAAAGAGGCGGAAAGCAGCTCTGCTGTCTTCTCGGAGAACCTTAACCTGGAAGCCTAAGAGGGGGTGAGGAGAAGGGGGAAAGGTGAGTTACTTTGAGGCTGAGAGGGTAGGAAGTTGGTGTCAGAGCAAACAGGCTGCGTGCATGACCTGTAAGAGGAGCAGGCTACACCCAGAGAGACCAAAACGGCCGGTCCCCGAGGGAGGGTCAGGCCAGGGCCTCGGTGGGAAGACTGACCGTACTCCACACGGGGGTAGTAGCAGGCAAACTTCATCCTGTAGCCATCCTCGTCCTGCAGACCCCGCTCCAGGGCGCGACGCTGGCGAGGGCACTTCCCTGAAGTTGGGGAACCCATCAGACAGTGTGGGGGGGGCCCCGGCCATCCCGCCTCCACTGCCCCGCCCCAGGCCCTCAGTCTCACCCTCAGCACACTGGCAGACTTCAGCAGAACACAAGGTGGCCAAGAGTCTGCTCTTACTTGGTGCCCCGTAAAACACAGAACATCTGCGCTCTGGAGAACAGAGAGGAGTTAGGGCACAGGCCCCTCCATTCTGCCTCCTCAGTCCCAGGGAGCCCCAGGGCTCTCTGCCCCCTCACTACCCCGGTGTCCATTGTCCCATAGGAGGGCACCTATGCCAAAGTTCTCCTGAATTTCAGGGTGTCCTGCAGTGCTCACCGGGGTTGTAGTAGTCGTACAGGGTTGCGCTGGCCGGCTGCACCAGCCCCACCGGCACTTCCTGCACAGCCTCAAAGCCCACGCACTCCCGGGAGGTGGGGACCTGGCCAAGCGTGGGGAGGAGAGATGAGGGACCCACTCCCTGGGCCCTGCAGCCCCCTGTACTGGGTTTCCTTGGCCTGTTTTTGTTTGCTTCCTATTGGCCTTCTCTCCAGTGTCCTTCACATTCTGTTACCTTCCTACTCAGAGAACTCTCAAAGCTGCTCCGCAAGGTCTCTGGTGACTTCACTTCCCAGAGGGTGACCTTGCCCCAGTCTTCACTGCTCCAGGCCCTCAGCAGAGTCTTGCATCATGGACGTGTTCTCTGTGAAACTGTCCCTAAGCTAAGGGTTAGCTTCTGGACCACCCTTGGTTCTGACCTGGTCATTTCTTACGTTCCCTCCTTCGGAACTTCCTTCCTCAGAGCTCCCCTGTGGGGGTCTCAACCACTCCCTGGCTTCCACCAAACCAATCCAGGCTGATGATTCCCAAACTGAACTTGCAGCTCCATCCTTGCATTAGGATTGTGGCAGGACCTGTAAGTTCTCCAAGGCACTCTGCCTGCCCCCAAACCCACTCGCCCTCCTCGCGGCCTCATCTTTGTCATGGATACAACTGGGTCCTCCTTTATTTGCCACAACCTAACTGCAGGTTCTGTCATCCTGCCTGACCCCCCGACTCAGGTCCCAGGCCTGACCCCTCCTCGTGCCCACGCGGGCCCAGTCCACACGGTGCCGTGCCAGTGTCCCTCCTGAGCTAGGCTGCTGCACCGTCAGCTCCCTATCCGGGAATCTTGTTGGCTCTGTGTTTTCTATTGTGTTCAACCCAGATGTGTCAGCCAGGCTTCCCCAGCTGATGGGGGCTGGCCCCTCTGCACACACTGGGTAGGGGTCTCCCTGACCTACAAACAGCTGGCTAATGACAGCCACCACACCTTTCTCACATTTTCTCCCAGAGGTTACAGTAAATGTTCCAAAACTTTTTTTGAAGGCCGGGCATGGTGGCTCTGGCCTGTAAATCCGGTACTTTGAAAGGCCTAGGCCAGAGGATCGCTTGAGGCCGGGAGTTCAAGACCAGCCTGGGCAACAGAGCGAGACCCTGTCTTTACTAAATAAATAAATAAAAATGTTTTGAGAGCCGTAAGAGGGTTGATAACTATTTTAGCCAAATAAGGTCGTGAAAAGACAAATACAACTATCATCTATGGCCACCATCACTTTGTAAAGGAAAATACGCTTTAATATTAAAAAAAAGATAGGAAGTTCAACAAAAAAACAAAGGCAGCCCCTCAAGCTGAATAAAACCAGCATTAGGAAAGACTCCCTCTCAAACCCTGAGGGTCCCTGCTGACTGGCATCGGTCCCTGCCGCCTGCAGGTCTGCCCCTTACTCTGCTGTGTCTCACGGGCTCACATTCTTGTCCTTCTCTCTGATGACATCACAAGTTCTCAAGAGCACCAGCCGCTGACACAGCTGTCTCCTGAGAAACCTCCTAACGCATACTCAGTAAACCCGGTGCCATCGAGTCCCTTCCTGCCTCATCTCTCCCCACTCACCGAGTCAAAATACAGCAGGACGTGGGGCCCCTCGGTCTCAAAGTGACTCACGTAACGGTCAGAGAGGGAGGTCAGCTGTGGAAAAGGGGAGTTGGTCACAGGCCCTGCACATGACAGGGCTCAGTACCTGGGACAGAGGGGGTTGCCCTGGGTGGCTGACCACACCTTCTCCAGGTCAGCACGCAGGGCGTGGAATCCACTCAGGAGGGTGACGTCCGCGATGGCCATGCCAGACAGCCCCACCTTGCCGTTCCGCCTGTGGAGACGTGTGAGCTGTCGTCCAGGTTCTGCCTGCGCGGGCTCCAGAAGCCCAGCCCCAGCCTGGGTCCTGCCCTCCCTCCCCTGGCCCAGGGCAGCTCCCGGCGCCCACCAGATGCACACGGTGTAGTGCACCCTGGACTCCTGCTCCTCCACCACCTTGGGCGCCTCCCTCCTGCGGCGGTTCCTCCGACCCTCAAACAGCTGCAGGGGTGTCACGGGCTGCAGAGGGGCATCTGGGTCATCCTTGGCTGGAAGCTCATCGTACTCATAGTCCTCATAGTCCTCGTTTGCTTCCACTGCACAGGGAAGCATTGTGAGGAGGGCTGGGATGGCCACCCGGCTCCCTGCGCCAGCCCCTGCCTGGCCCCAAGGCCTCCCAACCCCCACACTCACTCGTGTACTCGACGTGGCCTTTGACTGTCACTTCTATCTGTAGGTCCTGGCAGGTCGTGTTCTTCATGTCCAGGACATTGTAGGTACGAAGGACCTGGCTCAGCAAGGGGCAGGGAGAGGACGTGGGACATGTGAGGCCACAGACCTCTCTGGTGCCATACCTAAGGGCATCTCCCTGGGCTACAGGATTTGAGGCCTTCAGCCCCTTTTCCTCCCCGTCACTGCACAGTCCACACACACGAGTGGCACCACATTCGCCACAGGCGTCAGGCGAGACAGAGAGGTAAAGAAGCAGGGGCCTGCCCCCAGAGGCCAACACTCCAGACTGTGCTGGGAAGAGGCTGGACTGAAAAGCTCAGGAAAGGCTTCTGGCCAAGGCTTGAAGGAGAAGAAAGAGCTTGTCCTGTGGGCCAAGAAGCAGGGAAGGACAGGAAAGGCAAGGGGATCTGTGTAGACAAGGAGAGCTGTCTGGCCGGAGGGGTGGGCAGAGGCCCAGCCATCTGAGCCGTGGGCAGCGGGGAGTGACTTTTCCCCAAGGCTGATCTGGCTGGGGCTTTTGGAAGGTCAGTGTCACTGCCGTGTGGACAGTGGATCAGACAGGGGAGACAGGAGGTAGAGAGAAGTTCCAGGTAGGGAGAAGGCCGTCTCAGCACAGAATCTAGGATGCAGCACCAAGGGCCACAGGCAGCAGGGGAGCAGAGGAGGAGTCACTAGGGACATAAGGACAGGCTTGGGAGAGGGGCCACTAACACGGCCTCTAGAGTAGTGGCTGGGCTCCTGGCTGGGAGGGGCTCCCACCAGCCAGACAAGAGACACAGAATGAAGAAGGGCTTTGGGACATGCCTCGTCTGAGGTGCTGTGGGAGTGGGACGAGTGGGGCCCATGGTTCAGGGAAGAGGCCTGGGCTGAGGAGTGGGATTCGGAGCCACCAGCACTGAGGCGGGTAAAGGAAACAACAGGTACCCAGAGATGGGGAGAGCAAGCGAAAGCAAGCAGGGGGAAAAACACCCAGGACGGAAGCACGGGACACCAACCCTGAGGTGTCTGCCTCCTTCCCCGGACCATGTGCCTCTGCCCACAGGCCTCTCACTCCACACCCTCTCCTCCACCAGTGCCTGGCCCCACCCCTTCCCTGGCCCTCACCTTCAGGGTTCCTTTGCTGTTTCCTCCCACCTTCACATTGATCTTGCTGCCCAAGGAAAACTTCAGCAACAGAAAAGGGAAGGCGATGTTAGAAGGGCACAAGCAAACCTGTTTTTGCGGCTCCAATAACTTATCTCCTTCCTCAAAACAGCCCCACCCCCTCTCCCCACCTCACATTTCCACAAAGTTTATACCAGCACATGAATTATCTCACTTCAGCCTTCTAACGACCCTGTAGGGTGAACTCTGTGTATGTTACTCTACAAGTGAGAAAACTGAAGCTCAGAGCTCCAGGTCACGCAGCCAGGAAGTCAGTCTTCCCCCGAAGACCCCAGGAAGAAGTGCTGCGGGGATTCCACGGGTGGGAGGGTGGGGACGGCTTCTGGCCTGGCCACGAGGCCCAGGTGTCCTGGCTACCCAGGCGAGGGAGTGGTTCACCAGGGAGTGGTTCACCTGCAGCTCCTCCTCCAGGCCGCGAATCTGGCGGTTGTTCAGCTGCAGCGCGTGGGACTTGAACCCATTCCGGCCTGTGGAGCTGAGAGTCACATTGAGACCCCTCTCCTCAGTGGTGTGGGAGGCAATCCAGTAGGCAGACAGGGCATCCAGGGCAATCACCGTGTCCTAGGGAGGTTGAGCCAGGACTCAAGCAAGCCCTTGGTCTGAGGACTACCCACCCCCGCCAGAGCCCGGGGACGGCCCCTACTTGGGTACTGCGGAATCCCCCTTGGAAGCTGCCCTGACGGGTGAGCCAGGCCGCAGCCTGGTCTGCCATCTCTGCTTTGCCCTCGTGAAGCAGGAGGTGCAGCAGGGCGTAGGCTGTGGTTTCAATCCACAGGGCTGGGGCCTGGGGCATGGGGTCGGATGGGTTGCGAGGAGCCGGGGTGGGCGACACGGCATTGCTCTGAGAACCAGTGACTGAGCCCCAGTACAGGTTATCTGAAAGTGAAGGGAGACCACGAGTAAACAGGAAGGCAGGGAGAAGAGCCTGGTCCCCTGGCCCTTAGCCACCCCCTGCTGGGCTCTCCTGAGTCTCCCCCAACCCACCCCTGCTTATAACTTCATTCCTCCTCTGAGTCTTCATCCAGCCTCTCCCTCTGGGCACACTCAGGGATCCTAAGGTCCCCTGGGCCTCAGGCTCACTGCCAGAGCCCCTCACCCCTCACCTCCAGTCTCCTGGGCCATTGCCATGAGGTTGTTGTGGGCAACACCCCGCAGGTCCGCAGGGGCCTTGGTCAGTGTCAGGGCATAGGCCGTGATGGCAGCTGCGTGGGCACCCAGGAGCCCAGCACTTGCTTTCTCCCCCAAAAATGAGCTTGCCTTTGAGATGGAGGCTTCCTGGAAGAAAACGGGAGGAGGGTCTTGGGCCTGGACCCCTGGGTTCCTGAGGAAAAAGGGAGAGAGCTGGGGGCCAGCAGAGGGCAGAAACGCCACTGAACTTACCACTCTCTGCTTCAATGGCTCTGCACCCTCATCCTGGAAGACGGCCAGCCCATGATGAAGGGCGATGGTCACAAAGGCTGTGAGTGCCACAGTCTCATCATTGCCCACCAAACCCCCCTAGTAAGGGGAGAAAAGATGTCAAACAGGAGGGGGAAGGGGCAAAGAGAGTCCTCCGACAGGCGCTTCTCGGGCCAGCCCCAGCATGCCCGCACCTGCATGCTCCTATGTATCACTGGAGAGAGGTCCTGGAACGAGCCGTCAGCCTGCTGCTGGGACAGAAGCCAGTTAGATGTCTCCTGCAGTTTCTCAGGCGAGCCTCCTACCTGCTCCTGGGCCAAACTCAGGACCTTCAACACAAAGGCTGTGAGCCTGGAGGGCAGGAAAGGAGGGTTGGGGATAAGGACTTGCTTCTCATTATGCCCACGCCCCCAGGTGCCTGGTTATCCACCCTCCCATCATACCAGCTCTGTCCCACCCCTGCCCCAGCCCTGACCCCCTCAGAACCCTGGAACCACTCTCCCAAGCTCACCAGGTGCTGCTGCCCCGTGACAACCAAGCCGCATAGGAACCATCCGCCTTCCGAAACTGCTGGATCCGCATGTAGCCTTGGAGAGGAGAGGTGGCCGCTCAGGTGACACTCACCCTTCTGCTGTTTGAGCCCAAGGCCATGCTCCCCATCCTCATCAGGGGCCCCCTTTCTTTCCCTCTGTAGCCTCCTGGGCTGTCCATCTTCCAGTAACTGTCCTTTCCTGGCCCCCCTCCTGCTTGCCCTTGCACCCAGAACCTTTCTGGATCAGATCCACGGCGTGGTCCTTGGTCTCGGGAGGCAGTGTGCTCCACTGCTCTGTCTTGTCCAGGTAGCGGGAAGCAGCCAGTGTCGGAGCCAAGTAGATCATGGTTTGCTCCCCACAGCCTCGAGGAAGCCTCAAGAGGGAGGCCACGCCTCCTGGTGACAAGGCCCCCTCAGAGCCTAAAGTGTCCAATGGATCTGAGGCTACATGGGAGGGAGAGGGTGGAGGTCTGAGGACTCTGTGTCAGAGGCTCACGGGGAGTGGGACCAAGCAGGGATCCACAAGTCCCACATGAATCCGAAGGTGGCCACTGGGAAGGGACTAAAGGGCACTCCCACCTGTAACCCTGACGTAGCTGTTAAAGTCCCCATCAGGGATCATATTGGGATCAGAGTTGCCAGGTATTTCCAAGGTCCGGCCTCGGTGGTCTGGGGAAATGGGGGAAGTTGGCAGCCTGTCCTGCTGTCCACATCCCCCACCACCTGTACCCACTTAGGAAACCAATGGCTGGAGGTAGAGGGTCACTCACCCAAGGGGTTGAGTTCATAGACCAGCTCCTCTCTATGGATGGCCCCTTCCTTCTGTCTCAGGGAAAACATGGTTGTGAGGTCACACAGGACTACAGCCTGCCCTGCTAGCGCAGACTCCCCCAGAACTTTGAGTTTCAACTCCAGGGACAGAGTTGGATCAGAATTGTAGAAGATGGGAACAGACCAAGGCATTGGTTTGGGTGTTGGGCCCCTGGCCTGGCCAGCAGAGAGAGTGCTGAGGGTGGAGGACAAAGCTGGGGGCCCGGGGACTTATATTCAGGGGTGCTCCATTCACCTCAATCTGCAGAACCTTGGACACCGCATCTCCCACAGGGAATTCGAAGGACCCTCGAGCCACCACCTTCAGAGACACAGCGGTGGCTGCCGTGGGCACCACAGAGAAGGCAACAGGCCGGGCAGAGCCCGCAGGCACCAGCACCTGCTGGGCCAGCCCTCCGCCCCCAGCCAGGCACAGCCCCTCCACTGGGGACACGTGGACGCTCACCTGAGGGCAGGAAAACGAGGATGGCCAGAGTCCTGGCCCGGTTAGCCTCCCCACCCCTCACTGGGCCCTGGCTCCCCCAACTCCTGTATGCTCAGGCTCCCATGGGGCCTCACAGTCAGGTTTTTATCCAGGTAGTTATAGAGGACAGGCCGCAGCTCCAGCTGCTCAAAGCGGCGGACAGACATGGGCAGGCGGAGGTGCAGGTGGAACTCGCGGAACACCCGGAGCTGGACTGGGGTGGCCACACATAGGCCTGAGGGAAAGGAAGCGTGGGCACAGGGGCAGAGATCAGAGGGGCCATCAAAGCTTCAGGGCCACAGGAGGGAGGGGTGGGGGTGACCCAGCTCTGTCTCAGTCCGCCTCTGCCCTCTGGCCCACGCCAGCTGCACGCTGGCACAGACCTCCCCAGATCACTGGACCCTCTTCCTACACTAAGAGCAAAGGGAACAGGGAGCTGGGGTACAGGGAAATGGAAGCAGGGTCACCTGAGGCCCAGACAGGGTGACATCACCTTTGGTTTTGGACAGGCTCAGGCCATGGATCTCCCACGTGGTCAGAGAGTCGGGGAGCCACAGTGTCAATCTGTGTAGGGAAAGGCAGAGAAGGCCCGTCTACCCCGGCTGGCCCCGAGACACAGCACAGAGAAAAGGCCGGGCCGGCACACACTCTCACATTTGAAAGCGGTCCACTGTTTCCACTCTCCAGAGCCAGTTCTCTGGGAAGAAGCTGCGCACGGGAATGTCATCCTCATCAATCAGGTCCTCCTCCTGCAGGATCTCCAGGGCTGGGGGACCACGGTGGACGGGAGTGAGGAGGGGACCGTTCTGCCTTTCCAAGCGCCGCCACCTGTGCCCTAGCCCCACCCAGCCCCTCACCTCGTTGGAGGCCCGCCTGGCCCTTGTCCCTGCTCTTCTTGCGCAGACTCTCAGCAAATTGGCAGCAGGACAGGAAGGGCTCCCGGCAGTCCGGCTGCTGCACGCGGGCTGCCCGCTGCTCGCAGGAACGCATCATGGGCAGACGTGTCACCCCATCCTGGCAGCAGCGCTTGGCTGTCGGGGAAGCATACTGACCCACTGCAGGGCCAGGTGGGGGTGAGCATGAGAGGACAAAAAGGACATACACCTCAGCCCCCGCCCCGACCCCTTGAGACCAGCAACATAAGAGAGGCTGCTGGAGAGAGCTGCCCACCTTCCACTCGTAATCCCGGAATTCGGATCTCTGGCCCCAAATACCACACGTGGGTTCAGCAAGGAGCCGAGGGGCAGAGAGGCAGACCCCCAACCCGGATCCCAGGTGGAGAGCCCAAGCTACTGCCTAGGCACCCGCAACTCACATTTCTCATTAATCGCCTTTTGGAAGTTCACGTTTCTCTTTTTCCGGGTTGTCTTCTCCTTGGGACAGCTTAGTCCTGGTAGAGAGAAAGGCTGCAGTCCAGCCGTCAGGCACTCGGCCTCCTCCCCTCCTCCCCTTCCCCTGCCCAGCCCTTCCTGCCCGGACTCTTCCAGCTGGTCCCCTCAGGCCCTTCCTCCTTCCTTATCTTCCCGCCACCCACTCCCCTTCCTTCTCTGTTCTCACTCTTTCTGGATAAGGTCCACTGGTCTCCATCAGAAAAGGCCAGGCCCGCTGCCTGGAACACCTGAAGGGCACTGTCCCCACCCCCAGGACCACAGCCGAGGTCATAGCTGTTCATAGCTTCAAAGACCTGCAAGAAAGGCAGGAATGCTAGGAGCCAAGTGTGGCTGAGGGGCAGGACTGAGCACTCGGCACAGGTGAGAGGGCAGCACATGGGGGGATAGGAAAGGATACAGAGCCAGGAGATGGAGACCACAGGGCCAAGTGGGGAAGAGACTGTGGGGAGCCTCAGTGGGATCCAGGGGCTGCGCCCAAGGCTCAGGGAAGCAGGGGGATGAGCCATGGAGGGGTGAGAGAGCTGTGGAGAGGGTCTGGACAAACCTTGCCCATGTTGAGGGGCTTGTGGGACTTGCTGCCTGCAGCATACAGAGCTGTGTCCAAGGCTCCCAGCGCCACCAGGGCTAGGGAGTCGGTTTCTAAGTGGAGCTTCACGGACTCCCCGTTCCGGTACTGCTTGGCACCGTCCACGCTGAGCTCCAGCTGGCAGGGGCGGCAGGTGGGGGCGGTCAGAGTGGGAGAGCTTCCTTCAGTCCCGGTATCCTCACTGCCCCCAAGCTAAATCCATGCCCTGTTGGCAATCACCCTGTCCTCAACCCCCTCGGCACAAGTGCCATCTCTCCTGACCCCGGTCACCTTGCCCTCGCAGGCCCCAGCCTGGACATCCACTCGCAGGGAGTTGGCCACTGGGTGGTCTCCATGGTAGTAGAAGGCCACAAAGTAGAAGGAGGGTGCCAGGTGATGGTCCACAAACACCGAGACCGAGGTCAGGGTCCTCTTGGGCTCTCGATTCATGAACACGATCTGCCCTCGGGATAGGATCTGGGCCAAGAATGGGAGGGACAAGAGTGGTTGCCTCTTCATGGGACAGCCTCAGCCTTGAACCCCCCCAGCCCCACCCAGAGGGCTCTTCCCTGCACCCCAGCCCTCCGTGACTCCCCAGCTCATGCACACCATGTAGTAGTAATGAGAAAAGGTGGCCCCACTGCCCACGGCTCGCAAGTTCAGGTTCAGAGTGTCCCCAACACGAGGAGGTCGAGAATCCGGCCGCTCAATAGACAGAAACCCGGGGCCTCCTGAAGGTGGGGCTGCCACAGTGAGCCTGGCTATCGCTGGATGTGGGGAGCCTGCAGATACCTGGAGAGGGGGTCAGGTGCGAATAGGGTAGTAGCTCAGAGCCAAGTACCCCACCTTCCCCCCAAGTCAGGCCATGGATCCTTGGGACCCCAGCTCACCCTCCTCCCCTTCCCCCACCATCTCCCAGGGGTCCGAGGAGTCCTACTGAGAGCTGCAGCTCTGAGATGGTCTGAGGGATAATTATTGGAATGCTGACTTGGCCGCTCCCGTCTGTGTTTTGCTGAATGTCCTGGACTTCAGGAACAGACCCAGGAGAAGACACCGTGGCAGAAACTTTGACAGGAATGCCAGAAGCTGGGGAGCCTGACATCTCACGGACCAAGGCCTAGGCAGGTAAAGGAGGGCAGGCAAAAGAGAGTGGTCAGACCCTGAGCCCTCCTAACTACCACATCCTCCCTACTCATCCTTCCCCTCTGGAAGAAACCTGCAGCAGGAAGGGGGCCCCAGGCACAAGGTGTCGCTTGGTCTTGCTAAGATCCAAGGAGAAGGGAGATGACACAAAATACCAGGATGTGAGCTCTGCCTCCTCCATCTCCCCACCTGCAAGACAAAGGACAGAGAGAGGTGGGGGACAGAGCCCAAGAAGAGAGGGACAGGAGGACAAGTGGGGAGTGGCTTGAGTGGTTCCCTCCCACAAGACAGTGAGCTCCCAGGGCACAGGCTGCCGTATTCCTGTCTGTGTTGGGAAAAGGACTTGTGGGGTGCCTGTATAAACTGGCCATAAAAATATGGGACAATAAGTTGTGGAAAGCCACAAGAGGCCTCTGAGGAGAAAAGCCTCCTAATTGCCATGCTCAGAGCGAGACCTGCTCTCTCTTATCTGTAAACACTGTATTCAAGGAGAAAGACCCTCCTTTGAAGCATTGGAATGTGGACAGACGTGCAGGCTCCTAGTTAAGCCCACTCCCACTAGCTACTCTCCGATAAGTTAAAGATATGCTGTTTGAGCACAAAGGAGATTCATTTAAAGCGCTTCTGCTGTAGATTATGCCTGTGACGCACTGCTACCCTTTCACTGTTTTGCCCTGAACATCTGCTTCTTAGATCTAAGTTATTGTACTCAATAAATAGTGTGGAGACCAGAGCTCTGAGCCTTTTGCAGCCTCCATTTTGCAATTGGCCCCCTGGCCTCCACTCTTTATGAACTCTTAACCTGTCTCTTCTCATTCCTTTGTCACCACCAGACTTCAGGTACCCTACAGGTGGTGTTGAGGCTGGTCCCCAACATTCTGGCGCCCAACGTGGGGCCCAAAAGAATCTGGTGAGGAAACGCTCAAGCATGTGAAACAGAGGACCAACGAACAAAGGACTCCCAAGGACATAAAAGTTTTAACCTCTACAGGTAAGCGGGGCGCCCAGAGAAAGCTAGGGACACAATGGGAAAAACTGAAAGTAAGTACACCACGTATTTGAGCTTCCTACGGCAGCTCTTCAAGCATGCATGGTGGGGTAAAAGTTGATACGGAAAATCTTATGGATTTGTTTCATGCTATGGAACAATTTTGCCCTTGGTTCCCAAAACAGGAAACTTTGAAATTAAAACATTAAGAAGGAGTTGGAAAGGACCTTAAAAGAGCATATAGAGAAGGAAAGGAAATTCCTTTGCCTGTTTGGTCGCTTTGGTCATTGGTGCATGCAGCACTGGAGCCTTTTCAGACAGATAATGAGGCTGAGTCAGAGGAGGAGAGAGAGGAGTTTGATAATCAGAACTCTGAACCACCTCTACCGAGTACTAACAAAAAGGAGAGTCTGAAGATGATTTATGCCAATCTCCCCAGTCTCCCTAAACCTACTCAAAAAATTGTTCAGCCCACGGTTCCTGTAGAGAAATGTCCAGAATGGCCACCTCCTCCTCAGCCGAGTGGGTGCAGGGGGAGGGAGCCCGAGACTTGGCTCACCGTGCCCATTATTGCCCGACCCACAGTTCATTATGGAGATGGGGCAATTCAGGTTCACCCTACAGTTATTACAGTGAAGGAGCAATTTCCCTTAAAATGGATGACCCGGCGCCCCGTCTGGGTTGAACAGTGGCCGCTCCCTAAGGAAAAGTTGGGGGTGCTTTATAAAATAAACTACTAAAAAAAGGATATATTTCACCCACTTTCTCTCCTTGGAATTCCCCAGTATTTGTAATTAAGAAAAAGTCCGGTAGATGGCGTCAACGCTGTAATTCAACCGATGGGAGCCTTACAACCTGGGCTCCCATCCCCCACTGTGCTCCCTAAAGACTGACCGCTTGTTATTATAGATTTAAAAGACTGCTTTTTTACAATTCCTTTAGCAGAGGCAGATTTCAAAAAATTTGCCTTTACCATTCCTGCCGTTAATAACAAAAAACCTGCAGCCAAATATCATTGGAAAGTTTTGCCCCAGGGTATGTTAAATAGTCCCACAGTTTGTCAAACTTTTGTAGGCAGAACTATCCAGCCTGTTAGAGATCAGTTTCCAGATTTGTGCAGCAAAAAGTAGAGACCAACTTATTCAATATTATTAATCTTTGCAAAAGACAATTACAAATGCTGAATTACTTATAGCACCTGACAAAATTCAAACAACCACTCCTTTTCAGTATTTGAAAATACAAGTACAGGATAGAGCCATTAAGCCTCAAAAGGTTCAAATTAGAAGAGATTCTTTCAAAACCTTAAATAATTTTCAAAAATTGTTAGAAGATATTAATTGGATTTGGCCCAATTTAGCAATTCCTACTTATGCTATGTCTAATCTCTTCTCAATATTGAGGGGAAATACCAACTTACGCAGTAACAGAGAACTAACACCCGAGGCCATGAAAGAGTTATCAGTAATTGAAAACAAAATTCAGCAAGCCCAGGTCAGTAGGATTGACTCAGACTTGCCTTTATAATTCATTGTGTTCCCTACTTCACACTAACCACACAATAATGGGGGTTATTGTTCAAAATGATGATTTAGTTAAATGGTCCTTTTTGCCACATAATACCATAAAAGCACTTACAGTATACTTAAATCAGATGGCAATTCTAATTGGACAGGCTCATATATGAATTATTAAATTTTGTGGCACTGAGCCCAATAAAAATTATAGTTCCAATAAATAAAAATCAGGTTAAACAGGCATTTATTAACTCAGTTACATGACAGATTAATTTAACAAAATTTGTTGGATGTATTAATAATCATTATCCTAAAAACTTTTCAATTCTTAAAATTAACTACATAGGTTCTTCCAAAAATTACTTGTGATGCCCCTTTGGAAGGAGCCATAGCTGTTTTTACTGGTGGGTCTGGTAAACATGAAAAAGCAACAGTCTGGTGGAGACCACATAATCCAATCACTTGATCTGAATTTACTAACATTCAGAGAGCTAAGGTTATTCTGTGTATTTATTTAAAAACTATTACAGCCTTAAGTTTGCTCTGGAGCCCACTCTGTGTGGTCTTTTTCTTCAACTTCAACAATTACTAGACCAAGGTACACATCCTACTTTTATTACACACATTCGAGCCCACAGCTCTCTGCCTGGCCCATTGGCTTACGGCAATAATCAAGCAGACCTTCAGGTTATGACATCACTGCTTGACCAAGCCACCCAATCACATCGATTATTCCACCAAAATTGGAGAAACTTATCTAAATAATTTCAACTTACACAGAGGCTGGCTAAACAAATTATCCCACAATGCCCAGATTACCAGCTCACAGGCACATACCCTCCTTCAATAGGTGTTAACCGTAAAGAATTGGAACCTAGTCAGTTCTGGCAAACAGATGTTAAACACATCCCTAAATTTTAAAAACTAAAATATGTACATACATCCATTGTTACCAACACTCATCTAATTATTACACATTTAAAAAAATAAAAGTAAAAAAAAGACTAAGACAAAAATCAAAAAAATACAAAAAAGTAAAAAAATTTAAAAAGTTATAAAAATGTACCTTTAGTAAAAAAATTATAAAACATAAAAAGTTAAGACATGTTAAAAATTGTCTGTAAAAGTCATAAAAAAAGTTATAAAAAATTTATACAAAAAAGGTTGTTTAATTTTGTTTTAAAGATCTAAACAAGTTTTAAAATGATAATTGTAAAAAATTCCGTGTGTAAACGTATTTACTAAAGTTAAAAAGATATCATCCAGTTTTCTATAAACTAAACATTAAAATAAAACACAAGTTTTTCTTAAAACACTAACCTGCTCTTTAAAAATTGTAAAAAGTCTCTTAACACAGACGCCACTCCTAAAATTTCCAGTACCAGCCTAAAGACTACATCCTCATCAAAGGATAAAAAATTAAAAAATAAAAAAACATTTGAACCAGCCTAAAAAAGACCCTACAGGAACTACAGCCTCAACAATGCGACTTCCACAAACAACACAGGCCTCAGACATTATACTAAAAAAACAAAAGTCTAAGCCAAATAATTTATTCATTTTTAATTCTCTCACTTTGCCTACTACCTATACCTGCTACACTGTATTAAGCTCGTATCTTAAATCCGCCTTTCTTCTGCCCTGTTACTTTAACAAACACCCCCTTCTCAGCTTCTAATAACATAACTGCTTAGCTAGAATAAATTAACATACCCCCAGTGGGGTTCCTCATTAATAACATATAGTAAACTAAGATGCCAAGTAACACTACAGGTCACTCTTTTACTAAAAAAAAAAGTTACTAATTATACTCATGTTTGTCTTCTGTTATTTACTAATCCTAGAATACAAAGCCAAAATAAAAACAGTGACCTCCTCGCCTAACAAACCTGTGGCTACAACAGCCCAAAATTATACCTATTGGGCATGTGTCCCATTCCTGCCTTTAATTAGGCCTGTCACATGGTTAAAACCCCCAGTTGAAGTTTATGTTAATAATAGCGTTTGGATCCCTAAGCCTACAAATACTCATGGGCCCTCTCACCCAAAGGAAAAAAAAAAAAGTTAATAAATGTGTCCATAGGTTATCAGTTCCCCCCTCTTTACATAAGGCCAACTATCGGTTGCCTAAAAGGCTACCGACAACATTGACTAGTTAAAATTCCAGGTCATAATCAAAGACCAGTATCCTATCATTTATTTTCTGGATGGAGCCCGGATCATTCACAGAGTTCAATTCAATTAACAGTTT
This sequence comes from Homo sapiens, assembly GCF_000001405.40. Classification (NCBI taxonomy): domain Eukaryota; kingdom Metazoa; phylum Chordata; class Mammalia; order Primates; family Hominidae; genus Homo; species Homo sapiens. The sequence goes on along the minus strand of NC_000006.12, from coordinate 32,019,362 downwards.
AAGCCCCCAAAAAAGAGGTGCCAACAACCTTAACAATGGTCAAATAATTTAAAAATATTAATTAAAAAAAATTACATCTCTGATCACACTATGGTACTACAAAATAATTCCTATGAAATTGTCATTAATTGGTCCCCTGAGGGGACCTTTACAGTTAATTGTACCCATCAAAATAATAAATACAAGACAAAACTAAAACAGAAACTATACTATCAAAAAGGTAACACTACTTACACTGAAAAACGTGCTCATTTTCCCATAATTTGGACCAATTTTAGTACAGCTGGCCCACATCCCAAAATAATTAATCCAATAATAGGCCCTAAACACTCCAAATTATGAAAGTTAATAATGGCCCAATCTCATATTTAAGTTTAGAAAAAAATATATTATCTTTAAAAAAAAAAGGTTAAAAACTTCAATTTGCGTATCAGTTTTCTTCCAACAAAACAGTGCCCATTCAGAGTTGTGTCAACCCTCCTTTTATGTTAATGGTCAAAAATATTGACATTCGACCTAATTCTCAAACTATTACTTGTCAAAACTGTCACCTTTTCACCTGTATTAATTCCACGTTCGGTGTAAAAACATCTGTGTTACTGATAAAAACTAAGAAAGGAGTTTGGATACTGGTTTCCCTCAATAGACCTTAGAAAGCCTCTCCTTCCATTCATATTGTCACAAAAATGTTTTAAAAAAAAGTGTTTACCAAAACAAAGAGATTTATTTTTACCCTTATAACAGTCTTATGGGCCTTATTGCAGTCACAGCTACTGCTGCGGCTGCTGGAATTGCTTTACACTCCTCTGTTCAAACTACAAAATATATAAATAGTTAACAAAAAATTCCTCAAAATTGTGGAATTCTCAGACCCAAATAGACCAACAATTGACAAATCAAACAAATGATCTTAGACAGACTGTTATTTAAATGGAAGATCGTACAATAAACTTAAAACATCAATTAGAAGTACAATGTAATTGAAATACTTCCAATTTCTACATAACTCCCCATTCGTATAATACTACTAAACATCATTTTTAAAAAGTTAGACATCATCTAAAAGAAAAAAATAAAAATTTAACATTAAATATAACCAAATTTTAAAAAAACAGGTTTTTAAAGCATCTCAGGCTCATTTAACCCTCCTGCCTGAGACTGACATTCTCATTGGAGCTACTGACGGACTTTCAAACATAAATCCTCTTAAACAGATTAAGACCATTAAAGGATCAACTATTACAAATTTTACTTTAATGTGTATCTGTTTATGCTGTTTACTTTTAGTCTACAGATGCAAAAGACACTTCTGAAAACAGACCAAACACCACAAATAAGCCATAATAGCAATAGCGGTTAAAAAAAAAAAAAGGGAGGGGGGCATGTTGGGAAAAGGACTTGTGGGGTGCCTGTATAAACTGTCCATAAAAATATGAGACAATAAGTTGTGGAAAGCCACAAGAGGCCTCTGAGAAGAAAAGCCTCCTAATTGCCATCATGTTCCCATGCTCAGAGTGAGACCCCCTGTCTTATCTGTAAACACTCTGTTCAAGGAGAAAGACCCTCCTTTGAAGCATTGGACAGACATGCAGTCTTCTAGCTAAGCCCACTTCCACCAGCTACTCTCCGATAATTTAAAGACATGCTGTTTGAGCACAAAGGAGATTCATTTAAAACTCTATTGCTATAGATTACGCCTATGACCCACTGCCTCCCTTTCACTGTTTCTCCCTGAACATCTGCTTCTTAGATCTGAGTGACTGTACTCAAAAAATAGTGTGGAGACCAGAGCTCTGAGCCTTTTGCAGCCTCCATTTTGCAATTGGCCCCCTGGCCCCCACTCTTTATGAACTCTTAACCTGTCTCTTCTCATTCCTGTGTCACCAATGGACTTCAGGAACCCTACGGGTGGCGTTGAGGCTGGTCCCCAACATGTCTGTGCATGCTGAGGCCTAGCACGGGGCATTGAACAACACATGTCCACTGGAGGAGTGAAGGAATGAGCAGAACGAGCAAAGAAATAAATAAACTCAGCCAGGGAAAAGGGCCGAGTCACAGAGACAGAGTTGGAGAGAAACCAGGTCTCCTGGGTGTTTCCTGGTTTTGAGTCTGAGATGAGATGTGAGAAGTGGGGTGGTGTTGGTGCCGGAGGACAGAGGGTTAGCTCAGAGGTCAGAGGCAAGGGTCTGGGGTTACAATAAGGGAAAGTCACCCACCTGGAGACTCAATGATGGCTGCAGCAACGTAGAGGCGCAGCCCCTGGAGGTCAGTAATGCCCATATTCAGCTTCTCCAGGGCGTCCTGGAACTCTGCCTTTGAGAGGGAAATGTGGCTCTGTCCATTCACCAGCTGGGGCATAGAAAGAAACAGGACATAGGGTGAGACTGAGTCTCCCACCTCACCTCCCTTGCCCCTTCCCCTCCCCAGCCCCTATTCTCCTTCCTACCTTGGTCTGACTCTCCAGCCCCCGAAAGAAAGTCTTCTTACCATCCTCATCTAGGAGCCCAAAGCGCACATATGCCACCCCCTGCACTGGCTTCCCATAGATGTACCTGTCGTGGCAGAGAGAAGAGGGTGGGCCAAGGGCTGGGGGGAATAATGGCCCGAGGGCAGGGAAGCAGGAGCCCATTCATACTGAGTAGGGAGCAGGACCCGGTGCTGGTGGGCAGAGGTGGGGAGGGAGGTATTACCTGGCCTGGATGTCTAACTGCATTTCATCAAGATGGCCTGGCACCGTCAGGATGTAGGGCTTTCCAGGGGTGATCTTCACCTCAAAGTTGGGAAGGACTGACCCAGGGTGAAGGGATAGGCAGGTCAGACTCCAGCTCAAAGACTCCCCTCTGCTCAGGGCTGTGGCACCCATATCTCCCTGCCCTGAGCTGCTCCCAGTACCTCTCCTTCCACCCTTATTTCCTTCAGGAAAGCAGCTGCCTGTCCCTCCAGTTTCCAGCTCTCACCATATTTCTTCACCTCAAACTGGGTGCTGCTGTTGGATTCCAGGCCATCTGAGAATCGGGCTGAGATCTTCCAGGTCCCTGGCCTGAGAATGGACAAGGAAGGGGCTCAGCCCATCTGTACAGTGGGGCACGGAGAGCCAGCAGCCTGCTTCCCTGGGAAGAGGACTGTGGGGGTTAACCAGAGGCTCAGGAGGCTGAGGGTCAGGGCATCTGGGGACGTGCCTCTGTGTGGGAGGTGGAGAGCCTAACAGGAATTGGGGTGGTGTAGCTTGGGGGCAGCCCCCACATTGGGAGCGCTCACTCTGAGATGTCTGGGATCACAAAGTCATCCTGGAAGATGGACGAGGGCATGTACACCTCCTTCTTCCGCACGCGGAGGCCGTGAGAGTTCTGCAAGGGGAGAAGTGCTCACAGGCAGGAGGTCACATCAGTGGCCAGGATCAGGAAGGCCAGAGGTCGGGGACTCACCTCCACCATGACTGTGATGGTGTCAGTGCTCGGGCGCATCTTCTGATCCAGAGCAAAGACCCGGTACCGAACTGGGAGTGGAGGAGGAGAGAGGTGAGCAGGGGTCCATGTGCAAGGGGAGGGTGGGTCAAACTCCACAGAGGGAGCAGGGGACAAATGTTTCCTAAGCACCCCTTCTGTGTGGCACTTTCTTTCAGGTTATCTCACTTAGGGGGCACCAAACTCATCCTGAGAGGGCTCGGAGGGGGTTAAAGGTTGAGGCCCTGGGGCTGAGACTCACCCCGCTGGCCAGGGTTGTAAATGGGCTGGTCCGTCTGCAAAAAGAGGTGCCCCCGGCGAGAGGAGAAGAGCAGGTTGATACCCTGGATGTTTGTCGTTCTGGACAGAGAGTCCTTTAGCCATGGCGAATGGGCCACCAGCTGGACCTCAGGGCCTCTGAGGAGTTGATGGAGGCCACAGCTCTTCGCATCTTTCAAGGGCACCTGTCAGGAGAGGGAGAGGGAGAGGGAGCGGGTCACAGAGCAAGAGACAGCTGACCAAAAAGGACAGAGACCAAGGGAGAAACGTGGAAGGAGAATGCCAGGGTGGGAAGACAGGAGGGGAGGAGGCCAGTGGGAAGATGATGACACTTACAAGACAGATGGGAACAGGGCAGGAGGCCCCCACAAGCAGCAGGAGGGCATGGGGTCTGGTTACCTGGAGACTGAGGAGTGCGAAGTCTCTTTCTGAGCTAAGGGTGAAGTCCACCTTTGGGGAGCAGGGGACATTATTACGAGATGGGTTTCTCAGGAACACTGATCCTTTCACTACCTGTCCTCGGGGCACATCCTGGAGCTGCACCCCCACCGATAGGGGGACCCCCAGATGAACCACAGAAGGAGAGAACAAGAGCAACCTGGGGAGAACAGACAGGATCAGCAGTCAGACTTCGCTCTGACACCTCCACCCCTGCTCTCCCTCACTCCTGAATCGGGTCCCGATGCCAGCCCTGCCCCAATCCAAGCACCCAGCATCCCGCCTCCAGGACCTGGGCTTCTGCAGAGATAAGGTGAAGAAGCTGGATGCCCAGATCAGCCCCCAGAGCAGCCTCATGGCTGGAGGATCCAAGAGAGGTTAGATCCGTCTGTCTGTCTGCTACCTTCTGGCCAAGCTAGGCCTCGGGGCAGAGTTGACTCTGGACCTTGCTCCTCCCCCAGCCCAGCTAAGCTGGGAAACCACGTGACAGCCAAGAAGTGCAACTGGCCTCAGGCCCAGAGTTGTGGGGGCACCCCGGACACCTGGGTGTCCATGGGAAACTCTGAATCTTGGCCCAGAAATAACCCTGTCCTTCCCCGTTAACTCCTCTCATTCCAGTGCCTGAGCACCTCCCCCTACCAGGTATATCTGTATCAGGGTATAGGTGCACACAAGCTCATGTATACCTGGGCGTACAAGGGCCCAACATGGCCCACGAGTACAGGATATTTAAAGGCCCTCACAAAACAATGACAGGCTTCTAAGACACTTGTCTCTTACTTTCATTCCAACACAAATTGAACTATACTAGGCTTTTGCTTTTTTAGGCCCTAACAGAAATTCCGTGGTTTAGGAGATTAGGTACACCCTCACCACTCCACAGGGAGAATGGCCTGAACGTCAGAGTGAACCCCTGACCCCTTTCCTCTCTGAATGAGGCAAAGCTCAGACTTCACCTCTACCCCTAAACAAGGCACCCAAACACACGTCACAGTAAATAAAGGACATCCAGAAAATATCACAGGCAGAGGTACTTTATTTGGCAATTTTAACATGACACGTAGAGAAAAGAACCCTGCCCTCCTTCACCAGCCTCCCCAGAAATCCCACCTTCCTATTTCAAGACAGAGTAATAACAGCACCATTTTACACGAAAGGGAACAGCCACAGCCTTGGCACCATTTCTGGTTCCACTTTCCATGGAAGGGCAGAGAAGCATTGCTCAAACCCCACCACTGGGTCAGAAACCAGGCAAACAGCAGCAGTCACATCTGACCTTTTGCACACACGAGAGCCCGACACTCATCCTGGCTCCCAAGCCTTCCCAAGGTGACCCTGTCTCAGCCACCATCATGCAGCTCTTCTAGTCCCCTCCCGGCCCACTCTGAGGAGCTGAGCAATGATGAGCAGAATCTTCATGTCTCTGGCAGGCGGAGGAGGGTTCCTGAAGTGGTAGAGATGCTGTGCAGGAGAAAGACAAGGCTGGAGCCAGACGCCTAGGCTCAAGCTGTGAGGAGAACTTAGAACTTGGGAAGGGGTGCTCCCGGGTTCCAGAGAAGAATGAGAGCCACTGGCCTTCACTAGGAAACTAAGCATGAGCTGGGAGGAAATCCCACTTTGGGTCATTGCTCCATAATCTGCCAGAGGCCAGGGAAAGACTCACCAGTCCACTAGCTGGGCCCCAATGAGGTCGTGCACATGGTAGGTGAGGCCAAGCCGCACCACGACAGGCACCCGCCGGCCCAGGAGCTCTGATAGGAGCAGCTCCCGGTACTTTGCCTTCCGGACCATGCCAAGGACAGCCTGGCGCCCTAGAGGAGAAGTGGCACAGGAAAGGGGAAAGGTGAATAAGGCCTAGAGGCCTGAGGAGCCACCAAAAGGTGAGGGGCTGCAGGCTTGAGCTGCAGATGGGATACCTTTAACAAAGTACTTGTGCATTTGGTCTGAAGACAAAGATGACTGCAGGAGTGGGCAGGCCGGAGTGGGGTGACCTGGCCTGTGCCCAGGAAGGAGGAGGAGTCTGCAGCCCTGTGGGCTTCAACATCCATCAAGGAGTCCAGAGCAGGAGCCAGGCCAGGCGGGAGGGAAAGGCCCTGGGAGGGGCTCTCTAATCTCCCAGCCCCGACTCTGCCCCGTCACTGCCGCTGCTCCTCATTACTCGCTGGGGCTGCTGTCGCCTCCCCGAAGGGTGGCCTTGTCCAGATAGTGGCAAACCTCCCTGCCGTGGATGAGTCAGGAGCATTTTCTTAAGAGGAACATCACTGGAAAACAAAATGAGCGGGGACACAGAAACCAACAGCAGTGGCTGCATTTGTGGTACAGGCTCCTCTTCCAGAGCTCGCTGATGCCCACCTCAGACAGGCCTGACCACGGCACGGCTGGTGGGATTTGCCAGTCACCTCAACCAGCCAGTTCCACCCTCAGCTTCTCTCAGAAGGGAGCACCACACTCCTCAAGCTCAGTGAATGTATCCCGGCATGGGTGGGGCCAGAGCCTGTGATATCTCGAGGTGGGCTCGGCAGGACACCGGGGTGTGGAAGGGGGAAGCGAGCACCTGACTCAGACAGCGCGGGAGCTCGCAGGAGTCACGAGGCCACAGCGACTTCATTGTCTGACTGGGCCTGGACCTATAAACTTCCCACCTCAGCCTTGGGCCAAGCCTGGAAGATAAAAATGGAGCACCCCATGGCGCCCCTCACTCAGATTCTCCCCTGGGCTTCTCCCACGCAGCCCCAGAAGAGGACACACCAGCCCCAGAGTTAGCCCCAGAGGCCCCTGAGCCTCCTGAAGAGCCCCGCCTAGGAGTGCTGACCGTGACCGACACAACCCCAGACTCCATGCGCCTCTCGTGGAGCGTGGCCCAGGGCCCCTTTGATTCCTTCGTGGTCCAGTATGAGGACACGAATGGGCAGCCCCAGGCCTTGCTCGTGGACGGCGACCAGAGCAAGATCCTCATCTCAGGCCTGGAGCCCAGCACCCGCTACAGGTTCCTCCTCTATGGCCTCCATGAAGGGAAGCGCCTGGGGCCCCTCTCAGCTGAGGGCACCACAGGTACCACCAGGCGTCTCCGGCCTCTAGCCTAGGACTCAGAAGGGAGAAACGGGGGCTCAGAAGGGGTGGTCGCAGGGAAAGAGCGTGAGGCGGGTACCAGGGAGAGAGGATGGATGGGCTGGATGCGAGTGGCCTTTAGCTCTGCCCCACAGGACCCCCCTGTGGCTGCAAGTCCCTGGTTACAGATAGAGAAACGGGGGCAGGGAGGGGGGTGGAAGGGACGTGCTCTGGGTCACCAAGCTGGTGTGCTTCTGTCTCCAATCCCTTCTCCCCCACCCACTCCGTGCAGGGCTGGCTCCTGCTGGTCAGACCTCAGAGGAGTCAAGGCCCCGCCTGTCCCAGCTGTCTGTGACTGACGTGACCACCAGTTCACTGAGGCTCAACTGGGAGGCCCCACCGGGGGCCTTCGACTCCTTCCTGCTCCGCTTTGGGGTTCCATCACCAAGCACTCTGGAGCCGCATCCGCGTCCACTGCTGCAGCGCGAGCTGATGGTGCCGGGGACGCGGCACTCGGCCGTGCTCCGGGACCTGCGTTCCGGGACTCTGTACAGCCTGACACTGTATGGGCTGCGAGGACCCCACAAGGCCGACAGCATCCAGGGAACCGCCCGCACCCTCAGCCCAGGTAAGGACCCACACACACTCTGCCCCAAAGTGGGGGTCTTTGTACTTCACGGGGGGGACCTAGTGCCTCAGCCAGCGGTGGGGGTGGGCGAGTTGGTGGTGGGCCTGGAGGAATCTGCAGAGCGACTTCCATTCCTGGGGACTAGAGGAAAAGGGGTGGTGAGCCTGTGCTGGAGCAGAGGCGAGGGGGGGACTCGCAGGGAGGAGCCTCCCTGCCCCTGCCTGCGTCATTGTTCCTTGACCCCTCTGCAGTTCTGGAGAGCCCCCGTGACCTCCAATTCAGTGAAATCAGGGAGACCTCAGCCAAGGTCAACTGGATGCCCCCACCATCCCGGGCGGACAGCTTCAAAGTCTCCTACCAGCTGGCGGACGGAGGTGGTGCCTTTGCCATGTGCTCATCGCCTCGCATTTCCTCTCCCCCCTGCACTCTGCCCACCCTCCAGCCGCCCTGGGGTTCCCTGGGTAACCCTCGATCCCCAACGTTTTCAGGGGAGCCTCAGAGTGTGCAGGTGGACGGCCGGGCCCGGACCCAGAAACTCCAGGTGGGAGTCAAGAAAACGGCATGGGTGGGAGTTGAGAGAGAACGAGGAGGGTGAAAGGGAGGTGGTGGAGGCTCCGATTGCGGACGGGAGGCCAGTGGAGTCTGGGGAGGCACGGAGTAGAGAGAGCCGCGGGGACCCTTCTGAGCCCCTCCCCTTCCCCCAGTTCCTGACGGTCCCACACAGTTGCGTGCACTGAACTTGACCGAGGGATTCGCCGTGCTGCACTGGAAGCCCCCCCAGAATCCTGTGGACACCTATGACGTCCAGGTCACAGCCCCTGGGGGTGAGCAGGCCTGAGGCCTCTGGAGGGGACTTGTTCAGGGTGGGGATTGCAGGGGGGAGGCTGGACTCTGGCCGAGGATGGAGGGGGCAGGCCTTGATGCCCCTCTCTACACTCCCAGCCCCGCCTCTGCAGGCGGAGACCCCAGGCAGCGCGGTGGACTACCCCCTGCATGACCTTGTCCTCCACACCAACTACACCGCCACAGTGCGTGGCCTGCGGGGCCCCAACCTCACTTCCCCAGCCAGCATCACCTTCACCACAGGTAGGGTCTGTGGGGTGTGTGGGACAGGGAGAGGAGGTAGAGGGAGCCAGGTTGGGCCTCATCCCCATCTCCTCTTCCTGCTTTCCCTCCTAGGGCTAGAGGCCCCTCGGGACTTGGAGGCCAAGGAAGTGACCCCCCGCACCGCCCTGCTCACTTGGACTGAGCCCCCAGTCCGGCCCGCAGGCTACCTGCTCAGCTTCCACACCCCTGGTGGACAGAACCAGGTGCCCCGGCCCCACTGACCCAACTCCCCTCCCTGGGTGATTCCAGGAGGTGCTGCCTCTGGCCCTCCCGGAGGGTCTCCACCTCCCTCTCCCCTGACCCCCCCTTGTCTGTCCCACAGGAGATCCTGCTCCCAGGAGGGATCACATCTCACCAGCTCCTTGGCCTCTTTCCCTCCACCTCCTACAATGCACGGCTCCAGGCCATGTGGGGCCAGAGCCTCCTGCCGCCCGTGTCCACCTCTTTCACCACGGGTACCTGGACGCACGGGCCCGGGGCCGGGGGCTGGGTGGGCAGCCAGGGCCTAAGGCTTGGAAAAGGACTGGCCCCTGCTCTCCTCTCCCAGGTGGGCTGCGGATCCCCTTCCCCAGGGACTGCGGGGAGGAGATGCAGAACGGAGCCGGTGCCTCCAGGACCAGCACCATCTTCCTCAACGGCAACCGGGAGCGGCCCCTGAACGTGTTTTGGGACATGGAGACTGATGGGGGCGGCTGGCTGGTGGGTGGCATTGGGAAGCCCAGGGGTCTGTGCAGGGCAAGGGGCTGTTGCCCCGGGAGCCAGAGGCTGATGGTGCCCCCACTTGCTTCCCAGGTGTTCCAGCGCCGCATGGATGGACAGACAGACTTCTGGAGGGACTGGGAGGACTATGCCCATGGTTTTGGGAACATCTCTGGAGAGTTCTGGCTGGGTCAGTGCCTCACAGGGACTGGGGAACTACGGATGGGGATGGGGGCCCTGTGGACACCAGGACCCTGATGAGGGCACGTATCCCACCCCCAGGCAATGAGGCCCTGCACAGCCTGACACAGGCAGGTGACTACTCCATGCGCGTGGACCTGCGGGCTGGGGACGAGGCTGTGTTCGCCCAGTACGACTCCTTCCACGTAGACTCGGCTGCGGAGTACTACCGCCTCCACTTGGAGGGCTACCACGGCACCGCAGGTAAGCAGAGGCTGTGAGGCTGGGAGGGTGAGGCTGGGAGGGGAGGCCCTCATGGCTCCTTCCTCCACCCTGCCCAGGGGACTCCATGAGCTACCACAGCGGCAGTGTCTTCTCTGCCCGTGATCGGGACCCCAACAGCTTGCTCATCTCCTGCGCTGTCTCCTACCGAGGGGCCTGGTGGTACAGGAACTGCCACTACGCCAACCTCAACGGGCTCTACGGGAGCACAGTGGACCATCAGGTGAGGGGTGGGGAGGCGGCTCAGAGCTGGGGTGGCTGGGGCTCGGCCTGCCTAGGTTTCAGCCCCACAGTGTAACAGGCAAGGGACTGAGCGGCTGGGTGAAATGGAACAATCATGCCAGCCTCGCAGAGGGAGCTGGAGTTGATTTATTGGCTGGAAAGGACCAGCTCAGGATTAAGCCTCAATCCTCTGCGGCAGAGGGTCAGGAAGGGAGCTCTGCGGGGAGGTTGGTTGAGTGCTGGGAGCCACCTCCTTAAGGGGAACGGGAGGAGCAGATGGGACATCCGGCTTTGACTCTCTCTTGACAACCCCTTTCCCAGGGAGTGAGCTGGTACCACTGGAAGGGCTTCGAGTTCTCGGTGCCCTTCACGGAAATGAAGCTGAGACCAAGAAACTTTCGCTCCCCAGCGGGGGGAGGCTGAGCTGCTGCCCACCTCTCTCGCACCCCAGTATGACTGCCGAGCACTGAGGGGTCGCCCCGAGAGAAGAGCCAGGGTCCTTCACCACCCAGCCGCTGGAGGAAGCCTTCTCTGCCAGCGATCTCGCAGCACTGTGTTTACAGGGGGGAGGGGAGGGGTTCGTACGGGAGCAATAAAGGAGAAACTGAGGTACCCGGCTGGCATCGGTCCTGCCCCATCACTGGTTCTGGCCTGGGCTGTGGGCCCCCATCCCCCGGGGCTGCAGCCGCACTTGGAAAGGCTGCATCTTGAGGATGACACTGCAGTGGGGCAGGGGCTGCAGGGAGGGCAGGGCGTCCCCGGAGGGCAGCAGCGTGAAGGCCTGCAGCAGTCGGGTCAGCACCACGAAGAGCTCCAGGCGCGCCAGCGGCTCGCCCAGGCACACGCGGGCACCGCAGCCGAAGGCCAGAGCTCTGGAGTTCTTGCCTGGCTCCAGGAAGCGATCTGCGGGCGGGTGGACAGGTGGGTGGGGAGGCGTTCAGCGGCAGCGGGGACCAGCCTCCACCACATTTTCATGGCAGGCCCCCGGCCCCCCACATACCAGGCCAGAACTCATGTGGCCTCTCCCAGACCGTCTCATCCAGGTGGGCGCCTTGGAGGTTCGGAATGATGACTGTGCCCTCAGGGATGTCGTAGCCGGAGATGCTGAAGGGGGCTGGAGTTAGAGGCTGGCCAGGACCTCCCTGGGCTCGGGCTTTCCTCACTCATCCCCAACCCTCGGGAGTCACCTGCTGGGCCGTGTGGTGCGGTGGGGCAAGGCTAAGGGCACAACGGGCCACAGGCGCAGCACCTCGGCGATGGTGGCATTGAGCAAGGGCAGCCGTGCACGGTCCTTGTAGGGGACCCGGGAGCTGGAGGCACCAGGGCCCAGTTCGTGGTCTAGCTCCTCCTACAGTCGCTGCTGAATCTGGGGAATGATCGGGTGGAGTCCTGCCCCAGCAGCCCACAGCTGCCCAGCCTCCAGCCGCTCCCTCAGCAACCCAGTGAGCCTGAGTGCCGGTGAGGCAAGCACAGCCCCAGCCGCACAGTGCTCAGAGCTGAGTGAGGGTGCCCACCGCCCTGGCCAGGTTGCTGGGAAGGAGCCTTTTGCTTGTCCGCAGGACGCACCTCAGGGTGGTGAAGCAAAAAAAACCACGGCCCAGGAGAGGGTGTTTGCTGTGGTCTCAGTGCCACCGATCAGGAGGTCCACTGCAGCCATGTGCAAGTGCCCTTCCAGGAGCTGTCCAGAGCCCTCTTCCATGCTCGGCTGCGCCACCCCTTGGAGCATGTAGTCCATCATGTCCCTCCACTGGCCTGCCACCAGGCTCTCCTGCAGAGGGTGAAAGGAGCGGGCTGAGCGGCTGGCCTGGGGAGAGGAGTACAGAGTGGCAACAGGCCCATAACTGGGGTATGCAAAAGAACCCGCCTCATAGCAATGCTGAGGCCGGTAGCATCACTGGCTGTGGGCCGAGGGGAGGCCGTCCACACACAGTCCCCACCTTGTGCTGCCTCAGCTGCTTCTCCTCGTTGTGGTCCCTCTTCTCTATGGCCTGCTTCAGCCTCCGGAGACCTGGATTGGGGAAGAACTGCGGCAGGAAGCATGAGAATGCAGCTGTGGGAAGGAGCCTCTCCCTCCACCCCAGCCTCTCCCCTACAACCCAGGGGTGTCTAGGCTCCAGGTCCTCACCCTGAGAAAGGGAATCACGTCCACAATTTGGATGGACCAGTGGCTCCAGGTTTTTAACACCTCCTGGATACATTTGTAATAGGCAGGCATTAAGTTGTCCTCCTGCCAGGAAAGGATGGAGTACTTTCAGTTCAGGACAAGGAGAGGCTCAGGGAGGGGCTGGGGGTGGGCCTGAGGGGCTGTGAGGCACCTTGATCTTGTCTCCGAAGGTGAGGTAACAGTTGATGCTGCAGGTGAGGAGAGAGAATTCCTCCTCAATGGCCACAGGGGTGCCGGGCTGGGCTCTCATGCGCTGTGGAGAAACAGTGTGAGTTCAGCAGGCCGCTGTGCAGCGGGCAGGGCGGGGGCTACTGTGAGAGGCGAGGCTGACCCGAGGTGGCCTCAGGAGCCCAGCCTTACCTCACAGAACTCCTGGGTCAGCTGCTCCACCACTGGCTCCATGGAGTCACGGATGCCCAGCAGCAGGGCTGAGCGGGTGAGCTTCTTGTGGGCTTTCCAGAGCAGAGACCAACGACAGGTCCGGGTAGTTCTTAGACACCAGCTTGTCTGCAGGAGGAGCTGGGGGCTGGAGGGTGGGAACTGACCAAGGAAGCCGAGGGCCTGACCTTCTTCTGCCTCCTCAACACCTGCTTCTTCTCCTGAAGATATGCCCCCCAAGAGCTTCCAGTGACCTGGAGGATTGGGGAAGCCCCCGAAGGTGGCTCCCACTTGAGGCCGAGGTGGGAGGATCACTTGAGACCAGGAATTCAAGACCAGCCTGGGCAACATAGCAAGACCCCATCTCTAACAAAAAAAAAATTTGTTTAAGAAAGAAAAAATGCCCCCGGCCCTTACAGGTAAGTGGCTCAGGTCTGCCAGCAAAGTCTGCCCACTTTTTGACCATGGCTTCCTCAATGGTCCTCTTGGAGTTCAGCACCACCACATCTGGGAGACAGCCAAAGCAGCGTCAGCGGAGAGAGGACCCTCTCCGTCACCTCCGCCCCCTCCTATGGTGAGGGCCAGAGCGAGATCAGCCTCTCACCTTGCAGCCCAAGGTGGAGCCTGTAGATGGGCCCGAATTTCTGAGTCAGGCCAAGCAGATAGATGGGGAGGTCGGGCTGCAGCAGGTGCAAGAAGCCCGGGGCAAGAGGCAGGAGGTGGAGGCTCCGGAGCTTCCACCAGTTCCACAGCAGGCGGGCGCCAGCCAGCAGGGGCAGCAGCAGCAGCAGGCCCAGGAGCAGCATGGCAAGACGCCCGTCAGGGCCCTGAGGTGCCACTTATAGCTCAAGAGCCCCAGCCATCCCTCCTGCTGTGTAGACTGTTTTGGGGCCTCCCTTGACCCCACCCTCAGGTGCCTTCCCACCGACCCACCCACAGAGTGGCCCTTTTCTGGAATGACACCAGTCTCATTGGCCTTGGGACGTCCGTATTTCAAAAAAAATTAATCACCCATCGAGAAGCAAGGAAGGGAAATGCAACCCTGACCTTTTTCCTGCATCCAGAGTCAGCTTTCTGGTTCCACATCACCCGTGCAGGCAAGGGTGTCCGCCCCGACCTGGGCCCTCTCCCTCTGCCACCCCACCGTGGGCCAGTTTACTGGCATGATGTTTGTCTCAGAGAGAAAATGGCAGTCCCTGCCTAATAGGCCTTCCTGAATCGCCTGAAGAACAAAATGTGATTTGTGTGGGTTTGTTTGTTAGTTTAAGCTACAGATAGAGTAATACAGTTTAAGCCTGGTTTGCCTGGGGCATTCCAGTATATACAGGTATCCCAGTGTGATTGTTATTAGTGCCTCCTTTCACTCACAAAAGTGCCCAGAAGACAAAGGAGGAAGTGGTTTCCCGCTGCGGAGTAATAGCATGTACCAGACACTGCTCTAAGTGCTTTGTGGGCACTCACTCAACTCTTCACAGCCATGCTCTATATGCAACACGGGTATTGTTCGCATGTTGTGGAGGGCAGGATTCCAGCCTGGAAATCTAGCTGTCGAATATGTACCTTTAGCCACCAGGAGCACCTTTCTTTGGTTGAAAGGAAAACAGCCCACCTTGAGCTGGTTTGAGACAAAAAGTAAGGATTGGGGAATTTCACAGAACTCAGGAAAAAGAAGCAGAGGAGGGGACCCCACTGGTCTTAGAAAGCCAAGGATAGGGAACAGAAAAAGCCCCGGAGACGGGCAGTTTCCTCGCTCTGTTCCTCTCTCCTCTTTCTTCTCTCTGCAGTCAAGTTTCTTGTGTTTCCAGGCACAGGCAGAACATGACTGCCCTCAGGACTACAGTCCACAGGTTCTACTCCAGCCAGGGAAAGTATGGATTCCCAGCACAACTGGGCATGCCCCCCCTCAAAGTCCAAAGTCCCCAGGAAGGGGCTGGATAGCCACAGCTGGATCAGGATCAAGGGTCCAGCCCTATTTGGGGAACTGAAGCCATAAGGGGTGGGGGTCCCACTGGACTGACACTCAGAGACCACTTTTGTGAGTAAGGAGGCAGTTTGGGGATTTGGGAAGAGGCCATGCCAAAGAGGAGTGGCCGGGTTCAGTGAGAGGCCAGGGCCTCCTGGATGGTACCTGAGAGGTCAGAGGCGACCCAGCCCCATACCTTCCCCCCCATTTCTGGCTCTGTGCCAGACCCTCGGACCAGTGGGGGTCTCTCTCCCCTCAGAGCTTTTCCAGACTGTGCTACTGCAGAGCCAGAGTCAAGACCCTGGCTGTGCCACCCACTACATTGGCGAGTTCGCTGCTGCTGAATCCATGATCAGGACTGAGAGGGAGAAAACAGGATTGGGATTTCTGGGGTTGGGCAATGACAGCTACTGCCTTCTTCATGGTTGACCTCCCAGACCGGGCCAGGTCTTGCTGCAACTGAATCCCTGGCTCCGGAAAATGGGCTTATGCCACCACCATGCTGAGCAGCTACTGGGAGAAAGATCTGATGAGCAACCATAGGGCCATGTATGCAAGAGCCTCAGGAAACCTCTGCCACAGTGGGAAAGGCCCAAACTTCTCAAAGTTACGTGGGATAAGACAGTGCTCATCGGAAAGGAGCGCACCTGGAAGGCTGACGTGCTTACTACTTGTCTCACCATCTCCATCTCTTCCACCACTTCCAAATCCAAACTCCGAATGTGGTCAATTACATGCAATGTCCCCAAAGGTACCCTGTCCTGCCCCCGGCCTCTGGGCCTTTGTATATTCTCCTTCTGCCCCAGATGCCCTCATCTACCCCTGCTCTTTTCCTGGCTCCTTCTCAGTCTTCAGAGCCCCACTTGGAGGCCACCTGCTCCAGGAAGCCTTCCCTGTCCCTGCCTGGCAATGCCCCTGACTTGGTTAGATGCCCCACAGGACCACACTGCTCCCTGACATCACATCTTTCACAGAGGGTGGGGACTGCCCGTCCTCTTATCTGTCTCCCCAGCGATGAGCCCTGGAGTGAGCAGCTGTATCTCTGGCACCTGGCACAGGGCATGGCATGAAGTGAAAGATTCCCGAATTTCTGTCGAATGACTGGATGGCAGGCTGCTGAACTGTCATGACCTCTACGGAAACTGATCTCACCAAACTTCTTTGGACAGACGCGGAGTCATCTCTGAAGACCCCAGGTGTGCCACTAAATGGGGGAAAGTTAGGCAGGTCCGGTGGGAAGGGGAGACCCCAGGAGAACAGCGGCTTCCTCAGAGGATTCACAAACACACCAAAGTCAGACTTTTGGCTTGTTTGAAACCAGTAACTGGAAGAAGACACTGCCGGACCTGAGGATTGCACAACTCCGGGAAAGTCACCTCATTCCACTGATAACAGAACCAAGCGTCAGCAGGCTTTCAACAGCCCGGAACTCAGCTAAAATCTGCAGACCTCAGAACCGCCAGCAGCACGAGGACAGAGTCGGGGAGGTGTAGCTGGACAACAGCTCATGAGGCAGAAGAGCTGTGTCACAGGTGTCAGCTGAGCACAAGCCCTGTCTGAGGCCGTGGTGACTGGCGACAGCCGGGCAGTGGAGGGCCTTGGAAGCTGAAGGGTGGTCTTGGCATGGACTCTGGTCCTTGGGGTGCAGGCTCTTGGGTCCCAGTTCTGCTCGGGGTGGTCCTGTGAAGCACTAGACTCCTAGCGGGTCATCTGGGAGGTTCTAGCAGAGCTGAACAGCCCAAGGGTCATCAGGGCTCAGAGAGTCTAAGGTTATGTCAACCTGGCCTGCCCAGAACTGCATCGGGCAGGGGCACTGCTCTCAGCCCTAGCAACACACACTGACACTTCACTGCCAACACTGACACTTTGCTGCCAAAAGCCTTTAATATGCCCTGGTCCCAGGCTGTGTTCATGAAAGCGGACACAGCAGTGCTTCCAGCTTCATGGTTCCCAGGTTCAGGTTCCTCCCAGCGGAGGTGGGAGGGCAGCCCTCACACCTGGCACCCCTGAGTGCCATACTCCTGGAGGAAGTCGTTGAGCTGGGCACAGGCTGCCCGCTGGCGGGTGCTCCGGCACAGGCGTTCAGAGGGCATCTCCTCGATCCAGCTATTCGAGTCCAGCAGGTACTGGGGGCTGCAGGGGGCAAAGGGGCAGTCAGCAGGGCTCGGGAGGATGGCAGGTGGAAACGGAGAGCACAGGCATCTGGCTTCTGAGGGGCAAGGCCTAGGTGGCGAGGCATGGGGAGGACAAGAGACTGAGGGGACCAGATGACTCACTGTCCCTCGAGGTCATAGGTGGCCCCATCCAGACCCATGATCAAATATTCTTTCCCAGGTTCCAAGCGAAGGCGGCAGGAGGCTCGAACCAGGAAGTTGCGCATCTGATTAGCAGCGGCCTTGACATCCTTGGCTGCGGGGATGACGTGCGCAAAAGTGGTCAGAGGGGAAGAGAAGGTGCAGGGTGAGCCCAGGCTGGGGACTCTGTGTAGATCCTCTCATTCCACCTTCGCCACCCCCATGGAGAGGTGCCACTGCCTCCCTATTTATGGCCAAGCCCAAGGCTTCTGACAGCCCAAGGGGATTTTCACACTTCCAGATGGTCAGGTCCTCGGCCACACCTCAGCCTCCCTGTCTCCCCCCAGCCCTGCCCGCCTCTCCGGTTTGCTTCATACTGAAGTGCAGGACTTGGGTGATCTTGGTCTCAAAGAGGCGGAAAGCAGCTCTGCTGTCTTCTCGGAGAACCTTAACCTGGAAGCCTAAGAGGGGGTGAGGAGAAGGGGGAAAGGTGAGTTACTTTGAGGCTGAGAGGGTAGGAAGTTGGTGTCAGAGCAAACAGGCTGCGTGCATGACCTGTAAGAGGAGCAGGCTACACCCAGAGAGACCAAAACGGCCGGTCCCCGAGGGAGGGTCAGGCCAGGGCCTCGGTGGGAAGACTGACCGTACTCCACACGGGGGTAGTAGCAGGCAAACTTCATCCTGTAGCCATCCTCGTCCTGCAGACCCCGCTCCAGGGCGCGACGCTGGCGAGGGCACTTCCCTGAAGTTGGGGAACCCATCAGACAGTGTGGGGGGGGCCCCGGCCATCCCGCCTCCACTGCCCCGCCCCAGGCCCTCAGTCTCACCCTCAGCACACTGGCAGACTTCAGCAGAACACAAGGTGGCCAAGAGTCTGCTCTTACTTGGTGCCCCGTAAAACACAGAACATCTGCGCTCTGGAGAACAGAGAGGAGTTAGGGCACAGGCCCCTCCATTCTGCCTCCTCAGTCCCAGGGAGCCCCAGGGCTCTCTGCCCCCTCACTACCCCGGTGTCCATTGTCCCATAGGAGGGCACCTATGCCAAAGTTCTCCTGAATTTCAGGGTGTCCTGCAGTGCTCACCGGGGTTGTAGTAGTCGTACAGGGTTGCGCTGGCCGGCTGCACCAGCCCCACCGGCACTTCCTGCACAGCCTCAAAGCCCACGCACTCCCGGGAGGTGGGGACCTGGCCAAGCGTGGGGAGGAGAGATGAGGGACCCACTCCCTGGGCCCTGCAGCCCCCTGTACTGGGTTTCCTTGGCCTGTTTTTGTTTGCTTCCTATTGGCCTTCTCTCCAGTGTCCTTCACATTCTGTTACCTTCCTACTCAGAGAACTCTCAAAGCTGCTCCGCAAGGTCTCTGGTGACTTCACTTCCCAGAGGGTGACCTTGCCCCAGTCTTCACTGCTCCAGGCCCTCAGCAGAGTCTTGCATCATGGACGTGTTCTCTGTGAAACTGTCCCTAAGCTAAGGGTTAGCTTCTGGACCACCCTTGGTTCTGACCTGGTCATTTCTTACGTTCCCTCCTTCGGAACTTCCTTCCTCAGAGCTCCCCTGTGGGGGTCTCAACCACTCCCTGGCTTCCACCAAACCAATCCAGGCTGATGATTCCCAAACTGAACTTGCAGCTCCATCCTTGCATTAGGATTGTGGCAGGACCTGTAAGTTCTCCAAGGCACTCTGCCTGCCCCCAAACCCACTCGCCCTCCTCGCGGCCTCATCTTTGTCATGGATACAACTGGGTCCTCCTTTATTTGCCACAACCTAACTGCAGGTTCTGTCATCCTGCCTGACCCCCCGACTCAGGTCCCAGGCCTGACCCCTCCTCGTGCCCACGCGGGCCCAGTCCACACGGTGCCGTGCCAGTGTCCCTCCTGAGCTAGGCTGCTGCACCGTCAGCTCCCTATCCGGGAATCTTGTTGGCTCTGTGTTTTCTATTGTGTTCAACCCAGATGTGTCAGCCAGGCTTCCCCAGCTGATGGGGGCTGGCCCCTCTGCACACACTGGGTAGGGGTCTCCCTGACCTACAAACAGCTGGCTAATGACAGCCACCACACCTTTCTCACATTTTCTCCCAGAGGTTACAGTAAATGTTCCAAAACTTTTTTTGAAGGCCGGGCATGGTGGCTCTGGCCTGTAAATCCGGTACTTTGAAAGGCCTAGGCCAGAGGATCGCTTGAGGCCGGGAGTTCAAGACCAGCCTGGGCAACAGAGCGAGACCCTGTCTTTACTAAATAAATAAATAAAAATGTTTTGAGAGCCGTAAGAGGGTTGATAACTATTTTAGCCAAATAAGGTCGTGAAAAGACAAATACAACTATCATCTATGGCCACCATCACTTTGTAAAGGAAAATACGCTTTAATATTAAAAAAAAGATAGGAAGTTCAACAAAAAAACAAAGGCAGCCCCTCAAGCTGAATAAAACCAGCATTAGGAAAGACTCCCTCTCAAACCCTGAGGGTCCCTGCTGACTGGCATCGGTCCCTGCCGCCTGCAGGTCTGCCCCTTACTCTGCTGTGTCTCACGGGCTCACATTCTTGTCCTTCTCTCTGATGACATCACAAGTTCTCAAGAGCACCAGCCGCTGACACAGCTGTCTCCTGAGAAACCTCCTAACGCATACTCAGTAAACCCGGTGCCATCGAGTCCCTTCCTGCCTCATCTCTCCCCACTCACCGAGTCAAAATACAGCAGGACGTGGGGCCCCTCGGTCTCAAAGTGACTCACGTAACGGTCAGAGAGGGAGGTCAGCTGTGGAAAAGGGGAGTTGGTCACAGGCCCTGCACATGACAGGGCTCAGTACCTGGGACAGAGGGGGTTGCCCTGGGTGGCTGACCACACCTTCTCCAGGTCAGCACGCAGGGCGTGGAATCCACTCAGGAGGGTGACGTCCGCGATGGCCATGCCAGACAGCCCCACCTTGCCGTTCCGCCTGTGGAGACGTGTGAGCTGTCGTCCAGGTTCTGCCTGCGCGGGCTCCAGAAGCCCAGCCCCAGCCTGGGTCCTGCCCTCCCTCCCCTGGCCCAGGGCAGCTCCCGGCGCCCACCAGATGCACACGGTGTAGTGCACCCTGGACTCCTGCTCCTCCACCACCTTGGGCGCCTCCCTCCTGCGGCGGTTCCTCCGACCCTCAAACAGCTGCAGGGGTGTCACGGGCTGCAGAGGGGCATCTGGGTCATCCTTGGCTGGAAGCTCATCGTACTCATAGTCCTCATAGTCCTCGTTTGCTTCCACTGCACAGGGAAGCATTGTGAGGAGGGCTGGGATGGCCACCCGGCTCCCTGCGCCAGCCCCTGCCTGGCCCCAAGGCCTCCCAACCCCCACACTCACTCGTGTACTCGACGTGGCCTTTGACTGTCACTTCTATCTGTAGGTCCTGGCAGGTCGTGTTCTTCATGTCCAGGACATTGTAGGTACGAAGGACCTGGCTCAGCAAGGGGCAGGGAGAGGACGTGGGACATGTGAGGCCACAGACCTCTCTGGTGCCATACCTAAGGGCATCTCCCTGGGCTACAGGATTTGAGGCCTTCAGCCCCTTTTCCTCCCCGTCACTGCACAGTCCACACACACGAGTGGCACCACATTCGCCACAGGCGTCAGGCGAGACAGAGAGGTAAAGAAGCAGGGGCCTGCCCCCAGAGGCCAACACTCCAGACTGTGCTGGGAAGAGGCTGGACTGAAAAGCTCAGGAAAGGCTTCTGGCCAAGGCTTGAAGGAGAAGAAAGAGCTTGTCCTGTGGGCCAAGAAGCAGGGAAGGACAGGAAAGGCAAGGGGATCTGTGTAGACAAGGAGAGCTGTCTGGCCGGAGGGGTGGGCAGAGGCCCAGCCATCTGAGCCGTGGGCAGCGGGGAGTGACTTTTCCCCAAGGCTGATCTGGCTGGGGCTTTTGGAAGGTCAGTGTCACTGCCGTGTGGACAGTGGATCAGACAGGGGAGACAGGAGGTAGAGAGAAGTTCCAGGTAGGGAGAAGGCCGTCTCAGCACAGAATCTAGGATGCAGCACCAAGGGCCACAGGCAGCAGGGGAGCAGAGGAGGAGTCACTAGGGACATAAGGACAGGCTTGGGAGAGGGGCCACTAACACGGCCTCTAGAGTAGTGGCTGGGCTCCTGGCTGGGAGGGGCTCCCACCAGCCAGACAAGAGACACAGAATGAAGAAGGGCTTTGGGACATGCCTCGTCTGAGGTGCTGTGGGAGTGGGACGAGTGGGGCCCATGGTTCAGGGAAGAGGCCTGGGCTGAGGAGTGGGATTCGGAGCCACCAGCACTGAGGCGGGTAAAGGAAACAACAGGTACCCAGAGATGGGGAGAGCAAGCGAAAGCAAGCAGGGGGAAAAACACCCAGGACGGAAGCACGGGACACCAACCCTGAGGTGTCTGCCTCCTTCCCCGGACCATGTGCCTCTGCCCACAGGCCTCTCACTCCACACCCTCTCCTCCACCAGTGCCTGGCCCCACCCCTTCCCTGGCCCTCACCTTCAGGGTTCCTTTGCTGTTTCCTCCCACCTTCACATTGATCTTGCTGCCCAAGGAAAACTTCAGCAACAGAAAAGGGAAGGCGATGTTAGAAGGGCACAAGCAAACCTGTTTTTGCGGCTCCAATAACTTATCTCCTTCCTCAAAACAGCCCCACCTCCTCTCCCCACCTCACATTTCCACAAAGTTTATACCAGCACATGAATTATCTCACTTCAGCCTTCTAACGACCCTGTAGGGTGAACTCTGTGTATGTTACTCTACAAGTGAGAAAACTGAAGCTCAGAGCTCCAGGTCACACAGCCAGGAAGTCAGTCTTCCCCCGAAGACCCCAGGAAGAAGTGCTGCGGGGATTCCACGGGTGGGAGGGTGGGGACGGCTTCTGGCCTGGCCACGAGGCCCAGGTGTCCTGGCTACCCAGGCGAGGGAGTGGTTCACCAGGGAGTGGTTCACCTGCAGCTCCTCCTCCAGGCCGCGAATCTGGCGGTTGTTCAGCTGCAGCGCGTGGGACTTGAACCCATTCCGGCCTGTGGAGCTGAGAGTCACATTGAGACCCCTCTCCTCAGTGGTGTGGGAGGCAATCCAGTAGGCAGACAGGGCATCCAGGGCAATCACCGTGTCCTAGGGAGGTTGAGCCAGGACTCAAGCAAGCCCTTGGTCTGAGGACTACCCACCCCCGCCAGAGCCCGGGGACGGCCCCTACTTGGGTACTGCGGAATCCCCCTTGGAAGCTGCCCTGACGGGTGAGCCAGGCCGAAGCCTGGTCTGCCATCTCTGCTTTGCCCTCGTGAAGCAGGAGGTGCAGCAGGGCGTAGGCTGTGGTTTCAATCCACAGGGCTGGGGCCTGGGGCATGGGGTCGGATGGGTTGCGAGGAGCCGGGGTGGGCGACACGGCATTGCTCTGAGAACCAGTGACTGAGCCCCAGTACAGGTTATCTGAAAGTGAAGGGAGACCACGAGTAAACAGGAAGGCAGGGAGAAGAGCCTGGTCCCCTGGCCCTTAGCCACCCCCTGCTGGGCTCTCCTGAGTCTCCCCCAACCCACCCCTGCTTATAACTTCATTCCTCCTCTGAGTCTTCATCCAGCCTCTCCCTCTGGGCACACTCAGGGATCCTAAGGTCCCCTGGGCCTCAGGCTCACTGCCAGGAGCGCCTCACCCCTCACCTCCAGTCTCCTGGGCCATTGCCATGAGGTTGTTGTGGGCAACACCGAGCAGGTCCACAGGCGCCTTGGTCAGTGTCAGGGCATAGGCCGTGATGGCAGCTGCGTGGGCACCCAGGAGCCCAGCACTTGCTTTCTCCCCCAAAAATGAGTTTGCCTTTGAGATGGAGGCTTCCTGGAAGAAAACGGGAGGAGGGTCTTGGGCCTGGACCCCTGGGTTCCTGAGGAAAAAGGGAGAGAGCTGGGGGCCAGCAGAGGGCAGAAACGCCACTGAACTTACCACTCTCTGCTTCAATGGCTCTGCACCCTCATCCTGGAAGACGGCCAGCCCATGATGAAGGGCGATGGTCACAAAGGCTGTGAGTGCCACAGTCTCATCATTGCCCACCAAACCCCCCTAGTAAGGGGAGAAAAGATGTCAAACAGGAGGGGGAAGGGGCAAAGAGAGTCCTCCGACAGGCGCTTCTCGGGCCAGCCCCAGCATGCCCGCACCTGCATGCTCCTGTCTAACACTGGACAGGGGTCCTGGAACGAGCCGTCAGCCTGCTGCTGGGACAGAAGCCAGTTAGATGTCTCCTGCAGTTTCTCAGGCGAGCCTCCTACCTGCTCCTGGGCCAAACTCAGGACCTTCAACACAAAGGCTGTGAGCCTGGAGGGCAGGAAAGGAGGGTTGGGGATAAGGACTTGCTTCTCATTATGCCCACGCCCCCAGGTGCCTGGTTATCCACCCTCCCATCATACCAGCTCTGTCCCACCCCTGCCCCAGCCCTGACCCCCTCAGAACCCTGGAACCACTCTCCCAAGCTCACCAGGTGCTGCTGTCCCGTGACAACCAAGCCGCATAGGAACCATCCGCCTTCCGAAACTGCTGGATCCGCATGTAGCCTTGGAGAGGAGAGGTGGCCGCTCAGGTGACACTCACCCTTCTGCTGTTTGAGCCCAAGGCCATGCTCCCCATCCTCATCAGGGGCCCCCTTTCTTTCCCTCTGTAGCCTCCTGGGCTGTCCATCTTCCAGTAACTGTCCTTTCCTGGCCCCCCTCCTGCTTGCCCTTGCACCCAGAACCTTTCTGGATCAGATCCACGGCGTGGTCCTTGGTCTCGGGAGGCAGTGTGCTCCACTGCTCTGTCTTGTCCAGGTAGCGGGAAGCAGCCAGTGTCGGAGCCAAGTAGATCATGGTTTGCTCCCCACAGCCTCGAGGAAGCCTCAAGAGGGAGGCCACGCCTCCTGGTGACAAGGCCCCCTCAGAGCCTAAAGTGTCCAATGGATCTGAGGCTACATGGGAGGGAGAGGGTGGAGGTCTGAGGACTCTGTGTCAGAGGCTCACGGGGAGTGGGACCAAGCAGGGATCCACAAGTCCCACATGAATCCGAAGGTGGCCACTGGGAAGGGACTAAAGGGCACTCCCACCTGTAACCCTGACGTAGCTGTTAAAGTCCCCATCAGGGATCATATTGGGATCAGAGTTGCCAGGTATTTCCAAGGTCCGGCCTCGGTGGTCTGGGGAAATGGGGGAAGTTGGCAGCCTGTCCTGCTGTCCACATCCCCCACCACCTGTACCCACTTAGGAAACCAATGGCTGGAGGTAGAGGGTCACTCACCCAAGGGGTTGAGTTCATAGACCAGCTCCTCTCTATGGATGGCCCCTTCCTTCTGTCTCAGGGAAAACATGGTTGTGAGGTCACACAGGACTACAGCCTGCCCTGCTAGCGCAGACTCCCCCAGAACTTTGAGTTTCAACTCCAGGGACAGAGTTGGATCAGAATTGTAGAAGATGGGAACAGACCAAGGCATTGGTTTGGGTGTTGGGCCCCTGGCCTGGCCAGCAGAGAGAGTGCTGAGGGTGGAGGACAAAGCTGGGGGCCCGGGGACTTATATTCAGGGGTGCTCCATTCACCTCAATCTGCAGAACCTTGGACACCGCATCTCCCACAGGGAATTCGAAGGACCCTCGAGCCACCACCTTCAGAGACACAGCGGCGGCTGCCGTGGGCACCACAGAGAAGGCAACAGGCCGGGCAGAGCCCGCAGGCACCAGCACCTGCTGGGCCAGCCCTCCGCCCCCAGCCAGGCACAGCCCCTCCACTGGGGACACGTGGACGCTCACCTGAGGGCAGGAAAACGAGGATGGCCAGAGTCCTGGCCCGGTTAGCCTCCCCACCCCTCACTGGGCCCTGGCTCCCCCAACTCCTGTATGCTCAGGCTCCTATGGGGCCTCACAGTCAGGTTTTTATCCAGGTAGTTATAGAGGACAGGCCGCAGCTCCAGCTGCTCAAAGCGGCGGACAGACATGGGCAGGCGGAGGTGCAGGTGGAACTCGCGGAACACCCGGAGCTGGACTGGGGTGGCCACACATAGGCCTGAGGGAAAGGAAGCGTGGGCACAGGGGCAGAGATCAGAGGGGCCATCAAAGCTTCAGGGCCACAGGAGGGAGGGGTGGGGGTGACCCAGCTCTGTCTCAGTCCGCCTCTGCCCTCTGGCCCACGCCAGCTGCACGCTGGCACAGACCTCCCCAGATCACTGGACCCTCTTCCTACACTAAGAGCAAAGGGAACAGGGAGCTGGGGTACAGGGAAATGGAAGCAGGGTCACCTGAGGCCCAGACAGGGTGACATCACCTTTGGTTTTGGACAGGCTCAGGCCATGGATCTCCCACGTGGTCAGAGAGTCGGGGAGCCACAGTGTCAATCTGTGTAGGGAAAGGCAGAGAAGGCCCGTCTACCCCGGCTGGCCCCGAGACACAGCACAGAGAAAAGGCCGGGCCGGCACACACTCTCACATTTGAAAGCGGTCCACTGTTTCCACTCTCCAGAGCCAGTTCTCTGGGAAGAAGCTGCGCACGGGAATGTCATCCTCATCAATCAGGTCCTCCTCCTGCAGGATCTCCAGGGCTGGGGGACCACGGTGGACGGGAGTGAGGAGGGGACCGTTCTGCCTTTCCAAGCGCCGCCACCTGTGCCCTAGCCCCACCCAGCCCCTCACCTCGTTGGAGGCCCGCCTGGCCCTTGTCCCTGCTCTTCTTGCGCAGACTCTCAGCAAATTGGCAGCAGGACAGGAAGGGCTCCCGGCAGTCCGGCTGCTGCACGCGGGCTGCCCGCTGCTCGCAGGAACGCATCATGGGCAGACGTGTCACCCCATCCTGGCAGCAGCGCTTGGCTGTCGGGGAAGCATACTGACCCACTGCAGGGCCAGGTGGGGGTGAGCATGAGAGGACAAAAAGGACATACACCTCAGCCCCCGCCCCGACCCCTTGAGACCAGCAACATAAGAGAGGCTGCTGGAGAGAGCTGCCCACCTTCCACTCGTAATCCCGGAATTCGGATCTCTGGCCCCAAATACCACACGTGGGTTCAGCAAGGAGCCGAGGGGCAGAGAGGCAGACCCCCAACCCGGATCCCAGGTGGAGAGCCCAAGCTACTGCCTAGGCACCCGCAACTCACATTTCTCATTAATCGCCTTTTGGAAGTTCACGTTTCTCTTTTTCCGGGTTGTCTTCTCCTTGGGACAGCTTAGTCCTGGTAGAGAGAAAGGCTGCAGTCCAGCCGTCAGGCACTCGGCCTCCTCCCCTCCTCCCCTTCCCCTGCCCAGCCCTTCCTGCCCGGACTCTTCCAGCTGGTCCCCTCAGGCCCTTCCTCCTTCCTTATCTTCCCGCCACCCACTCCCCTTCCTTCTCTGTTCTCACTCTTTCTGGATAAGGTCCACTGGTCTCCATCAGAAAAGGCCAGGCCCGCTGCCTGGAACACCTGAAGGGCACTGTCCCCACCCCCAGGACCACAGCCGAGGTCATAGCTGTTCATAGCTTCAAAGACCTGCAAGAAAGGCAGGAATGCTAGGAGCCAAGTGTGGCTGAGGGGCAGGACTGAGCACTCGGCACAGGTGAGAGGGCAGCACATGGGGGGATAGGAAAGGATACAGAGCCAGGAGATGGAGACCACAGGGCCAAGTGGGGAAGAGACTGTGGGGAGCCTCAGTGGGATCCAGGGGCTGCGCCCAAGGCTCAGGGAAGCAGGGGGATGAGCCATGGAGGGGTGAGAGAGCTGTGGAGAGGGTCTGGACAAACCTTGCCCATGTTGAGGGGCTTGTGGGACTTGCTGCCTGCAGCATACAGAGCTGTGTCCAAGGCTCCCAGCGCCACCAGGGCTAGGGAGTCGGTTTCTAAGTGGAGCTTCACGGACTCCCCGTTCCGGTACTGCTTGGCACCGTCCACGCTGAGCTCCAGCTGGCAGGGGCGGCAGGTGGGGGCGGTCAGAGTGGGAGAGCTTCCTTCAGTCCCGGTATCCTCACTGCCCCCAAGCTAAATCCATGCCCTGTTGGCAATCACCCTGTCCTCAACCCCCTCGGCACAAGTGCCATCTCTCCTGACCCCGGTCACCTTGCCCTCGCAGGCCCCAGCCTGGACATCCACTCGCAGGGAGTTGGCCACTGGGTGGTCTCCATGGTAGTAGAAGGCCACAAAGTAGAAGGAGGGTGCCAGGTGATGGTCCACAAACACCGAGACCGAGGTCAGGGTCCTCTTGGGCTCTCGATTCATGAACACGATCTGCCCTCGGGATAGGATCTGGGCCAAGAATGGGAGGGACAAGAGTGGTTGCCTCTTCATGGGACAGCCTCAGCCTTGAACCCCCCCAGCCCCACCCAGAGGGCTCTTCCCTGCACCCCAGCCCTCCGTGACTCCCCAGCTCATGCACACCATGTAGTAGTAATGAGAAAAGGTGGCCCCACTGCCCACGGCTCGCAAGTTCAGGTTCAGAGTGTCCCCAACACGAGGAGGTCGAGAATCCGGCCGCTCAATAGACAGAAACCCGGGGCCTCCTGAAGGTGGGGCTGCCACAGTGAGCCTGGCTATCGCTGGATGTGGGGAGCCTGCAGATACCTGGAGAGGGGGTCAGGTGCGAATAGGGTAGTAGCTCAGAGCCAAGTACCCCACCTTCCCCCCAAGTCAGGCCATGGATCCTTGGGACCCCAGCTCACCCTCCTCCCCTTCCCCCACCATCTCCCAGGGGTCCGAGGAGTCCTACTGAGAGCTGCAGCTCTGAGATGGTCTGAGGGATAATTATTGGAATGCTGACTTGGCCGCTCCCGTCTGTGTTTTGCTGAATGTCCTGGACTTCAGGAACAGACCCAGGAGAAGACACCGTGGCAGAAACTTTGACAGGAATGCCAGAAGCTGGGGAGCCTGACATCTCACGGACCAAGGCCTAGGCAGGTAAAGGAGGGCAGGCAAAAGAGAGTGGTCAGACCCTGAGCCCTCCTAACTACCACATCCTCCCTACTCATCCTTCCCCTCTGGAAGAAACCTGCAGCAGGAAGGGGGCCCCAGGCACAAGGTGTCGCTTGGTCTTGCTAAGATCCAAGGAGAAGGGAGATGACACAAAATACCAGGATGTGAGCTCTGCCTCCTCCATCTCCCCACCTGCAAGACAAAGGACAGAGAGAGGTGGGGGACAGAGCCCAAGAAGAGAGGGACAGGAGGACAAGTGGGGAGTGGCTTGAGTGGTTCCCTCCCACAAGACAGTGAGCTCCCAGGGCACAGGCTGCCGTATTCCTGTCTGTGTTGGGAAAAGGACTTGTGGGGTGCCTGTATAAACTGGCCATAAAAATATGGGACAATAAGTTGTGGAAAGCCACAAGAGGCCTCTGAGGAGAAAAGCCTCCTAATTGCCATGCTCAGAGCGAGACCTGCTCTCTCTTATCTGTAAACACTGTATTCAAGGAGAAAGACCCTCCTTTGAAGCATTGGAATGTGGACAGACGTGCAGGCTCCTAGTTAAGCCCACTCCCACTAGCTACTCTCCGATAAGTTAAAGATATGCTGTTTGAGCACAAAGGAGATTCATTTAAAGCGCTTCTGCTGTAGATTATGCCTGTGACGCACTGCTACCCTTTCACTGTTTTGCCCTGAACATCTGCTTCTTAGATCTAAGTTATTGTACTCAATAAATAGTGTGGAGACCAGAGCTCTGAGCCTTTTGCAGCCTCCATTTTGCAATTGGCCCCCTGGCCTCCACTCTTTATGAACTCTTAACCTGTCTCTTCTCATTCCTTTGTCACCACCAGACTTCAGGTACCCTACAGGTGGTGTTGAGGCTGGTCCCCAACATTCTGGCGCCCAACGTGGGGCCCAAAAGAATCTGGTGAGGAAACGCTCAAGCATGTGAAACAGAGGACCAACGAACAAAGGACTCCCAAGGACATAAAAGTTTTAACCTCTACAGGTAAGCGGGGCGCCCAGAGAAAGCTAGGGACACAATGGGAAAAACTGAAAGTAAGTACACCACGTATTTGAGCTTCCTACGGCAGCTCTTCAAGCATGCATGGTGGGGTAAAAGTTGATACGGAAAATCTTATGGATTTGTTTCATGCTATGGAACAATTTTGCCCTTGGTTCCCAAAACAGGAAACTTTGAAATTAAAACATTAAGAAGGAGTTGGAAAGGACCTTAAAAGAGCATATAGAGAAGGAAAGGAAATTCCTTTGCCTGTTTGGTCGCTTTGGTCATTGGTGCATGCAGCACTGGAGCCTTTTCAGACAGATAATGAGGCTGAGTCAGAGGAGGAGAGAGAGGAGTTTGATAATCAGAACTCTGAACCACCTCTACCGAGTACTAACAAAAAGGAGAGTCTGAAGATGATTTATGCCAATCTCCCCAGTCTCCCTAAACCTACTCAAAAAATTGTTCAGCCCACGGTTCCTGTAGAGAAATGTCCAGAATGGCCACCTCCTCCTCAGCCGAGTGGGTGCAGGGGGAGGGAGCCCGAGACTTGGCTCACCGTGCCCATTATTGCCCGACCCACAGTTCATTATGGAGATGGGGCAATTCAGGTTCACCCTACAGTTATTACAGTGAAGGAGCAATTTCCCTTAAAATGGATGACCCGGCGCCCCGTCTGGGTTGAACAGTGGCCGCTCCCTAAGGAAAAGTTGGGGGTGCTTTATAAAATAAACTACTAAAAAAAGGATATATTTCACCCACTTTCTCTCCTTGGAATTCCCCAGTATTTGTAATTAAGAAAAAGTCCGGTAGATGGCGTCAACGCTGTAATTCAACCGATGGGAGCCTTACAACCTGGGCTCCCATCCCCCACTGTGCTCCCTAAAGACTGACCGCTTGTTATTATAGATTTAAAAGACTGCTTTTTTACAATTCCTTTAGCAGAGGCAGATTTCAAAAAATTTGCCTTTACCATTCCTGCCGTTAATAACAAAAAACCTGCAGCCAAATATCATTGGAAAGTTTTGCCCCAGGGTATGTTAAATAGTCCCACAGTTTGTCAAACTTTTGTAGGCAGAACTATCCAGCCTGTTAGAGATCAGTTTCCAGATTTGTGCAGCAAAAAGTAGAGACCAACTTATTCAATATTATTAATCTTTGCAAAAGACAATTACAAATGCTGAATTACTTATAGCACCTGACAAAATTCAAACAACCACTCCTTTTCAGTATTTGAAAATACAAGTACAGGATAGAGCCATTAAGCCTCAAAAGGTTCAAATTAGAAGAGATTCTTTCAAAACCTTAAATAATTTTCAAAAATTGTTAGAAGATATTAATTGGATTTGGCCCAATTTAGCAATTCCTACTTATGCTATGTCTAATCTCTTCTCAATATTGAGGGGAAATACCAACTTACGCAGTAACAGAGAACTAACACCCGAGGCCATGAAAGAGTTATCAGTAATTGAAAACAAAATTCAGCAAGCCCAGGTCAGTAGGATTGACTCAGACTTGCCTTTATAATTCATTGTGTTCCCTACTTCACACTAACCACACAATAATGGGGGTTATTGTTCAAAATGATGATTTAGTTAAATGGTCCTTTTTGCCACATAATACCATAAAAGCACTTACAGTATACTTAAATCAGATGGCAATTCTAATTGGACAGGCTCATATATGAATTATTAAATTTTGTGGCACTGAGCCCAATAAAAATTATAGTTCCAATAAATAAAAATCAGGTTAAACAGGCATTTATTAACTCAGTTACATGACAGATTAATTTAACAAAATTTGTTGGATGTATTAATAATCATTATCCTAAAAACTTTTCAATTCTTAAAATTAACTACATAGGTTCTTCCAAAAATTACTTGTGATGCCCCTTTGGAAGGAGCCATAGCTGTTTTTACTGGTGGGTCTGGTAAACATGAAAAAGCAACAGTCTGGTGGAGACCACATAATCCAATCACTTGATCTGAATTTACTAACATTCAGAGAGCTAAGGTTATTCTGTGTATTTATTTAAAAACTATTACAGCCTTAAGTTTGCTCTGGAGCCCACTCTGTGTGGTCTTTTTCTTCAACTTCAACAATTACTAGACCAAGGTACACATCCTACTTTTATTACACACATTCGAGCCCACAGCTCTCTGCCTGGCCCATTGGCTTACGGCAATAATCAAGCAGACCTTCAGGTTATGACATCACTGCTTGACCAAGCCACCCAATCACATCGATTATTCCACCAAAATTGGAGAAACTTATCTAAATAATTTCAACTTACACAGAGGCTGGCTAAACAAATTATCCCACAATGCCCAGATTACCAGCTCACAGGCACATACCCTCCTTCAATAGGTGTTAACCGTAAAGAATTGGAACCTAGTCAGTTCTGGCAAACAGATGTTAAACACATCCCTAAATTTTAAAAACTAAAATATGTACATACATCCATTGTTACCAACACTCATCTAATTATTACACATTTAAAAAAATAAAAGTAAAAAAAAGACTAAGACAAAAATCAAAAAAATACAAAAAAGTAAAAAAATTTAAAAAGTTATAAAAATGTACCTTTAGTAAAAAAATTATAAAACATAAAAAGTTAAGACATGTTAAAAATTGTCTGTAAAAGTCATAAAAAAAGTTATAAAAAATTTATACAAAAAAGGTTGTTTAATTTTGTTTTAAAGATCTAAACAAGTTTTAAAATGATAATTGTAAAAAATTCCGTGTGTAAACGTATTTACTAAAGTTAAAAAGATATCATCCAGTTTTCTATAAACTAAACATTAAAATAAAACACAAGTTTTTCTTAAAACACTAACCTGCTCTTTAAAAATTGTAAAAAGTCTCTTAACACAGACGCCACTCCTAAAATTTCCAGTACCAGCCTAAAGACTACATCCTCATCAAAGGATAAAAAATTAAAAAATAAAAAAACATTTGAACCAGCCTAAAAAAGACCCTACAGGAACTACAGCCTCAACAATGCGACTTCCACAAACAACACAGGCCTCAGACATTATACTAAAAAAACAAAAGTCTAAGCCAAATAATTTATTCATTTTTAATTCTCTCACTTTGCCTACTACCTATACCTGCTACACTGTATTAAGCTCGTATCTTAAATCCGCCTTTCTTCTGCCCTGTTACTTTAACAAACACCCCCTTCTCAGCTTCTAATAACATAACTGCTTAGCTAGAATAAATTAACATACCCCCAGTGGGGTTCCTCATTAATAACATATAGTAAACTAAGATGCCAAGTAACACTACAGGTCACTCTTTTACTAAAAAAAAAAGTTACTAATTATACTCATGTTTGTCTTCTGTTATTTACTAATCCTAGAATACAAAGCCAAAATAAAAACAGTGACCTCCTCGCCTAACAAACCTGTGGCTACAACAGCCCAAAATTATACCTATTGGGCATGTGTCCCATTCCTGCCTTTAATTAGGCCTGTCACATGGTTAAAACCCCCAGTTGAAGTTTATGTTAATAATAGCGTTTGGATCCCTAAGCCTACAAATACTCATGGGCCCTCTCACCCAAAGGAAAAAAAAAAAAGTTAATAAATGTGTCCATAGGTTATCAGTTCCCCCCTCTTTACATAAGGCCAACTATCGGTTGCCTAAAAGGCTACCGACAACATTGACTAGTTAAAATTCCAGGTCATAATCAAAGACCAGTATCCTATCATTTATTTTCTGGATGGAGCCCGGATCATTCACAGAGTTCAATTCAATTAACAGTTTAAGCCCCCAAAAAAGAGGTGCCAACAACCTTAACAATGGTCAAATAATTTAAAAATATTAATTAAAAAAAATTACATCTCTGATCACACTATGGTACTACAAAATAATTCCTATGAAATTGTCATTAATTGGTCCCCTGAGGGGACCTTTACAGTTAATTG
Source organism: Homo sapiens (assembly GCF_000001405.40). Classification (NCBI taxonomy): domain Eukaryota; kingdom Metazoa; phylum Chordata; class Mammalia; order Primates; family Hominidae; genus Homo; species Homo sapiens. Next base: position 31,986,463 of record NC_000006.12, on the reverse strand, counting down.
TACCCATCAAAATAATAAATACAAGACAAAACTAAAACAGAAACTATACTATCAAAAAGGTAACACTACTTACACTGAAAAACGTGCTCATTTTCCCATAATTTGGACCAATTTTAGTACAGCTGGCCCACATCCCAAAATAATTAATCCAATAATAGGCCCTAAACACTCCAAATTATGAAAGTTAATAATGGCCCAATCTCATATTTAAGTTTAGAAAAAAATATATTATCTTTAAAAAAAAAAGGTTAAAAACTTCAATTTGCGTATCAGTTTTCTTCCAACAAAACAGTGCCCATTCAGAGTTGTGTCAACCCTCCTTTTATGTTAATGGTCAAAAATATTGACATTCGACCTAATTCTCAAACTATTACTTGTCAAAACTGTCACCTTTTCACCTGTATTAATTCCACGTTCGGTGTAAAAACATCTGTGTTACTGATAAAAACTAAGAAAGGAGTTTGGATACTGGTTTCCCTCAATAGACCTTAGAAAGCCTCTCCTTCCATTCATATTGTCACAAAAATGTTTTAAAAAAAAGTGTTTACCAAAACAAAGAGATTTATTTTTACCCTTATAACAGTCTTATGGGCCTTATTGCAGTCACAGCTACTGCTGCGGCTGCTGGAATTGCTTTACACTCCTCTGTTCAAACTACAAAATATATAAATAGTTAACAAAAAATTCCTCAAAATTGTGGAATTCTCAGACCCAAATAGACCAACAATTGACAAATCAAACAAATGATCTTAGACAGACTGTTATTTAAATGGAAGATCGTACAATAAACTTAAAACATCAATTAGAAGTACAATGTAATTGAAATACTTCCAATTTCTACATAACTCCCCATTCGTATAATACTACTAAACATCATTTTTAAAAAGTTAGACATCATCTAAAAGAAAAAAATAAAAATTTAACATTAAATATAACCAAATTTTAAAAAAACAGGTTTTTAAAGCATCTCAGGCTCATTTAACCCTCCTGCCTGAGACTGACATTCTCATTGGAGCTACTGACGGACTTTCAAACATAAATCCTCTTAAACAGATTAAGACCATTAAAGGATCAACTATTACAAATTTTACTTTAATGTGTATCTGTTTATGCTGTTTACTTTTAGTCTACAGATGCAAAAGACACTTCTGAAAACAGACCAAACACCACAAATAAGCCATAATAGCAATAGCGGTTAAAAAAAAAAAAAGGGAGGGGGGCATGTTGGGAAAAGGACTTGTGGGGTGCCTGTATAAACTGTCCATAAAAATATGAGACAATAAGTTGTGGAAAGCCACAAGAGGCCTCTGAGAAGAAAAGCCTCCTAATTGCCATCATGTTCCCATGCTCAGAGTGAGACCCCCTGTCTTATCTGTAAACACTCTGTTCAAGGAGAAAGACCCTCCTTTGAAGCATTGGACAGACATGCAGTCTTCTAGCTAAGCCCACTTCCACCAGCTACTCTCCGATAATTTAAAGACATGCTGTTTGAGCACAAAGGAGATTCATTTAAAACTCTATTGCTATAGATTACGCCTATGACCCACTGCCTCCCTTTCACTGTTTCTCCCTGAACATCTGCTTCTTAGATCTGAGTGACTGTACTCAAAAAATAGTGTGGAGACCAGAGCTCTGAGCCTTTTGCAGCCTCCATTTTGCAATTGGCCCCCTGGCCCCCACTCTTTATGAACTCTTAACCTGTCTCTTCTCATTCCTGTGTCACCAATGGACTTCAGGAACCCTACGGGTGGCGTTGAGGCTGGTCCCCAACATGTCTGTGCATGCTGAGGCCTAGCACGGGGCATTGAACAACACATGTCCACTGGAGGAGTGAAGGAATGAGCAGAACGAGCAAAGAAATAAATAAACTCAGCCAGGGAAAAGGGCCGAGTCACAGAGACAGAGTTGGAGAGAAACCAGGTCTCCTGGGTGTTTCCTGGTTTTGAGTCTGAGATGAGATGTGAGAAGTGGGGTGGTGTTGGTGCCGGAGGACAGAGGGTTAGCTCAGAGGTCAGAGGCAAGGGTCTGGGGTTACAATAAGGGAAAGTCACCCACCTGGAGACTCAATGATGGCTGCAGCAACGTAGAGGCGCAGCCCCTGGAGGTCAGTAATGCCCATATTCAGCTTCTCCAGGGCGTCCTGGAACTCTGCCTTTGAGAGGGAAATGTGGCTCTGTCCATTCACCAGCTGGGGCATAGAAAGAAACAGGACATAGGGTGAGACTGAGTCTCCCACCTCACCTCCCTTGCCCCTTCCCCTCCCCAGCCCCTATTCTCCTTCCTACCTTGGTCTGACTCTCCAGCCCCCGAAAGAAAGTCTTCTTACCATCCTCATCTAGGAGCCCAAAGCGCACATATGCCACCCCCTGCACTGGCTTCCCATAGATGTACCTGTCGTGGCAGAGAGAAGAGGGTGGGCCAAGGGCTGGGGGGAATAATGGCCCGAGGGCAGGGAAGCAGGAGCCCATTCATACTGAGTAGGGAGCAGGACCCGGTGCTGGTGGGCAGAGGTGGGGAGGGAGGTATTACCTGGCCTGGATGTCTAACTGCATTTCATCAAGATGGCCTGGCACCGTCAGGATGTAGGGCTTTCCAGGGGTGATCTTCACCTCAAAGTTGGGAAGGACTGACCCAGGGTGAAGGGATAGGCAGGTCAGACTCCAGCTCAAAGACTCCCCTCTGCTCAGGGCTGTGGCACCCATATCTCCCTGCCCTGAGCTGCTCCCAGTACCTCTCCTTCCACCCTTATTTCCTTCAGGAAAGCAGCTGCCTGTCCCTCCAGTTTCCAGCTCTCACCATATTTCTTCACCTCAAACTGGGTGCTGCTGTTGGATTCCAGGCCATCTGAGAATCGGGCTGAGATCTTCCAGGTCCCTGGCCTGAGAATGGACAAGGAAGGGGCTCAGCCCATCTGTACAGTGGGGCACGGAGAGCCAGCAGCCTGCTTCCCTGGGAAGAGGACTGTGGGGGTTAACCAGAGGCTCAGGAGGCTGAGGGTCAGGGCATCTGGGGACGTGCCTCTGTGTGGGAGGTGGAGAGCCTAACAGGAATTGGGGTGGTGTAGCTTGGGGGCAGCCCCCACATTGGGAGCGCTCACTCTGAGATGTCTGGGATCACAAAGTCATCCTGGAAGATGGACGAGGGCATGTACACCTCCTTCTTCCGCACGCGGAGGCCGTGAGAGTTCTGCAAGGGGAGAAGTGCTCACAGGCAGGAGGTCACATCAGTGGCCAGGATCAGGAAGGCCAGAGGTCGGGGACTCACCTCCACCATGACTGTGATGGTGTCAGTGCTCGGGCGCATCTTCTGATCCAGAGCAAAGACCCGGTACCGAACTGGGAGTGGAGGAGGAGAGAGGTGAGCAGGGGTCCATGTGCAAGGGGAGGGTGGGTCAAACTCCACAGAGGGAGCAGGGGACAAATGTTTCCTAAGCACCCCTTCTGTGTGGCACTTTCTTTCAGGTTATCTCACTTAGGGGGCACCAAACTCATCCTGAGAGGGCTCGGAGGGGGTTAAAGGTTGAGGCCCTGGGGCTGAGACTCACCCCGCTGGCCAGGGTTGTAAATGGGCTGGTCCGTCTGCAAAAAGAGGTGCCCCCGGCGAGAGGAGAAGAGCAGGTTGATACCCTGGATGTTTGTCGTTCTGGACAGAGAGTCCTTTAGCCATGGCGAATGGGCCACCAGCTGGACCTCAGGGCCTCTGAGGAGTTGATGGAGGCCACAGCTCTTCGCATCTTTCAAGGGCACCTGTCAGGAGAGGGAGAGGGAGAGGGAGCGGGTCACAGAGCAAGAGACAGCTGACCAAAAAGGACAGAGACCAAGGGAGAAACGTGGAAGGAGAATGCCAGGGTGGGAAGACAGGAGGGGAGGAGGCCAGTGGGAAGATGATGACACTTACAAGACAGATGGGAACAGGGCAGGAGGCCCCCACAAGCAGCAGGAGGGCATGGGGTCTGGTTACCTGGAGACTGAGGAGTGCGAAGTCTCTTTCTGAGCTAAGGGTGAAGTCCACCTTTGGGGAGCAGGGGACATTATTACGAGATGGGTTTCTCAGGAACACTGATCCTTTCACTACCTGTCCTCGGGGCACATCCTGGAGCTGCACCCCCACCGATAGGGGGACCCCCAGATGAACCACAGAAGGAGAGAACAAGAGCAACCTGGGGAGAACAGACAGGATCAGCAGTCAGACTTCGCTCTGACACCTCCACCCCTGCTCTCCCTCACTCCTGAATCGGGTCCCGATGCCAGCCCTGCCCCAATCCAAGCACCCAGCATCCCGCCTCCAGGACCTGGGCTTCTGCAGAGATAAGGTGAAGAAGCTGGATGCCCAGATCAGCCCCCAGAGCAGCCTCATGGCTGGAGGATCCAAGAGAGGTTAGATCCGTCTGTCTGTCTGCTACCTTCTGGCCAAGCTAGGCCTCGGGGCAGAGTTGACTCTGGACCTTGCTCCTCCCCCAGCCCAGCTAAGCTGGGAAACCACGTGACAGCCAAGAAGTGCAACTGGCCTCAGGCCCAGAGTTGTGGGGGCACCCCGGACACCTGGGTGTCCATGGGAAACTCTGAATCTTGGCCCAGAAATAACCCTGTCCTTCCCCGTTAACTCCTCTCATTCCAGTGCCTGAGCACCTCCCCCTACCAGGTATATCTGTATCAGGGTATAGGTGCACACAAGCTCATGTATACCTGGGCGTACAAGGGCCCAACATGGCCCACGAGTACAGGATATTTAAAGGCCCTCACAAAACAATGACAGGCTTCTAAGACACTTGTCTCTTACTTTCATTCCAACACAAATTGAACTATACTAGGCTTTTGCTTTTTTAGGCCCTAACAGAAATTCCGTGGTTTAGGAGATTAGGTACACCCTCACCACTCCACAGGGAGAATGGCCTGAACGTCAGAGTGAACCCCTGACCCCTTTCCTCTCTGAATGAGGCAAAGCTCAGACTTCACCTCTACCCCTAAACAAGGCACCCAAACACACGTCACAGTAAATAAAGGACATCCAGAAAATATCACAGGCAGAGGTACTTTATTTGGCAATTTTAACATGACACGTAGAGAAAAGAACCCTGCCCTCCTTCACCAGCCTCCCCAGAAATCCCACCTTCCTATTTCAAGACAGAGTAATAACAGCACCATTTTACACGAAAGGGAACAGCCACAGCCTTGGCACCATTTCTGGTTCCACTTTCCATGGAAGGGCAGAGAAGCATTGCTCAAACCCCACCACTGGGTCAGAAACCAGGCAAACAGCAGCAGTCACATCTGACCTTTTGCACACACGAGAGCCCGACACTCATCCTGGCTCCCAAGCCTTCCCAAGGTGACCCTGTCTCAGCCACCATCATGCAGCTCTTCTAGTCCCCTCCCGGCCCACTCTGAGGAGCTGAGCAATGATGAGCAGAATCTTCATGTCTCTGGCAGGCGGAGGAGGGTTCCTGAAGTGGTAGAGATGCTGTGCAGGAGAAAGACAAGGCTGGAGCCAGACGCCTAGGCTCAAGCTGTGAGGAGAACTTAGAACTTGGGAAGGGGTGCTCCCGGGTTCCAGAGAAGAATGAGAGCCACTGGCCTTCACTAGGAAACTAAGCATGAGCTGGGAGGAAATCCCACTTTGGGTCATTGCTCCATAATCTGCCAGAGGCCAGGGAAAGACTCACCAGTCCACTAGCTGGGCCCCAATGAGGTCGTGCACATGGTAGGTGAGGCCAAGCCGCACCACGACAGGCGCCCGCCGGCCCAGGAGCTCTGATAGGAGCAGTTCCCGGTACTTTGCCTTCCGGACCATGCTAAGGACAGCCTGGCGCCCTAGAGGAGAAGTGGCACAGGAAAGGGGAAAGGTGAATAAGGCCTAGAGGCCTGAGGAGCCACCAAAAGGTGAGGGGCTGCAGGCTTGAGCTGCAGATGGGATACCTTTAACAAAGTACTTGATGAATCTCCCAGCTCCAGGCACAGCTAGCCACCAGCTCCCAGCATCTCGGACGGTGAGGACTCCAGCATTCACCAGATGCCTGAGGGCAGTGGGAAGCCAGCAGAGATGAGGGCTGGGCTCTGAGAACCATCTCTCCTCCTCATCCATTAATGTTTACACAAGTCTCCAGAAACACGGGCAACCATGCAAGAGAGACTGGATAACAAAATCCCAGCCTGGGGTGGTTCTGTGCTCGCACCAACTGCCTCTGTTGGTGCAGTTGCTTGTTCCAGGCCCCCTACCTGGACTGCCCTCCCTCCACTTTTTCTTTTCCTGCTACTATTACTGGTTCAGTTAAATAGCTTCTCTTCCCTGACCACATGTCCTGACACACATTCGGTCTTAGGACCGAGGAGAGGAATCAGAGTCTTCTGCGCTCCTGCCACTGCCTAGGCAGACTGCGCCATGGCTCCCACCACATCTCTCTGAGAGTGTGTCTGCCCATGTGAGATCAGTGCTATAGTTTTTCAAATGCTTTCACATATTCCATGGGTTACAAAGTAGGAGGCCTGAGCCAGATACAGCCTCTCAAAATTAGATTTTTATTTAGCTCCTGCCCAGTTGTTTTTTAGCTTTGGGTTTTTTTTGTTTTAATGTGAATGTTTAGGGGTATCCCAGCTCCTACCATTCTCTATCCTCTTAGTCCCAGTATGATTAACATCAAGCTTTTACACTTCCTGCCAGGCCCCTGTGTGCTTTTGATAAGCCACCAAGAACTGAATTCTATTTCAGGGCTCTTTCTAAGGCCCAGGTAAGATAGGCCTCCTCTCTTGTGGGGAGGAATACAAACTTGGGTCATTTTATTAACAAGAAGAGTCAGCTTTTTGGCAGCTTTTCTGGCAGGTTCACCAAAAAAACAGGAGGACAGGCTGGATGGAACTGGAGGGAGGCAGGGAAGCACCAGATGCCTGACTTTGGTTGGTTCCACAAGTCTCACGTGATTTCTGAGTCCCTGAAGCCAAAGGTCTGTGTCATTTGGTCCTGCTGGAAACTAAGGTCCCCACAGGCTGGAAGTACTGAAGCTAGAAATTTCTGCACTGCCCCAGCATACGGTCGGCCATCACAGGCCTTGAGGACCTACAAGCAGAGATGAGAGACATGGTCCATCCCCACCCTCACTCTCTACCAACCTCCACCCCCAGGACAGCATTTCTCTTCCTGTCTTACCTCTTGCTCAGATCCTTCCACCTCTCATACCCTTCTTCTTCCTCCTCCTCTTCATCCTCCTCCCCCTCTTCCTCCCCCCCTCCTCCTCCCCCTCCTTCCTTCCTCCTCCTCCCCCTCCTCTCCCCCCCTCTTTACCCTCTCACTCCTCCCTCTTTCCCTCCTGTCTCTCTCCCTCATATTACTATTTACCAGGGCCCTGTGCCCTCTCCATGGGATGTGGGGGCAGGGAAATTCTTTCTTTTGTTTTTATTTCTGTTTCCCAAGTTCCCTGTCTCCCCCAACCTGTGCCCTCCCCCCAGCACCCCTGACGCACACAGTCACATACTCTGGTCCTGTAGTCCTCAGTGAAGATAATTCCATGGGCATCCAAGTCGAAGCCCAGCTGGACGATTCTGATCTCCCCCTGCTCTTGAAGCTCCTTCTGTCTCCACAGAGAAGAGAGTGAAAAGAGGCGTATCAGGGTAAGATGCTCTGCTATACTCTGGGCGCTCTCAGGCAGGGAGATTTTGTTTGCCAATATGGGGGCATTTTCTCTTAGTAAAGGAAAAACTGTGTGAGAAAATAATCAAGCAAATGACCAAGCAGCCTTTTCCAACTAGCTACCCACATTCTCATCCACCTGCCTTATATATGGTCTATCAAAGAGTCAATATAATTTCTAAGACCAGGCACTAAGATAAAATAGTGATTAAGATGCAGGCTGTGGCTTCAAAACATTAACAGTCTAAATTCTGGGTAGGGTAAGGTGGGGAGGAGTATGGGATTCAATGTTTAAAACAAATAAAAATAAACCAGGACTTCTGTTTACGAGAATACAGCAAGAACTAATCCACCTGTTGAAAATTAACTAAAATCCTGGATAAAAATGTTATTTTAAAATTGTTTAAGACCAGGTACAGTGGCTCATGCCTGTAATTCAGCATTTTGGGAGGCTGAGGTAGCAGGATCAATTGAGGACAGGAGTTCGAGACCAGTCTGGGCAACACAGTGAGACCCCCCCACCCGCCACATCTCTACAAAAAATGTAAAAACAGCCAGGCGTGGGGGCAGACACCTATGGTCCTAGCTACTTGGGAGACTAAGGCAAGAGGATCACTTGACCCAGGAGTTTGAGGCTGCAGTAAGATATGATTGCAACTGGGCAACACAGTGAGACCCCATCTCTTAAAAAAAATTGTTTAGACACTAAAGAGCTCACAGGATAACAGGAATTACCACTAATATAACATCTAAGTAGGCCGGGCGAGATGGCTCAAGCCTGTAATCCCGGCACTTTGGGAGGCTGACGTGGGTGGATCACCTGAGGTCAGGAGTTCAATATCAGCCTGACCAATATGGTAAAACCCCGTCTCTACTAAAACTACAAAAATTAGCCGGGCGTGGTGATGTGTGCCTGTAGTCCCAGCTACTCAGGAGGCTGACACAGGAGAACTGCTTGAACCCAGAAAGTTGCTGTGAGCCGAGATCATGCCACTGCGCTCCAGCCTGGGTGACAGAGTGAGACTCTAACTCAAAAAATAAAAATAAAAATAACTGGGGCCGGGCACGGTGGCTCATGCCTGTAATCCCAGCACTTTGGGACGCTAAGGGTGGATCACTTGAGGTCAGAAGTTCAAGTTCAAGACCAGCCTGGCCAACATGATGAAACCCGGTCTCCATTAAAAATACAAAAATAGGCCAGATGCGGTGGCTCATGCCTGTAATCCCAGCACTTTGGCAGGCTGAGACGGGTGGATCACGAGGTCCGGAGATCAAGACCATCCTGGCTAACACGGTGAAACCCCATCTCTACTAAAAATACAAAAAAAAAAACAATTAGCCAGGCATAGTGGCGGGCACCTGTAGTCCCAGCTACTCGGGAGGCTGAGGCGGGAGAATGGGTGAACCCAGGAGGCAGAGCTTGCAGTAAGCCAAGATCATGCCACTGAACTCCAGCCTGGGTGACAGAGCGAGACTCCGTCTCAAAAAAAAAAAAAAAAAAAAAATTAGCTGGGCGTGGTGTCAGGTGCCTGTAATGCCAGCTACTTGGGAGGCTGAGGCAGGAGAATCACTTGAACTCAGGAGGCAGAGGTTGCAGTGAGCCAAGATCATACCACTGCACTCCAGCTTGGTGACAGGGTAAGACACTGTCTCAAAAAAAAAAAAGTAATTGGAACATGGAGGGCATTTATTAATCTAGGCAAATCTGCCCAGAACATTTTCAAAAGTAACTGGGCGCATAAGGAAACAAAACTCAAAGAGAGAATAAAAACAAACCCCAAAAGACAAGTAATAGTGGAATTATCCTTTCCACGGTCTCCCTCTGATGCCGAGCCGAAGCTGGACTGTACTGCTGCCATCTCAGCTCACTGCAACCTCCCTGCCTGACTCTCCTGCCTCAGCCTGCCGAGTGCCTGCGATTGCAGGCGCGCGCCGCCACGCCTGACTGGTTTTCGTATTTTGTTAGTGGAGACGGGGTTTCGCTGTGTTGGCCGGGCTGGTCTCCAGCTCCTAACCGCGAGTGATCCGCCAGCCTCGGCCTCCGGAGGTGCCGCGATTGCAGACGGTGTCTGGTTCACTCAGTGCTCAATGGTGCCCAGGCTGGAGTGCAGTGGCGGGATCTCGGCTTGCTACAACCTCCACCTCCCAGCCGCCTGCCTTGGCCTCCCAAAGTGCCCAGAGTGCAGCCTCTGCCCGGCCGCCACCCCGTCTGGGAAGTGAGGGGCGTCTCTGCCTGGCCGCCCATCGTCTGGGATGTGAGGAGCCCCTCTGCCTGGCTGCCCAGTCTGGAAAGTGAGGAGTGTCTCTGCCCGGCCGCCATCCCATCTAGGAAGTGAGGAGCGTCTCTGCCCGGCCGCTCATCGTCTGAGATGTGGGGAGCGCCTTTGCCCCGCCGCCCCGTCTGGGATGTGAGGAGCGCCTCTGCCCGGCCGCGACCCCGTCTGGGAGGTGAGGAGGGTCTCTGCCCAGCCTCCCCGTCTGAGAAGGGAGGAGACCCTCCGCCCGGCAGCCGCCCCGTCTGAGAAGTGAGGAGCATCTCCGCCCGGCAGCCGCCCCCTCCAGGAGGGAGGTGGGGGGGTCAGCCCCCTGCCCGGCCAGCCACCCCGTCCGGGAGGTGAGGGGCGCCCCTGCCCAGCCACCCCTACTGGGAAGTGAGGAGCCCCTCTGCCCGGCCAGCCGCCCTGTCCGGGAGGGAGGTGGGGGGGTCAGCCCCCCACGCAGCCAGCCGCCCCGTCCGGGAGGGAGGTGGGGGGTCAGCCCCCCACCCGGCCAGCCGCCCCGTCTGGGAGGGAGGTGGTGGGGTCAGCCCCCCCCGCCCGGCCAGCCGCCTCGTCCGGGAGGTGAGGGGCGCCTCTGCCCGGCCGCCCCTACTGGGAAGTGAGGAGCCCCTCTGCCCGGCCAGCCGCCCCGTCCGGGAGGGAGGTGGGGGGGTCAGCCCCCCGCCCGGCCAGCCGCCCTGTCCGGGAGGTGAGGGGCGCCTCTGCCCGGCCGCCCCTGCTGGGAAGTGAGGAGCCCCTCTGCCCGGCCACCACCCCATCTGGGAGGTGTGCCCAACAGCTCATTGAGAACGGGCCACGATGACAATGGTGGTTTTGTGGACTAGAAAGCGGGAAAAGGTGGGGAAAAGATTGAGAAATCGGATGGTTGCCGTGTCTGTGTGGAAAGAGGTAGACATGGGAGACTTTTCAAAAAAAAAAAAAAATAGTGGAATTATCAAAAAGACAATTAAAAAAAAAAAAAACAGCACTTTGGGAGGCCGAGGCAGGCAGATCATCTGAGTCAGGAGTTTGAGACCAGCCTGGCCAACAGGGTGAAACCCCATCCCTATAAAAATACAAAATTAGGCCGGGTGCGGTGGATCATGCCTGTAATCCCAGCACTTTGGGAGGCCGAGGAGGGCAGATCACGAGGTCAGGAGATCAAGACCATTATGGCCAACATGATGAAACCCCCATCTCTACTAAAAATACCAAAATTAGCTGGGCATGGTGGCGCGTGCCTGTAGTCTCAGCTAATCAGGACAGTGAGGCAGGAGAATTGCTTGAACCCAGGAGGCAGAGGTTGCAGTGAGTTGAGATCACACCACTGCACTCCAGCCTGGGCAACAGAGCGACACTCCACCTCAAAAAAAAAAAAAAAAAAGGGAAAACTAAGGCAACAATGACCACAGCAGTCACCTCCCAGGGACATTCTGATCAGAGACATTTTGATCAGAGAGGGATATATGTGGGATACTGGTCATATTCTATAGTTTGACCTAGGGAGTGGCTAGATAGGTATCTGCTTTATAAACATCATTTAAATTATATATGTTTATATTTTCATTCTGCAACTTTTAAAGGTTTTTAAAAACAAAAGCTAACACCAATACATTAAAATCAACAAATACTCCTTAAGGAGTGGTTCCATCTGGCATGCTTCCTCACGGGAGACCTAGTCAGGGAGACTAGCTCACCTCAAGTGAGTGCTAGACTGCCTTCCTTTTCTTTCCTCTTTTCTTGAAAGATCACTATTAACCTTCTACCTGCTAAATCCAATGGACAGATTTCAGTTCTGGGTTTTTTTGTTGTTGTTTTCATTTTTTTAGAGACAGGGTCTCCCTCTGTTACCCAGCCTGGAGTGCAGTCGTGCAATCATAGCTCACTGCAGCCTCAAATTCCTGGGCTCAAGCACTCCTTCTGCCTCAACTTCCCAAACAGCTAGAACAATAGGTGCACACCACCATGCCCAGCTAAGAATTTTTGTGTTTTAATTTATTTATTTAGTAGAGATGGGATCTCAGTTATTTAGTAAAGATGGGGTCTCACTTTGTTGCCCAGGCTGGTCTCAAACTTTTGGTTTCAAGCTATACTCCTGCCTCAGTCTCCCAAAGTGGTGGGAGTACAGGCATGAGCCACCACACTCAGCCTAGATTTCAGTTTATATTTTACTTTACCTCTTCCCTCTTCTTAGACCACTGTCTTGAATCACAGGTTCTAATACTGCCAACTACTTCACTTTCTCAAAAATCTCTTTACTTTCACAGTAGGCCTCTTCCTGGGTTACTTTTTTTTTTTTTTTTTTTGAGACAAAGTCTAGCTCTATCACCCAGGGTGGGGTGCAGCGGTGCTATCTCAGCTCACTGCAACCTCCGCCTCCCCAGCTCAAGCAATCCTCCCACCTCAGCCTCCCCAGTAGCTCTATAGGCGCGTACCACCACGCCTGGCTAATTTTTGTATTTTTTGTAGAGATGGGGTTATGTCATGTTGCCCATGCTGGTATCAAACTCATGAGCTCAAGAGATCCACCCACCTCGGCCTCCCAAAGTGCTGGGATTACAGGTGTGAGCCACCGCGCCGGCCTCTGGGTTCCTCTTAACTCAGGCAAGTCCCTCTCTGCCTCTGTCACAGATTCCTCTTCTTCTGCTTTCCCTTTATGTCAGTGGATCTCAAATTTTAAGGCACACTTAAAAAGCACTTGAGGCAGTTCAAAAATGTAGAGTCCCAAATCCCGCCCCAAGAGAGCGTAATTCATTAACCTTGGATGAGTCCCAGGAACCTGTATTTTTTTTAACAAGCAGCCCACGTAATTTTGACACAGGCATAATAACTCAGCTCATATATTCAGTAACACTGCCTTAAATGATGGTGTTTCCCAGCATTGTGGATTTGACCCTATTAACTTCCACTCTAAACCTGGAGTCCTTAACCACGGACCTCGCAGGATTAGTAAAATATTTCCCCCCTAACTATACATACACCCTATGTATATGTGGCAAACGTGCATTTTTCTGGAGAGAGATAGCCATAGCTTTTATCACCTTCTAAAGATTACAAAAAGGTTAGAAATCACTCCTCTACCCACTCTTCCTACTGGATCTCACCACATCACAGAATTAACCACTTGCTATTCACACCTCCATGACTTGTAATTCTATTATCACTGGCCCAGAATTCTCTCCAACTCTCATATCCAACTGTCTAATACCTTTGTCTTTGGATGCTCCACATGCACCATCAACTCAACTTGTATAAAATTAAACACATTATCTGTAGTCCAACAACTAAATGTGCTCCTAATACCACCAGCCACGCAGTCATCTGGAAAGTCTGAGTTGTCCTGGACTCCTCCCTCTTCCTCACTCTCCTCTCCCTCCCTACTGCACTGACCTAATTTAGGCCTTCACCACTTCTCAGATGCAGTATCTTCTTAGCTGACCTCCCTGCCTCATCCACTATCTCCAATACACCATTCCCTCTCTCTATGATATTCTCTACCAGCCCATCGCCTCAGTGTAAGATGGAAACAACACTGATGTACAAGGCCTGTCATGATCTGACGTCTGACTGCACTCCCAGCGCTGTATGTTCGAACCATGCCCCATGACTCGGTTTCCCCAAAAGCCTCGTTCTTCTACCTCCATGATTTGAAATGCCCTGTACTACCTGCGGGACTTTTAACAGGGTCTCTGTGGCACCCCAGTGCCTGGCACAGTGCCCTCGCCTGAAAGGCCTAATGCTTGCTGAACGGCTGGCGGAGTGACTGAGTGACAGGGAATTCCAGGAGTTAGGAAAGGGGCTTCCGGCGGTCGCACCGACGCCCCTCACCAGCTGCCGGTCGGCCACGGTCCTGTCAGGCACAAGGCTGTACACCTGGCTCCTCAGCACGATGGGCGGCAGCGCGTCCTCAAACAGGCCTCGCGGGAACAGCTGCATGAGTTCTGAGACAGCCGCGCGCGCCGACCCTGGGCAGATAAATCGGCTCACGGACAGGGAACTGGGGCGGGGACGCGGTTCTAACAAAACTCTCGGCTACCGGAAGCGAGGCCCCACCCCCGGGGTTGCCATGGTTACCTGGCTCACCCCGAAGAGGATCCGACTCCACAGGCCCTCGCTTCCGCCGCCTCTTAACTCCAAAGGTCTCCGGGATCAGGTGATGCCTCTTCCAGCTCATATCCCGGGATTTTATGGTACCGGGGAAGGGGTAGGAATGGAGGGAAGAGAACCTGAAAATAGGGTCTTCCGGCGCAGAGCAGTGACGTACGGTCTCCCCGGGCGTCCCTCCTAGACCAGGTGATGACGAAAGGAGCGTCAACTTGTCGTCCCTCAGGCCCGTCAGTGCTGGGAGGGGCGGTGGCGACGCACATACCAGCATCACCTCCGCCAGGCCGGGCCCCACGCCGGCCGCGGATTGGCTCCCTCCAAGGGCACGCACGCCCGGGGACTCGTTGGCGGCGTGGAGGGGCGCCGGTGGCCACGTTGGTGTCAACCTCCTTCGTGAAGCTCACACCTCCCCCGCCCCGGGAGGGGTTTGCCCGCCACTGTCGCTGAATGATTGCATCATCGAAAGCAGAAAACCACTTTTGCATCCTTCGGCCTCTGGCGTGCCTGCCATGACGTCATAGCTCTGCGGAGGTGGAAGTTGGGGAGCTTTGAGGTAACTGGATTCTTGATCTGAGCGCAGACGTCCTTCCTAACCTCACTGCATTTGGAGGACCTGGAGGGAGGGTGGGTGAAGGGCAAGGAAAGAGGCAGGATGAGAGCTTGGCCGCGGTGGCGTCTGAGGGGCCTGAATGTTTCAAGGCCAGAGCCTGGCGATCAGGTGGCTCGCTTAGTCCTAAACCAGTCATCCTTCTCCAGGCCTCCTCTGTAGAATGGAAACTCTGTACCCCTGCTTGTCTTAGGACCTCATGGATCCCAGGGGGACCAAGAGAGGAGCTGAGAAGACAGAGGTAGCTGAGCCTCGGAACAAACTACCTCGTCCAGCACCTTCTCTGCCCACAGACCCTGCCCTCTACTCTGGGCCCTTTCCTTTCTACCGGCGCCCTTCGGAACTGGGCTGCTTCTCCCTGGATGCTCAACGCCAGTACCATGGAGATGCCCGAGCCCTGCGCTACTATAGCCCACCCCCCACTAACGGTCCAGGCCCCAACTTTGACCTCAGAGACGGATACCCGGATCGATACCAGCCCCGGGACGAGGAGGTCCAGGAAAGGCTGGACCACCTGCTGTGCTGGCTCCTGGAACACCGAGGCCGGTTGGAGGGGTGAGCAAAGCGTGGTAGGCAGTATATCTGGAGACCCGTACCTACCCTCTAAAATTAGGAGAGCCAAAGCCGGGGTGAGAATCAGTCCTTAGAAGAAACAAGACTATTCTTCGAGGGGAGCATCTCACTAATGCTTGTGTCAGACCTTCAGCCTGTAACTCCTGCCTCTCAGGGGTCCAGGCTGGCTGGCAGAGGCCATAGTGACGTGGCGGGGGCACCTGACAAAACTGCTGACGACACCGTATGAGCGGCAGGAGGGCTGGCAGCTGGCAGCCTCCCGGTTCCAGGGAACACTATACCTGAGTGAAGTGGAGACACCGAACGCTCGGGCCCAGAGGCTTGCTCGGCCACCGCTCCTCCGGGAGCTTATGTACATGGGATACAAATTTGAGCAGTACATGTGTGCAGGTGAGTTGCCCCTGCTTCATAGCCCCCTTCCCCTTCCCAGAGGTTGAGAGCCCCCCACGCCTGCTGCTGCTTCTCTCCTTGTGCAGACAAACCTGGAAGCTCCCCAGACCCCTCTGGGGAGGTTAACACCAACGTGGCCTTCTGCTCTGTGCTACGCAGCCGCCTGGGAAGCCACCCTCTGCTCTTCTCAGGGGAGGTAGACTGCACAGACCCCCAAGCCCCATCCACACAGCCCCCAACCTGCTATGTGGAGCTCAAGACCTCCAAGGAGATGCACAGCCCTGGCCAATGGAGGAGTTTCTACAGGTTCAGGATCGGGGTGGGCAGGGCGAGAGCTTAGGCTTGAAGGCTGGGAAAGGGACTTGGGGAGGAGGGTGAAGGCAGAATGGAGGGTGCACGAGGGGTCCCACTGATCCCTTGCTTTTCCTGTCAGACACAAGCTCCTGAAATGGTGGGCTCAGTCATTCCTCCCAGGGGTCCCGAATGTTGTTGCTGGCTTCCGTAACCCAGACGGTTTTGTCTCTTCCCTCAAGACCTTTCCTACCATGAAGATGTTTGAATATGTCAGGGTAAGGGAACGATGTTGCAGCTCCCACCCGTATCCCCAAACACCAAGACCACAGGTCTAGCATCCAGGGCAACAGCCTGCCTTCTCTCCTCCCACCACCCCCACTGCCCATCTTCTGCCTCCTCCTCTGCCTGCTCCAGAATGACCGTGACGGCTGGAATCCCTCTGTGTGCATGAACTTCTGTGCCGCCTTCCTTAGCTTTGCCCAGAGCACGGTTGTCCAGGATGACCCCAGGTGAGGCATTCAGCTCTGTCCCTCCCCTCTGGATCCCAGGATCCAGCCTCTGGCCCTCAACTGATGCCTCCATCTGCCCCCCAGGCTCGTTCATCTCTTCTCTTGGGAGCCTGGCGGCCCAGTCACCGTGTCTGTACACCAAGATGCACCTTACGCCTTCCTGCCCATATGGTATGTGGAAGCTATGACTCAGGACCTCCCATCACCCCCCAAGACTCCCTCTCCCAAATAGTAATGCTTTAGAGGGAGGCAGTCATATCTCTGTGTGCAGATAATAAAAGCATATTTCTAAGAGGTTCTCTCGCTGTCTTCTTAGCTGAGTCATCCCTGTCCAGCAACTCAAGCACACAACAGTGCTTTGCTGTTTTATCATCATGTTTTTACATGGGGCATTCACTGGGTGTAGAGGCTGGCCGCAAATACGATGTCCCGCCGTAGCAAGGTAGCCGCTGTCTCCATCTTGGCACCCAGCACAGGCTCTCCTACCAGGCGGGCTGCCCCCCGCAGTGAGCGACACATCTCAGCCAGGCGCTGAATGCAGCGGACCACCAGGCCCTCAGGGGTCCCTGAGAGCCCTGCCAACTCGGAGAAGGGCTGTGGGGAAAGTAGGGTGAGGACTGGATGCACTCAGCCTGGGCAGGTTCTCCCCAGCCAGCCGTCTGCAAAATCCCAAACCTCAGGTACTCACCATGCCCCGGGCCCACTCATATACAACCTCAACCAGCCCAAAATTCAGCTCCCCCACAAATTCCTCCACCGTCTGGTTCAGGCCACAAGCCACCTGGACCTCACCAATCCGCTTGGCCACAGCCCGGACACGTTCTATTCCCTGCAGGAAAGAAGGAGAGGTTAAGGCCTGCCTTCCTGCTCCAGGACAGGGAAGGACCAGATCAAGAAGGCAGCCATTTTCCATCCTTGGGGCACTTACAGGGCTGGAGGGGGTCACCTGGGGGACTACCTGAAGGTGAAGGTCAGGAATGCCACAGCCCTGGCAGGGAGAAAGGGGTGGTGTCCCCTACCTGCTTGAGGGTGTTTGGGAGCTGATCCCCAGCGTCCCCAGGGCTCTGGCAGACCAGGCCAGAGAGCAAGGCAGCAATCTCCTCAGGCCGCAGGGTGCTCAGTGCATTGTCAAACATGAGCTCAGTGAGGAGCAACTCATGGCTGCTCATGGCACAAGCCACCCGCCCTGCCAGCTTCACAGTGCCCGCCTCGTCCACATAACCCAGGGTTCGGAGCACCTGCAAGAAAAAGGGTGGGCATTGGACACACTGCTGTCCCCTAGCCCCCCTGCCCCAACCACTGCCCCACCCACCTCTACTCGCTGATGGTACTCAGGAAGCAGCAGCAATGACTGATCCGACAGTAGGAAGCGCAGCCGCTCCATCTCCTTCTGTATCTGCATTCGCTCCCGCAGCTTCAGGTACTGCAGAGAGCCACCCGTCAGCCTTCTCCTTGCCCCTTAGCAGGGGTGCACTGAGGACAAGGGCTGAGATGGGGGCGGTCAGTCTACAGGGGACCACAGAGGAAAAGCCCCTACTCCCAGCTTGGGAGTTACCACCCAGGGTCCTACCTGGGCAGGAAAACGGGGGCTGTGTACACACTGAGCCCCCTGGATCAGCTCCTCCAGCTTCCGGGCCCGGAGCCCACCCTCTACAACTGACATATCTTTGAGCTGCAGGTCATTGACAGGGTCGAGGGTGGGAGGTCCGGCTGGGTGGGCCTGAGCCAGACGCAGCAGTTCCTGGACAGCAGTGGTCACGGCTGCAAGGGGAGGATCCTTCCTGAAGAGGGAGCAGATCTTAAGATCTGGGGTAAGATCTTCTCTCCCCCAGAAGCCTCCCTCAGGCTGTGGAAGCCCTCTTACTACAACCTCCACTTCACAGTCTCCCTTAGGCTGGGGGAGCCCCCTCACTACAACCCCACCACTTCATGGTCTCCCTCAGGCTGGAGGAAACTCCCAGACCACTGCCCCTCCCTGCCTCTACGTGCCCCTCTGGAGGAGAAGGGCCTCCCTAGCATCTCTGACTTGAATTTTGGCTGCTGCCTCTTGCTGAAGTCCTCCAAGATCTTCTCCCCATTCACCCGGAGCACCTTGGTGGTGATGGCAGCCATATCTCCTGGCTGGAGCTTGACCACGGTGTGGTCACAAGGCCCTGTGAAAAGGGGAGAGCAGGGCAGACATTGCCATGGACCCAGGCATCCTGCTTATACTGCTGGCAGAAAACAGACATCTGCCACACTCTCACCTTCAGGCAGGAACAGCTTGAATCCCACGAGGTCATCTGGATAGGGCACCTCTGCAGTGGCTGGCCCCCTGTCCTGTGGGTCCTGGGACAAGGGCTTATCACACAAGACCAGGGTTGTGAATACTCTGCTGGTGGAGTTCGAGGAGACCTGGGGGTGGTCAGAGAGGCCAGGAGAGGGGGGTGTGATGAGTAGACATCAAAGGCAGAGACCAGATACCCACCCTTGGGCAGGAATCAGGAAGCAACCATGCAGAGCTCACCAGTAGAGAGGGGCAACCAAGTCAAGCGATCAGAGCAGACTTCTTGGGGTGGTGGGAGGAAGGAGTGAGCATGATGTGGTGATGGGAAGGGAGAGGGTGAAAAGGAGGGCAAGAGGGGAAAATGAGGGCCCTATGATGACGCAACCTGCCCTGGCCAAGTGGGGAAAATGGAGAGAGGGCTTGCTCCCTCCCACCCTCTGGAGTCCAAATTCCCATCACCCTCACCTGTAGGATCACTCCCAATGCGTTGTGATGCTCCTGATTCTTCACAACCACCACCCTTCCTGCTGAGAGAGACTTCAGCCCGTTCACAGACTCCATGATGCGTCGCTGAAGAGCAAAGGACAGATGGGAGGAGGCATCACAGGGACAGACACTTGGACTAAGTTTAGTAGCACCTAGAGTAACACGATCTTCTCTTCCCTTCTCCTATCACCTCCTCAGCACTCACACTTGCTCACCTGGATCATGTGCTGGGTCTCTGTCAGTTCCTCCCCCCAGCTGTAATATTCAGGCAGGTCGACCAGTTGGCCAGTCATGTCAGGCTCCTCCAAAGCTCCCAGCCTCTTGGTCAGTTCAGCCAGGGCCTGTTCATGGGCCTTGGGTGGGAGCAGGGGAAGCTGTGAAAGGGGAGTCTCCAGGCCCAATCTGTCACACTCCCCACCCTCAACACACTGGCCTCTGGATGCCTACCTATTCCCAGCCTGTCTTTGGCCAACCTCCTGCTCCACACACTGGTTACCCCAGGCTCCTTACCTTGCTGTCTTTGCGGGAGGGAAACTCAGAGAAGCTCCTCTTCATCATGTCCTCCACCCTGAGGGCATCCACTCGCAGCAAGTTGAGGATCATAGTGTACGTGAGGCGGAACTGGGACTGCAGCTGGGACGGCTTCCCCTGGAGTCAGGTCACAGAAGTCACTGAGATCAGGGTGGGACCTACTGAACCCCAGCCAGTCTTCTGGACTGGGCCTACTCCCGTCAGATCCGGTCCTAGCTCTGCAACCATGGGGCCTTGGACAAACCACTTGCTCACCTCTTCTGTAACATAAGGGAGCAAACTGAAATAAATGGACTCAAAGGCCCCATCTAGCTCCATATTCACATGGGAGAAAACTGGAAGAGATGGGCTCCAATCTCATCCTTGGATTCACTCACTCCTACCTCAGCTTCTCCCAGGCAAAACAAAAAAGTCGGAGGAAGTTGGGCGCTGTGGCCCACACCTATAATCCCAGTACTTTGGGAAGCTGAGGCAGACAGACTGCTTGAGCCCAGAAGTTCAAGACCAACCTGTGCAACATAGCAAAACCTCATCTCTACAAAGCATAAAAAAAAAAAAAAAATTAGCCAGGCCTGTGTGGCATGTGCCTGGAATCCCACCTACTTGGGAGGCTGAGGTGGGAGGATCCCTTGAGCCTGGAAGGCAGAGGTTGCGGTGACCCGAGATTGTGCCACTGCACTCCAGCCTAGGTAACAGAGCAAGACCCTGTCTCCAAAAAAAAAAGGAAGAAGAAAAAGAAGAGAGGAGAATCGAAGACAGAATCCAGCAAGGTCCTGGAGCTGGGGCCCTGCCGAGCATGCTGGCCCGCTCACCATCATCATGCGGTGCAGGTCTGCCATCTCGGGCACTCGGCCCTTGCAGAGCAGGATAACGGTGCCTGTGGGGTCCAGGCCCCTCCGCCCTGCCCGGCCTGCCATCTGCACATACTCCCCAGGGAGCAGGTCCCGGAAGGTGGAGCCATCGTGTTTGCGCATGGAGTCAAACACTACTGTACGAGCAGGCATGTTTACTCCCATGGCAAAGGTCTCTGTGGCAAACAAGACCTGGGACAGAGGAGAACAGAAAGGATCAGCAAAGGCTCTACATACACACACCCCCAGCCCTGGCCAAGCCCACCTTACTTTGTAGGCATAAGGCACCATCCCAGTTGTTACTTATGGGATCTCACTGAACTCTCCAGGCAAATCTATAGGGCAGGTATTATTGTTTTCCTCATTTTACTTATGTAGCTACTTATTTCTATTTCTTAACTTTTACCTTCATATCCCATTCCCATCCCTGACTGCAATCATTCCAATGTATCCAACAAATATCTTTTTATATAAATATGATCTTATAGAACATGTCTTCTTTTGTGAGCTTGTAGTTTATAATTCATATAAAAAGTGGTTATATATCTGATTTTTTTTTGCTTCTTTTTCTCCACCTAGTGTTTCAACATCTGTCCATGTTCCTGTGGCCACATCTAACCCACTGCTTCCAACTGCTGCAGAACACTCTATGGGTGCATCCCCCACACTAACCTTCCCTCTCTCCCAGTGAAGGGCACCCTGGTACTACCAACACCATGCCACCACAAACAAAGGATGGGTGTACATGTTCTCTCACAGACCAGGGTGAGAATTTCTTTGTGATATATACCCAGGAATGAAATATAAGCTCAGAGTATGATATAGTTTTTGTTTGTTTCTTTGTTTGTTTTTGTTTTGAGATGGAGTCTCCCTCTGTTGCCCAGGCTGGAGTGCAGCGGTGCTATCTTGGCTCACTGCAATCTCTGCCTCCTGGGTTCAAGCAATTCTCCTGCCTCAGCCTCCCAAGTAGCTGGGACTACAGGCACCTGCCACCATGCCCAGCTAATTTTTGTATTTTTAGTAGAGACAGGGTTTCACCATGTTGGCCAGGATGGTCTCGATCTCTTGACCTTGTGATCCACCCACCTCAGCCTCCCAAAGTGCTGGGATTACAGGTGTGAGCCACCATGCCCGGCCAATATAGTTATTTTGTCTAAATAGTGCCAGCGTGCATTCCAAACTGGCTAGGCATCCCGTAAAGGATTCCCAGAACCCTACAACCTCCTATATCTCTGGCAACACTCGGCATGAACTAGTTTCCTAAATTTTACCAGTCTAATAGCTGTAAAGTCGTATCTTGTGAGTACTTCAATTTGTATATTTCTGATTACTAATAACTTTTCGAATGCTTGCTAGCTTCCTGGGTTTCTTTTCTGAGACCTACGTATTCATATCTTATGCATCCCCATTTTAAGATGGGAAACCTAAAGTTCAGGAAGGTTAAATAATTGGTCCAGGATGATACTGTGAATACATGGTGTACCTGGGATTCAAACCCAGGTAGTCTGAATCCAGAGCCCAGATTCTTAACCACAGCACTGGCCTGCCTAAACCTCTGCCCCTCTGCCCTCTGGGCAGCCCCTAAGTGGGCAACAAGCACCCTGAGGAGTCCCTTTCCACCACCACATGCACCTTGACCAGGCCACGGCTGAAGAGCATCTCCACGATCTCCTTGAGGATGGGCAGGATGCCGCTATGGTGCACACCCAGGCCGCGATTCAGGAGCTCTGACATGTGCAGGACCTTTGGTGGGAGGAGGCCCATGGTCAGGGATGGAGTCTCGGAACACCCTATCCCCACCAGTCTGCCAAATGTGTGCATGCACGCACACAGACGCACACAGACGCACCTGGGGCAGCTGGCGGTCAGAGCCACGGAGGCGAGCAAGGCAGCGCTGCAGGAAGAGGTGGATCTCGCTCTTCTCCGAACTGGTGGTGAGGTCAAGGGAGGTGAGGCCTGAGGCCTGCTCATCACAGCGGCCCCGGGAGAAGGTGAACACCACCACGGGCAACTGGGCACGTGTGCGGAGGGAGGCCAGGAGGGACAGGTACACTCCGCGGTCCTGGAGAAGGAAGGGGAAGGGGAAGGAGCAGAGGTTGAGTTCCTGAACCAATGAGAGGTGAGCTAGTGTTAACTGGGGCAGTGCTCAAAGCTCAAGTCAAAACCCCTGGGGGACAAGGGGAAAAAAAAGATAGGAGGAAAAACAGGTGCTGGCAGGTACAAAACCCTCCCAGTTCTCACCTGTGCAGGGCCCCCCTGATGTGTGGGCTGCTTGGCCCCAAAGGTCTGGGCGTGTTTGCTCATTCTCTCCTTCTTGGCCTCCACAGCTGCATAGTACCTGGGGCACAGGGAGGGGTAGCCACAATGTCCAGCTGGGGGCCCAGCCCTAACTCTTTCCCCCATCTCGAGGCTTACCCTTTTGTATGGAAGGCTCCTCGGGAGTCCAGCAACAAAAAGAGCTCCCCCTGGGTCTTGGAGCTGTTCCCTGTGAAAAGATAGTGCTCCAGGGGCACGGGGCGGGTTACAGTGCTAATCACATAGATCTGACGACGCTTCAGCCGCCTGAAGAAAGGAGAGGGAAGCAGGTCAGGGGTGGGAACGTGGGAAGGAACCCACATCCCCACCCCCTTCCCTACCCCTCCAACTTTACCCAGTCTTTTCTGAGACCCAGAATGGAAGGCTATCCCCCAACATCTCATCCCATTTCAACATGCAAAGTAATCTGGACCCAAAGGGGATCCCACAGCCACCAGGTGGGACATGTTCCCCAGCATCACCCCTAAGGCCTGACCGCTCTCCTTGCTGTGGTAGACTTAGTCCCCCACCCGAATCAAGGAGTACTGTAGCCCCCTTCACCCAGGCAACCCGGGACACACGTCTCACCCAATCCAGTCAGCAAACTCAAGGGCGTTGGGGACGGTGGCACTCAGAAGGATGATAGAAACGTGGTCAGGTAGCATGATAAGCACCTCCTCCCACACGACCCCACGCTGGGCACAGAGAGGGAAGGGAGGTCACATGAGGGCAGGGGCCGCCCTTCTGCCCATAAAGAGGCACAGGATTCCATATGGGGGTAAAGAAAGCAGTAAGGGGCCCTGAGTGTGTGGAATAAGGGAGACGCTCAACTGGTCCCAAAGGAGAGGACTGCCGGGTTCTGGGGAGCCCATGGCCCTTACCTCGACATCGTTGATATAGTGAACCTCATCAAAGATGACCCACTCCAGGTCCCGAATAACATCTGAGCCACTGTACAGCATGGAGCTGGGGAGAAGAGGCCAAGGATTGACTCCCCAGTGGCTCGTCTCCACCCCCTCCTCAGACAGCACACTCTCCACAACGGCCACATCTTCCCAGCCAAAACTCCCCTGTATTGAGTGTCCATCTCTCACCGAAGGATCTCTGTGGTCATGATGAGGCAGGAGGCCTCCGGATGCAGCTGTACATCCCCGGTGAGCAGCCCCACATCCCCGAATGTGTTTCGGAAGTCCCGGAACTTCTGGTTGCTCAGGGCCTTGATGGGCGAAGTGTAGATGGTGCTGGGAAGAGAGCATGAAGTTAGCCAGTCCCTCCGCAGACTCATGGCCCGCACTTCCTCTCCCACATGGAGCCCTCGTGGAAGCATGCCCCAGAAGCTCAGGTGCTCCTCTTCTTCACCCAAACTGCCCTTACATTCTCCTGCATGATATAACCCCAGAAAAATTCTGTCCCCAACCCCTTCCTAAACTAACCCAGGTCATTCTTCTAAACTTTCTCCCCACCATGTCTTTTCATTTCTCTCTGGGCTCTTGTCTCAGTCTTAGCCCTGAACCTCTCACTTAAAGGATGAGCTAGAGAGGTGGGGGAAGAGATGAGATTTTCAAAGGATGCAGGAGAAAATGGGGCTGGCTGGTGAAGGGGGAGGTTGGCAAAGGAACTCATACCGTGTCATGTGTTTCTGGGCCAGGGCAATGGCATATTCAGCCACAACTGTTTTTCCTGCAGATGTGTGAGCTGCGACAAAGACAGAGTCATGCCGTTCCAAGTGCAGGATGGCCTGTTTCTGAAACACATCTGGCTCAAATGCCCACTATGGGAGAGAGAAATAGACAGGAGCTGAAGAAAGGAGCGGGGCCTTGCTGCCTCCTGCTCATGGAGCACGCAGGGCGGGCGGATGAAGGCCGGAGCCAGCCGAGGCTGGGACTGAGTACCAAGACTGGCCTGGGATGGATCTGACCTCTGGCCAATAGAGGAGACAAGGGGTCGGCTGGGAGTGTGACCCAGAAAGAGGTAGAGGAGCGTGTGAAGATGGGGCCAAAGTACCTGGAAGGCTGGCTGGGGAATGAGGCGATAGAAATCACCAACAGGGGAGGTGGCGTCCACAGGGATGGCCCACTGCTCCTGAGATGGAGGCTCTGGGGCCTCTGGGGTGGATACAGCTGTGGACGCTTCCTGGAAGAGTCAGGGGTAGCAGTGATAAAGATACAACCAGAGGGCTCTCAATTAGCACTCCTCCCAAAAGATGTCCCTTTCTTCCCCTCAGACCCATCCTAGCCAGCCCACATCCTGGTGGCAAGGCTCTTTCTTGCCTCCACTACACAGAACCACCAACCTTCAACACTAGGTCTTCCAAGCTGCTTGCTCGGGCCAGGGGAGCACTGCAGGGAGAGGCTGAAACAGTGTCCCCTCTGGGACCTCCTGGCTGTCCCACTGCCTCATTCTCATCCTCGTCACCCCCACCCAAATCCAGAGGCTCCAACATACAGCTAAGGCTTAGTAGTCCAGGAGCTGGAGTTGGACAATCTGAGGAGCAAGCCAACAAGGTCAACCTTGTCATGTCCATCTCTGTTCCTTAGGAGAAGGACATGACTTCTCCTACACCCCACTCAAAAACTAAAACTAACCTTTTGGTGCAAAGTCCATGCCTTTCTTGAAACCAGGTGGAATAGTAAGAAGATCTGTAGGATAGGGACATGAAATCAGGTCACTGCACACTGGTGAACAAATTGTGTACATTATATAAACCTAAAAGATACCATTTACAGGACAGATGCTGTAGATAGGGATGTTTGCTATGACACTTTCCCAACAGATGACAGTAAAGGTTGTTGTAGAAATTTCCCAGCAGATGACAGTAAAGGTTGTTATGGACAGAATATCTTTTTCTAATTTTCTCAAAAACATGGGAGGGCTAGCAGTAGCCCAGTGATAGCCTGGGCTCTTCCTCCTCAAGGCTCAGACTCAGAGCCCCACCTTACCTTTCTCAAAGTCTATCTCCTCCTCAGCCTCCTCCCGTGTGTTCAGATCTGTTATGGTGGGTTCATCCATCCCCCCTGGGAAGAGACAGGACAGACAGGGATTCATGGGATGAGGGTAATACGAGATAGGTGGGGAACCCTTCCCTGGAGATTAAAGACACCCTCTTCTACCATCCCATCTCCACAAGAGTCACCTGGCCAGAAGGGATACTGAGTTGGATTTCCCCATAAGGACTGGGAGGCTGGCCCTGGAGGCCGGCGAAGAGACAAGGAGGTTGTAGCCGAGAGATTTGTGTTCTCCAGCAAGACCTAAGGCAAGAGATCAGAGCCCCAATGAGGCTGAGCTTGTCTCTGACCACCTCCCCTTCTCCCCAACTGTTTCTCATGACCCCTGACCTCCTACCTCTTTGTAACCCAGTATCTGGCCTGTGGTTGGGTGTCTTTGGGCCTGTAGGTCGGATGGGACTGGGGCTCCCAGGACAGCCAAAAGAGACCAGGGATCCGTCTTCCTCTGCCATTTTCTGGAGAGAAAAATAGTAACTTTTGGGTCTTCTTTCTTCCTCTGTCCCAGCTTCCTTCAGGAACCCATCACCCTAGTCTAAGCCCCTCCAGACTCCTCACCGGGCTGAGTGCTCCACACCATGCAGAGGCAGCCAGGCTGGGGATGACAGAAACAACTGTTCTGCTTCTTGCTGCAGATCTGGGGCACAAGGAGGGAGGCCATGGGGAAGCTGAAACAAGGGCAAGATGAGAGGCATTAGGTAAGGAAAGAGGATAAAATGCAGACAAAAGAGATGATGGGACTTGTGTTCAGATCAGAAATGGCAGATGTGTCAAACAGACTAGGACAATCAGGCTTGGCCAAAAACTACCTGCTACTGAATTACCTGGGGCAGATTTTGGATTTCAGAAACATGGAGGCTGGACCTAGGAATGTGCATTTTTAAAAAGCTCCCTGGCTAATCATGAAGCACACTGAAATTGGAGACTCACTGATTTTAGAAAAAGGGGTCCCAGACCTAAGGATGAAAGGTTGGAGGCTCAAAGCCTATCATCTCAGTCACCAAGTGCCCTGGTGCTTGGATACAGAAGGGAGCTCCACGGAGAAATGCCACATTTGAAAGAGCAGCTCTCAAAGCAAAAATATCCCCAGCCCTTTCTGCTCTGTCCTCACATGTACTGCAGGTACACTGGGCTGTAATCTGTCCAGCACCCCTTCAGGCTGGGATGGACAGGAGTACAGGCACAGATGAACAAGGTTAAGCTAGATCCTACTGTGAGGAGGGTGAAGGAGGTTTGGACTCAATGCGGGTCAAAGGTTAGGGTCAAAAGTCACTCACGCTACTCTCTGGAGCTCCAGGCAAGTTCAGCAGCTCCCAGTGCCCCGTGCATCCGAGCTCCACGGCCCGAAGGGGTAGGTCCAGGGGATCTGGAGGGGGTAGCACTACGGGGAAAGGTCAAAAGTCAGGGGTCAAAGTTCATTCCATATCGGCTACTCCGTTCCATTTCCCTCCCCTCCCCCTCACCAAGTCGCTCTGTCTCCATCATCCTGGAGCCACAGCAGCTGCCTGGCAGCCCGGAAGTGCGGCAAGTAGTCGCTGCGAAGTAAGCCCCGCCCCGGAACGGGCGGAAGTAGAGGCAACTTCCGGTACAGCCCCGCCGAGAGCGTGAACTATCGCTGCGGAGGGGCAGACCTGGACCGGTGGAAGGCCGGGCGGAAGTGCGCGCCTGGGGCCGCCTTGGTTACCGCGTTTTCCGCTCCTCGCTACGTCATCGTTGTGAGCCCGCTATCAGCGGCCAGCGCGGGCGCGGCCGGAGACCGTGGGGCCCCCGGTTGCCGCCCCCTCGGGTAAGGCCCTCTGCTTCTCACTCTTCGGCCCTTTTTCTCATAGCCGTTTCTCTGTTCTTCCTCTTTGCGTTGCTCTGCGGGCGCTACGCTGGCTCCACCGCCTTCTCTGCCGTTCAAACCCCGCGGTTGTCCTTACCCTAGCGAGGGTAGGGGGGTCGGGTGCCATCGTCTTTCCGACGGAGTGGATATTTGTCCCTCCTTGAACCACATGGTACCTAAAGGTGCTGGTGTCTGTGATCCCTGGAGACAGGAGGGAATGCTGGATGATCCCGACCAGCGGGAGCTTGGACAGCAGCCTGGTTTAAGCAAGGGGTAGGGAAAGCCAAAGACAAGAGTAGGCAGACCTGAAGGGGTGGGGTTGGGTACAGTGTGGACGGCGTGTGAACCCCGGGTGGTAACAGTGGAGAAAGATGTCTTGGGCCCTGCCCCTGAACTAGGAGCCACCATGTTGGTGATACCCCCCGGACTGAGCGAGGAAGAGGAGGCTCTGCAGAAGAAATTCAACAAGCTCAAGAAAAAGGTGAGGGACTGTGTGTGGACATGGCCTAACCTTTCACAGACTCTGCACTCTGAGAAGATATGGGGTGAGTGTGAGCGAATGGGGAAGTTTTTCTGGCCCATACCTAGAGACATATCACCTCACAGTGTAGCTTCGAGAGGTGGGCTTTCCCAAGCCTTGGTGTGGACCTTCTGTCTTTTCTATGCAATTTGCCATGGATTGTCTTCCTTTCCCATGGCTTTTAGTACCGCTTAAGAGCTGATGATCCCCAAGTTTGTTTTTTCCAGTTCTATCCAGTGTTATACTGAAAAACTTCAGATACTCAGTGTTGAAGCTATCATCTTTCTATTCTTGATCTTCCAAATAAGATTGACTACACCAATTCTGCCACATGTTTGGACTCAAAACTCTGACTTCCCCACTATTTGCATAGTCAAACCTTTGCCAAGTCTTATTGTTTCTTCTTTTGAAGTAATTTTTCCTGTTTATTCTTCACTGTGCATTCCCCCGAGCAGGGCTTTATTGACATTCATGTGGGCCATTGTAATGGTCTCTCAACAAATTTCTCAGTCTTTTTTTTTGAACAGACTTCTTCACTCCTGTTCAAATGATCCATTGAAAACACAAAATTCTGCTCCCTCTGTTTCTCAAAAACCATAAATGGCTTCACATTGTCTATAAAAAAGCCTCAAAACCTTAGTTTGGCAGCCTTGTCTAGTAAAGTAGAACTATTCACTACTTCCAAAAGATGCATTCCCAAAGCCTTCTTATCTCTGCATCTTTGCCACCCTGTTTTCTTTTTCTAAAATACCCTTCTCCTCTCTGTGTTGTGCAGAGATACGGGAGAGGGCCTAGTTTAATAGCCATTAAACATCAGAAAATCTTACTAGCTTTCAGCTATGAATAATCTGCACCTCTTATAATTGTATTGCTAACTCAATGTATTTTATTTCTCAGACTGTAAGCTTCTTGAGGGTAGGAACAATGCATTAGCCTCCTGGATATCCCTGTTACGAAGTCATGGCTGGGCCTCATTCAATATGCAGGAAATAGATGGATGAAGCTTCCAGGAAAGGCACATAAACTTATACTTACTTGCAGCTTATATCCTAGGATTCTAGTCCATGATTGAGTTATTTGTCTTCAACTTCAAAAATGTAACACTCTGGAAAACCTCTGGGTTCCGTGGTTTGGTTAGATTAGGAATTTCCAGCATCATACATGATCTAGGGGACCAGAGGCAAGAGGCAGAGCACATCAGTGTACCACTCTGAGGGCATCAAGAAAGACGGTCCCTGGAGTGATGTGCCCAGGGGCCTTAGGAGAGGAACCGGCTAGGGGCTGGCCCTCACTTACCTCTCTCTTCTCACCCTTGTTCCCAGAAAAAGGCATTGCTGGCTCTGAAGAAGCAAAGTAGCAGCAGCACAACCAGCCAAGGTGGTGTCAAACGCTGTGAGTGACAGGGGAAATGGGGATGGACTGGAAGTGGGCAGCATGGAGCTGACCTTCATCATGGCTTGGCCAACATAATGCCTCTTCCCCTTGTCTCTCCAGCACTATCAGAGCAGCCTGTCATGGACACAGCCACAGCAACAGAGCAGGCAAAGCAGCTGGTGAAGTCAGGAGCCATCAGTGCCATCAAGGCTGAGACCAAGAACTCAGGCTTCAAGCGTTCTCGAACCCTTGAGGGGAAGTTAAAGGTGAGCACAAGCAGAAAGATTGTTTAAAGGGCATCCCTCCAAGTTGGAATGTAGATGGGTTTGGGGAAAAATATGCATACTCAAGCACTGGCAAATTGCTGTACCATTCTGAGTTTCACCTCTCATGTATAAAATGAAAAAACTAGACGACTCCTGAATTCTCCATTTTACAAATTCTGTGGTTCTAATCCACCTTGGATTGGAGCTCTTGGAATATGTTGCCCTAAGGGATGGAAAGGGCTGAAAATGTTATCAGGTTCAAGAGAGGTTCAAATAAACTGAATACATAATATATCGAGTCACTTATAAAAAATACCAGCTGGGCGTGGTGGCTCATGCCTGTAATCCCAGCACTTTGGGAGGCTGAGGTGGGCAGATCACTTGAGATTAGGAGTTTAAGACCAACCTGGCCAACATGGTAAAACCCCGTCTCTACTAAAAATACAAAAATCAGCAGGGTGTGAGGCCGGGCGCGGTGGCTCACACCTGTAATCCCAGCACTTTGGGAGGCCGAGGCAGGCGGATCACGAGGTCAGGAGATCGAGACCATCCTGGCTAACAAGGTGAAACCCCATCTCTACTAAAAATACAAAAATTAGCCGGGCGTGGTGGCGGGCGCCTGTAGTCCCAGCTACTTGGGAGGCTGAGGCAGGAGAATTGCTTGAACCCAGGAGGCGGAGCTTGCAGTGAGTCGAGATTGTGCCACTGCACTCCAGCCTGGGTGACAGCGAGACTCCGTCTCAAAAAAAAAAAAAATTAGCAGAATGTGGTGGTGCACACTTATAGTCCCAGTTACTGAGGAGGCTGAGGCCAGAGAATCACTTGAACCCAGGAGGCAGAGGTTGCAGTGAGTGGAGATCACACCACTGCACTCCAGCCTGGACGACAGAGCAAGATTCTGTCTCAAAAACAAAACAAAACAAGCCACAATGGCAGGTGCGGCAATGGCTCATTCCTGGTTAATTTCAGCACTTTAGGAGGCCGAGGTAGGAGGATTGCTTGAGCCCAGGAGTTTGAGACCAGCCCTGGCAACATAGTGAAACCCTATCTCTACAAAAAAAAAAAAAAATACAGAAATTAGCCAAGCATGGTAGAGCACATCTCTAGTCCCAGCTACTAGGGAGGCTGAGGTAGGAGGATTGCTTGAGCATGGGAGGTCAAGGCTGCAGCAAGCTACGATTGCTCTATTGCACTCCAGCCTGGACAACAGAGCAGGACCGTGTCTCAAAAAAAAAAAAAAAAAATAAGTAAAACCACGTCAAATAAGAAATGTATGTAGAATTAAAAGGGAAGAAAAGATCAGAGGAAACCTAGAAGAGGGTGAGGGAAGAGGAACACCTCTGGTCCATGGTTGGGCAACCTCCTGCTCCACACTGAGGTAGGTCTCTCACCACTCCAGGACCCCGAGAAGGGACCAGTCCCCACTTTCCAGCCGTTCCAGAGGAGCATATCTGCTGATGATGACCTGCAAGAGGTAAAGGCTCCTAATTTCTGTCCCTGAGGGGTTGGGGATGGAGGAATATGAGAGACAAATATATTTTGGACCACATGTCAGCAACTGGAAATCATCTTAACTGTTCTTGGTCTCTTTTACAGTCATCCAGACGTCCCCAGAGGAAATCTCTGTATGAGAGGTTAGAGAGTAGAGATAAGGCTGGGCCCATTTGGTGGAGTTGATTGCCTGAGTCCTTGGGAGGTTTGGGCTGTAGGAGCTGGGCTATAGAGGGAATATTGAGTCTCCACAGGGTCTGAGGGGAGAAGGTAAAACCCCCCTTTGATCTTCAGTCTGCATCTCCCCAGCTTTGTGTCTTCTAGTGATCGACTTCGAGAACTAGGACCAGATGGAGAAGAGGCAGAGGGCCCAGGGGCTGGTGATGGTCCCCCTCGAAGCTTTGACTGGGGCTATGAAGAACGCAGTGGTGCCCACTCCTCAGCCTCCCCTCCCCGAAGCCGCAGCCGGGACCGCAGCCATGAGAGGAACCGGGACAGAGACCGAGATCGGGAGCGGGATCGAGACCGGGATCGAGACAGAGACAGAGAGCGGGACAGGGATCGGGATCGGGATCGAGATCGAGACCGGGAACGGGACAGGGATCGGGAGCGGGATCGAGACCGAGACCGAGAGGGTCCTTTCCGCAGTGAGTGATTTTGGCTGGAGGTCAAGGTGACCTTAACTGAGGTTTATGTGGGTCCTACTAAGTGAAATGTGGCATGGTCTATGTCTTGTGACTATGATTTGTGCTCCCAAAGGGTCGGATTCATTCCCTGAACGGCGAGCCCCTAGGAAAGGGAATACTCTCTATGTATATGGAGAAGACATGACACCCACCCTTCTCCGTGGGGCCTTCTCTCCTTTTGGAAACATCATTGACCTCTCCATGGACCCACCCAGAAAGTAAGGATGACAACAGGGCATGATGAGAAGTCCTGGGAGAATCCTGGGGTGTGAGACCTGAGGGAAGAAGCTGCCCTCCCTGCAGCCGCCTATTATCACTGGGTTTGGTTGGGTCCAGAAGAGCCCCTTGGCTCTCCACTGACCGTGTTTTCTCTTATCCCAGCTGTGCCTTCGTCACCTATGAAAAGATGGAGTCAGCAGATCAGGCCGTTGCTGAGGTTGGAACTTCCCAAATCTGTTCTTCCCATCGCTTCTGCTGTTCTCATGTGTTCTCCTCAAAATACTAGATGCCAGGAAGAAGTTGGTTCCTCTTGATAAAGAAAGCCTCTCCCTATTCACACAGAAAAACTCACATTCTCAGATTCCTTATTCAGTCTCCTCCTAGGATAGCAACTCCTGGAATAACTTCTTTGGTTTATCTGTAATGTTTTCCTCCCCATCCTCTGCCTCCCCTCTTCTGCTTCAGCTCAACGGGACCCAGGTGGAGTCTGTACAGCTCAAAGTCAACATAGCCCGAAAACAGCCCATGCTGGATGCCGCTACTGGCAAGTCTGTCTGGGGCTCCCTCGGTAAGAATGGGATTCTTCCTTTCCCATCCTCTCCCCCACAGGCCATTCCTTTTGGTTCCCCCACACATCCTTGGGTTTCCTAGAGATGATCGAGGTCAGAGTGTGTGCGGAGGCTATGGGAATGGGAAGGAAAATTTCAGATCCTCTGTCAGTTAGAGGTAAAGAAAGGAGAGAAAAGGATTGAAAACAGCTTCCAAAGCAGTGACTGGAACAGGGAAGAAAGTGGGAGCTGGAGTGAGATTGGTGAGGAAGATGAGTGTCTCATGGGGCTTGTTCATTTTGAGATGGAGTAGAGTGAGTTTCATAAGTATTCGAAATCAGGGATCTGGAACTCAGGTGTGAGGTAAGGAAGGAAAACATAGATTAAGTCATCCACATCACAGGGTGGCTGCCAAACAATAGGATCATCAGGGAGACTCTGATTTCAGAGAAAAAAAAACGACCCAGGACTCAGTTTGAGGAGTACTCTGGGACTATGTTAGGAAACAGGACTGTTCACCTCACACCCCACATGTCCCCAGCTGTCCTGACATGTTAGGCTAACGTTGAGCCTAACGTTAGCAAAGGAGACAGGAGGAGGGGTCGGAGGGCTGGGAGCAGCACCGCAGGGGCCTGGGCCACTGAAGCAAAAGGACACACACTTTGAGAAAGAGGGAGTAGCCAGCAGTGTTGAGGCACAGAGATCACAGGATGGGAGTGGGTGAGAGAGATTCTCTGTAGCTCAAGGGTGGTGGGGATGGAACCATTGGATGGGGTGAAGAGAGTAACATGTCTGGTGGAGGGAGGAAAGAGGAAGGGGAAGAAACAGCTAGAGGCTTGAGAGAGAATGGTGAGGGCCAAAGCTACACCCTGAATGAGTTCTGGTGGAGCTAGTAGCATTTCTTAGTGTGAATAATCCATTTTCCCTGAAAGTAGATTTTCCTGGGAAAGGAGTGAGCAGAAAGAAGGGCTCAGCTACAGTGGCCCTTCAGGCAAAAGAAAGGAACTAGAATTGACCAGCATGTCAAAAAAGGGCTACAGAGGTTTTCTAGTTTTTAGCTTCTGACATACTGACTGTAAGTAGTGGGTTAATATCATTCACGTGTCTCAACAATGACATTTGGGATTTTTCTAAGAACAAAACATTCATCAAAATGTCCACTTATACTTTTCTTGGCCATGGGTTGGCACAAAGGAGCTAAGGAAGACAGGCCATCCTGGCCACCAGAGGGCAGCGTGGAAACTGGGCTTCCAGGGGCCAGTGGCCAGGAGTGAGGTGGTCAGGAGTCAGCCTCAGGGTCTGTTCTATGATCTCCTTTAGACCTTAACTGTTCCTCTCCTCCCTCCCTAGCTGTCCAGAACAGCCCTAAGGGTTGCCACCGGGACAAGAGGACCCAGATTGTCTACAGTGATGACGTCTACAAGGAAAACCTTGTGGATGGCTTCTAGGGAACAGAGCTGGATTCCTTGTGCCTCATATGCCCCAATGCTGGTCTCAGTAAAACACTGAGGTGGAAGCTTACACATCTCCCTCAGCCTCTGGTTTTTCAGCACTTGGGATTGGGGTTAAACCTTTAAAAACGGCTGTCAGGTTTGATCTCAGTGTAACAACATGGCCAGTGCCTGTTCCCCACTCCCTTGCCCCAAAAGGATCTGGAACACAGGTGTTGTCGCAGCTGTTTTAATTCAATCCCACGCCCCTGTCCAGCAGGAAACCCCTTATAGAAAACCCAAATCCTCATCTTGGAGTTTCTCCTTCAGCCAGGGCAGCACTTGAAAGAGGTTGATGTGAAAGTCTCGGGCGTGAGCAGGTACCTGCTTTTGCCGCTTCTGGTTTTTGCAGACATCCACTACTCCCCAGCTGATTACACCAACCTGCAGAGGCAGTGGGGTGCCATGGATCATTCAGTAGAATTCCTAATCCTGGAAGCATGGCTGTTCCTGCTTGTGTCTTAGCTGACCTAAAGGAATCAGACTAGGGACCCAGCTCAGCCTCGTTCTTGACACACGCAGGCAAGACATGCGGTCCTAAGGTGAGGCAGGCTCTGCCTACCTCGAATTACTAGCCACATGCATTGAGCTTTCCTGCTTTGGGGCCCATGCTGACCACTTGGCATCTCCCCAGATAGGAAAGGGAGGACTCACTTGAATGAAACGACTTCTCTTGTGAACTATCAAGGGGCCGCCAGAATCACCTGCAAGGAGAGGAGAAGCTGTAGAGAAAAGGACTGTTGGGCCTTGGGCACTTGTAGCACAACCAAAGAGCATTCTCTCACCTCTGCAAGTATTGGGGTCAGCATAGGGACTCACTCCTCCAGTACAAAGGAACCGAGGGGTGACCACCTCTGAGATGTCCTTGACTTTGTCATAGCCTGGGGCATATTGAGCATCTCTCTCACAGCTGCCTTTCTGTAGGGGAGGTGGGAAGCATGGAGAAGTAATGAACAGAAGTGGCTTAGGAAGGATTGGGGCCTAGAGTGCCTCCTTAGGATGCCCGTTTCTCACCTTATCCCCATTCTTGATGTAGACCTCCTTCCGAGTCAGCTTTTTCTCCTCCTCAGACACAAACAGAGCTTTGATATCCTGTGCAGGGAGCAGCTCTTCCTCTGGACGAATAGACTGCGTCACTTCAGCTGCTCCCACCACTGTCATCTCCCCATTGCCTTTGTCACTCAGTAGATGTCCCCTAAGCCCTTCTAGAGCTAGGTTCTGGGCCAGGCATCATCTCTTCCTATTGCACCTCCCTCTCATGCCCCACTTGTCTCTTGGGATCTCATCCTTATCCTCTTGCCAAGTATGTCTTACTTTGTTGCTGGCAAGTGGTAGTTGGAGGAAGCCTCAAAGCTCGAGTTGTTCCCTCGGTGCAGGGGAGACAAATGGGCCTATAAAGGACAAGGAGAACAGCAAACCAGGCCTGCTCCTCACCCCAGTCCTCCAGCCTTTCCCAGCCTTTCCTCAGGGATCTGGACGCTCTCACCTGATAGTCTGGCCATATTTCAGCTTATTCTTGAGCTTGATCAGGGCAACGTCATAGTCATAAAATTCAGGAATTCCTGCTTCTTTTTTCCCATTAATGTTGTAGTTGGGGTGAAATAGGACTACTTCTATCTCCAGGTCCCGCTTCTCCCCTCCTGAAGTAGGAGAGTAGGTACCACCTCTTTGTGGGCAGCTTCCTGCCTCTGGCCCCGTGTCATTCCTAACTTCACGTCTTCCCCCATCCCTGACTGGTCTGGGGTGCAAGGAATGGGGCTGCATTGAGGATGGGTGGAGTGTAGGATCTGTAGAAAGTGGGAGGTGTTGCCTGGAGAGCATAGGTGCAGCCCAGGACCTTCAGTTGCATCCTTACCTACGCTGACCTTGATTGAGTG
The DNA here is from genome assembly GCF_000001405.40 of Homo sapiens. Taxonomy (NCBI): domain Eukaryota; kingdom Metazoa; phylum Chordata; class Mammalia; order Primates; family Hominidae; genus Homo; species Homo sapiens. The sequence goes on along the minus strand of NC_000006.12, from coordinate 31,950,381 downwards.
TTCCTTGTCATCCACAGTGAAACAATGTGCTGCTGTCAGCACAAAGTACTCAGACACCACAGCCCCCATACAGCTCTCGTGTCCCTTTGAAGGGCGCTGGGGACACAACAGTAGAGAGGGAAAGCTCAACTTTCACAAACCACCATCTCTTATGGCCATTTTTTCCTTCCCCTACTCCCATTTCACCTTGACCTCACCTCCCCCAAGTCCCCACTACTGGGATTCTGTGCTTACAATGACTGAGATCTTGGCCTGCCATGGTTGCTTGTGGTAATCGGTACCCTTCCTGTGTTCCCAAACCATGCCACAGAGACTCAGAGACTGGCTTTCATCTGGCAGAGAAGGAGAATGTGCTGAAAACTCGGAACACTTCATTCCCAAATGGCAGCAGCCTTTTGGGTAGGAGTCTATGGGGAGCAAAGGCCCAAAAGGAGAAAGGGAAAGACCACGGGTATTTGTTTCCTCGTGTTAGGAGAAAACTGCTATGGTGGACTGAAAAGGGAAAGAACTTGGGATCAAGCTGTCAGAGGCCTGGCTGTTTTCAAGCCCACCCTTGTTGCTAACTTGCTGTCCCTTGACCTCCTTTGGCTTCTGTTTCCACGTGTCAAATGTAGGACTATAGAAAGATCTCTGAAGTGCTCAGAGCTCTGTGATTCTAAGGTTAAGTGAACAGTGCCAGGAAACAAGAATAGTGACACTGAGGTAGAGAAGGAGGAATGAAGAAGGCTTTCCAGGCAACTAGAGCTTCAGGTGTAGAGGAAGAATGAATTACTTCAGGGGAACCTGAGGAGAGTTGTGTTCTTTATTCCCTTGTATCTCCCTACCGATCATTTGGTAGAAAACATCTTCCAGGTTTTCCATATCCTTGACTTTGAACACATGTTGCTCATTGTCTTTCTTGGAAGCCAAAGCATTGATGTTCACTTGGTTCACCAAAGGCCCGACCCCAAACACATAGACATCTGAGGGATAAAAAGGAAGGATGAGGGTCCAAGCCCTGAGGAAGTGGGGTGCTGGGTCCTAGGCAGGTTACTCACCCAGATAATCCTCCCTTGGGTTTTTGCGATCCTTGCCAATGTATAGCAAGTCCCGGATCTCATCAATGACAGTAATTGGGTCCCCGCCCATGTTGTGCAATCCTGCAGAAGAGACAGGACCATGAGGGTAGGAGATAAGGAAGATAAACTGGCTAAAGGCAGGGATACACATGGCAGGGTGAGCAAGTTGAGGAAGGGTTAGAGATAGTTGATCACAGGGCTTAGGAAGAATTCCTTATGAAGGGTCACAGGAGAGATGAACAGCCAGCTATGAGTCACATTCAGGGCCCCAACCATGGGTATAGTGTTACAAGTGGACTTAAGGGCCACATGCTGGTCTGAGAAGGTGGGGAGGCTGGGACAGGAGAGAGGTCCCTTCTGACCATCAGTCATGAGGATGATGACATGGCGGGTGCGGTTCCAGCCTTCAGGAGGGACGTCATCTGGCCAGCTCATCATGCTGTACACTGCCTGGAGGGCCTTCTTGGTGTTAGTCCCTGACTTCAACTTGTGGTCTGTGGAGAGGGAAGAGACCATCACCTCACCTGGTCTTCCAAGCCATCTTTTAACCCCAGAGACCAATCTGCAACTGAAATCCCACATCTTTCAACTTTTTAAGTTAATCATCATTACACGGACTTCCCTTTGACCACAAAGTGGCCCTTCCAGCCCCCAACAGGTTCCCACTAACCTCCATTGCCCAACGATCCTGCTGTTCAACTTTTGACTACAAAGTGGTCCTCCCTGTCGCCCTCAAGGTAGTCTCATGACCCCCTCCACCCTGAACCTCCTGACCCCAAAGTGAACCTCCCACCATTCCCTAACCTCTGACCTTCATAATTGATTTCATTGAGCTGCTTCGTGACCCAGTCTGCATTACTGCTGTCTGCTTCAGACACTTTGACCCAAATTTTGGGGTATGTGGCATATGTCACTAGACCATATCTTGGCTTCACACCATAACTTGCCACCTGTGGGTGAGGAGAACAAGGCGCCATGGCATTGAAAATAGAATACTGTGATTGGGAGATTTCAGCGACTTTGCTGGGACAGGGAGGCTCTCAGTAAGAGGCTCAAGGGCTGAGGTTCATGGAGGAATTACCAGTCAAGAAACTGCTTCAAGTAAAAGGGAAGGAGGACAGAATAGGACCTGGAGATTTTCCTGGGGCCCTGTTGTTCAGAGGGGCTGGAATGATCAGGGAGCTAGTCCTGGAAGATCAGCGAGATTCCATTCCCCCGAGTTCAGGGATAGGAGGATTCCACCTTCTCAATTAAGTTGACTAGACACTTTTTGGCTCCTGTGAAGTTGCTGGCCCCAATGCTGTCTGATCCATCTAGCACCAGGTAGATGTTCATGGAGCCTGAAGGGTCCAGGACGATCTTCCGCTTCTGTTGTTCCCCTGGGTGCCAGGAGAGTGGCTCAGGCTCCAGCATTAACAGTTCTGTCCCTTCTCCATTTTCCCCCAGTTCCCTGCCCTGCCTCCCTTCTCTGTCTTCAAACCTGGGCCGTGCCCATCCTCAGCATCGACTCCTTCTATGGTCTCTGTCAGGGAAGACAGGAAAGCTTCGGCCACCTCTTGAGGGGTGTCGTACATGAAGGAGTCTGGGAGAGTCAGAAATGAGGTCAAATGTCTGGGAGTGTCAGGGATACAGTGACCAAAGAGACGGGGGATCATGGGTTTCCAGGGTATAAAAGGCTCAGAAGTGAGATAGTTGTACAGGGAGGTTTAAACAAAGTGAGGAAAGAGCAGGGTTGAGGTGGGGAGAGAAGACAGTAGGATGGAAGACCAGGATCTGACCTGGGGGTACAGGTCAAAGGTCACCTTGGCAGGAAGGCTCCGTCCCGCTCCAAGAGCCACCTTCCTGACACGTTCGCCGCTGGGAGCCACGCAGGGTAAGCCCCCGGCTGCAGTGGTAGGTGACGCTGTCTTCAAGGCGGTACTGGCTGCCCACCTTCCTTGTGCCAATGGGGATGCCCGGGTTGGAGCAGTACCCCGCTGCAGAGGTATGAGACATCGAGGTAAGCACTGAAGCCTGAGGCCCCGTGAGCAAGGTAGAGAGCAAGAGTTACAGTGTCCGGAGCCGAGTGCCCACTCCTCGGGCTGGGCGCCGTCAGGGAGACAGCAATGTAGGGGGAGGGGATGCTTCTCACCTCCGTTGTCACAGATCGCTGTCTGCCCACTCCATCGGCCATTCACTTGGCAGGTGCGATTGGCAGAGCCCCGGAGAGTGTAACCGTCATAGCAGTGGAAAGAGATCTCATCACTCACATTGTAGTAGGGAGACCGGGGCCAGTATTCCCCGTTCTCGAAGTCGTGTGGTCTTGGACAGTGGATTGCTTTGAGAAGGGGGGACAAGTAGAAGTCATCAAGAGGGAAAGGCTGCCTTAGGTGTATCCCTCCTGGTCTCGGAGACCATGTCACTGAGAAACAGCGCATTCCCAGTCCCGCAGAAGCAGCATCTTACCTACTCCTCAACCCATATGGATTTCCACTGCTTCTCCCTCCCCATTTCTGAGTGTTCTCTTGACTTCCAGGGCTGCCTGGAAGCCCAGGGTAAATGCTTAGTAAGGGTTAACTCCGCTTTTTCTTGCCCCCTTTCCGCCTGCCACCCTAAAACTGCTCCTACTCCCGGTCAGCCCACCTTGTCACCCTGCCTAGTCTCATCCTAGTCCTGACCTTGCTGCCGCCTGCCCTGTTTCTGCCTTAGGCCACTGCCCACACTCATTGCCCTCAAACCTCTGCACTCTGCCTTCCTGACAGTCTTTTGGTCTTGAGTCTTCAGGGTGCTCCAGGACCCCGTAGATCTGCAGGTACGTGTCTGCACAGGGTACGGGTAGAAGCCAGAAGGACACACGTACTCCAGTGCCTGGCCCTCTTGGAGAAGTCGGAAGGAGCCGCCTTTGATCTCTACCCCCTCCAGAGAGCAGGATCCCTGGGGCCGGGCCAAAGACCATGGAGTGGTGGTCACACCTGAAGAGAAAGGCTGATGAAGCCTGGCCCCAAAAGGCCAAGGAGGGATGCTGGAGACAGCAGGAAGGGAAGGTTACCCTCGCTTACCTCCAGACAAGAGGCCCAAGATAAAGGGCATCAGGCAGAGTTGGGGGCTGAGATTGCTCCCCATGGCGTTGGAAGGCAGGAGAGAAGCTGGGCCTGGGGCAGGATGGTGTGTCCTGGCTTGCTTTGCTTGTCTGCTTGGCTCAGTGTCCAAGCTGAAACTCCAGACCTAGACCTGGTCACATTCCCTTCCCCTGCTCCCCACCAGCCCCCAGCCTTTTATACAATCTGTGTTCTGGCACCTGCGGCTCGCCCCGCCTGTCCTACCCACATCACTTTCCCGGAACATCCAAGCGGGAGGGCCCCGCTGAGCTGCCAGTCAAGGAAACAGAAACTGCAGAAGTCCCACCCTTTGCTGCCAAAGGTCCAGGACTCTCCCCTTCAGTACCTCCTCTCCGGCCTTAGCTCCTCCCCAGTAAGCCCAAACCACCCACTTAGGGACCAGAAATAAGGATCCAGCTCACTCCCCTGTTGATTGTGTGTTATGGTGCAGAGTCCAGCCACTGTTTGTCCAGTGGGGTCTCTGACCTGCCTTCCTGTAGCTCTTGGAGTCATTCTGGCCTCCCCCTCCCCCAAGGCCAGCCCTACCTGGCCTCCAGATAGAGGCACTGAGAGATGTGGAAACCATTGATTTTTATTAATTTCATAACTGGGAAATTCCATGTGAAAGTGAAACAAGCATGAGTCAAGTCAACCAGGGAAGGAATCTGGGGACAGGCCAAGGAGCGGGAGGTGGGGCAGCGAGGCAGTCCTGCTGGTAGGAGCCCTGAGGATTTCCCAGCTTGTGTGCGCTGCCTCTGGCATCCTAGAGACCCGGATTTACTCAGCTAGGAGAGAGGATGGATCACAGGGTCTAAGGGTGGCCATTCAGAGGTAGAAGATGGAGGGGCGGCAGATTCTGGCAGGGCAGCAGAGGGCTCAGTGGCCATGGCTAGAGGGGTAAAAAATTCAGGACATCCCCCAGGTGCTGCCTCAGCCAGGGCTGCATGCGGAAGAGATTGATGTGAAAGTCTCGTGGCGGCGGGACCTTGCTACGAGGGGCCCTTTTGCGGGAGTTTTTGTCAGCAGAGCCAAGGCAGGGGTTGTAAAGACCCCAGCTCACCAGACCCACCTGGAGAAAAGGAGAGAACTGGCTGGGAGGCTGCCACAGCCCCAACTGTAAGCCCCAACCTCCCTAGATCCCTCAAAGGCCTCCCTCATCCCCCCAACAAGGCTGAGATCCTGTAACCCCTGGGTCCTGCAAGCTTCTACCTTCTCACCTGAAAAAACCTGAATCTCCGCTCAAGGAAAACTGCTCCCCCAGATTCTCCTGCCAGCAAAGGGTGACAGGAGACAGTGTCATCTAGGGCAGTGGACTGGTGTTCTGGCATGCATGCTGGCCACAGAGACACAGGTGGCCTTCCCCTTGGGAATCCAGGCATGGTGAGGGACTCACCCTTGCAGGGACTCTCATCCTCCTGGGTCCCACTGCATAGGAACTGGTCTGTCACCACCTCCCTGACATCTGTCAAGTTGGGGAACATGGTTTTTTCTTGGGAGACAACCTCGGCACAGCTTGTCCACTGCAGCAGGGGTGGAACCAGAGAGAAGGGTAGAATAAGCAGACCCGGGTGGGTGCAGTGGCTCACGCCTGTAATCTCAGCACTTTGGGAGGTTGAGGCAGGCAGATCACTTGAGGTCAGGAGTTCAAGACCATCCTGGCCAACATGGCGAAATCCCGTCTCTACTAAAAATACAAAAATTAGCTGGTGTGGTGGTGGGCACCTGTAATCTCAGCTACTCGGGAGGCTGAAGTAGGAGAATCGCTTGAACCCAGGAGGCAGAAGTTGCAGTGAGCTGAGGTCGTGCCACTGCACTCCAGCCTGGGAGACAGAGCAAGACTCCATCTCAATAACAACAAAAAAAGAATAAGCAGACCCAGGGACACCTAGCAGGTTTGTGAGGCTTGGGAGGAGGGGTGACCCGCGTCAGAGAGAGAAAGCAGCCAGACCTGGAGAAGGAAGAGAGACATTCTGGGAGCTGTCACAGGGGGATCCCAGCATCCCCAACCTGAGACCCTCACCTCCACTCCCATCTTAAGGTTAATGTTCAGTTTGCTCCCATTCAAGGCGACAAAATGAGCAGGAACACTCTGTTTGTTCAGCAGTTCATTCTCTATAGTCAAGAGAAGGGGATGTTGGTGCTGGTCCTTTTACCCAGAATCCAGGTTCCTGGCTTGGGGACTGCAGCCTAGTCCTTGTTATCACCCCCAAACCCCGGCCCCAGCTCTCAAGCACCATAAGTCCCAGCACTCACCATGGTCCCTACAGGTGCTGCCTTGAGGTCTCCGCAGAGCCAGATTGGCCTCCATCGTGCAGGGAAGGCAGATGGGCCTGGGGAGAAGAGCAAGGGTCACACCAGCCTGTCCCCAGTATCTCTTCCAGGGATCTCCAGAGCACTCTTCCCTGCAGGGCACCCTCCCATCCCAGACTCCAGGCACCTGGCATGGGTGGACATCTTTACTTTCTGGGCCAGCTTCAGCAGAGCTATGTCATCACCATAGAACTCCAGGATTCCCTGGTTCTTTTTGGCAAAGACATCAAACCCTGGGGAGATCACCGCCTTCTCAATAAGGAATTCTTTGCCCCACTGGGATTTGGGGTCTCCTGGAAATGATACACTAGATTAGGCTAGACCAGGGCTCCTGCAGGGGCCAGAGGCTGGGTGAGGTGGTAGGATCTGTGGCTTCAGGATCAGGAGGCTGGTGCATCCCCTGCCTTACCCACATTGACCCTCCACAGGGAGTGGTCGTTGCCATCGCGGAAGCAATGAGCTGCTGTCAGGACCCATTGGTCGGAGATGAGGGCCCCCCGGCAGGTCTCTTGGCTCTTGGGCTGCAGGGGAACAGGTGATTTTCAGAGATTGCAGTATGTCTGGCCCATGGCCGCTTTTACCTCTGGAATCCAAGCCCTGCCCCTCCTTCCTGGTACCTTAATAGTGACATGCCAGGGTGTCCTCTCCTGGTCAGAGGCGTTTGCTGACATGTTCCCCACCCCGCAGATGGTGTCTGTGAGCTTGGAGACATCTGTGGGTGTGAGGATCAGATGGGGAAGGAGGCAAGTGAGGGGCACTGTGTCCAGGTTCCCAACACGGGCCTCTGGCGGGCTCCTCACCATCCTCCCCACACCAAGGAGGGCAAAGCTCACTCACCCAGCATATGTTCAAAGACCTGGTGCAGAGCCTTTGTGTCCTGCAGAATGAAGGCATGCCTCTCACCATCCTTCTTGGACCCTAGCTCATTCAGTTCTCTCCAGTCCACATCCAGCTTGCCCACCCCGATGGCATAGATGTCTGGTGGGGAAGAGGGAAATCACCAGACTCCTGTGGCTTTGGGGCTACCCCATGAGACAGGAGGCTGTCATCTGAAACTCACTGTGTCCAATCAAGACCTACATGAGCTGGACCCCTGCGTCCTCCCCACTGCTACCTGTCTGCCTTCATTTCCTGCCACTCCCTGCCCTTCACTCTCCTGCAGCACACAGCCTCTTTGAAGTTCCTCAAATCCATAGGCATGGTCACACCTCAGGCCCTTTGCCCAGCTGTGCCTCTGCCTAGTTCACTCCTCCCCCCCAGACTTCCACATGGCTCACTTTCGTACCTTTTTAAGTCTTGGCTCAAATGTCACCTTCTCAGTGAGGCCTTCCCTGGTCTTCCTGTCTAAAACTGCAATGCCCCAGACAAACTTTCATCCCCACTTTGGGAGGCAAGGTGGGAGGATCCCTTGAAGCCAGAAGTTTGAGACCAGCCTGGGCAACATGGCAACACCCCTTAGCTTGTGTCACCTACCACCTGCTGGGTTCTATGGTTTTCTTATCCTGTTTATTCCCTGTAATGGTGGAATTGTGTCCCCCAGAAAGATGTGTTCGAGTCCTAATCCCCAGTATCTGTGACTTTATTTGGAAAAAGGGTCTTTGCAGATGTAATCAAGTTAAGATTAAGTCATACTAGATTAGGGTGAGCTCTAATCCAATGACTGAGGTCCTTATAAGAAGAGGTAAGCCAGAGCCAGGCGTGGTGGCTCACACCTGTAATCACCAGGAGGCGGTGGTTGTGGTGAGCCAAGATCGCGCCATTGCACTCCAGCCTGGGCAACAAGAGCAAAACCCCGTCTCAAAAAAAAAAAAAGAAGAGGTGAGCCGGGCACGGTGGCTCACACCTGTAATCCCAGCACTCTGGGAGGCTGAGGCGGGCAGATCACGAGGTCAGGAATTCAAGACCAGCCTGACCAACATGGTGAAACCCTGTCTCTACTAAAAATACAAAAATTAGCCAGACATGCTGGCACACACCTGTAATCCCAGCTACTCAGGAGGCTGAGGCAGGAGAATCGCTTGAACCGGGAGGCGGATGTTGCAGTGAGCCGAGATTGCACCACTGCACTCCAGCCTGGGCAACAGAGCAAGACTCCATCTCAAAAAAAAAAAAAAAAAAAAAAGTGAACTGGCTGGGCATGGTGGTGACTCATGCCTGTAATCCCGGCAGTTTTTTTGAGGCGAAGGCAGGCAGATCGCCTTGAGGCCAGGAGTTTAAGACCAGCCTAGCCAACATGGCGAGACCATGTCTCTACTAAAAATACAAAAATTTGCCGGGCATGGTGGCACATGCCTGTAATCCCAGCTTCTTGGGAGACTGAGGCACGAGAATCACCTGAACCCAGGAGGCAGAGGTTACAGTGAGCCGGGATCCCGCCACTGCACTGCAGCCTGGGCTTCTGGGTGACAGAGCGAGACTCTGTCTCAAACAAATGAACAGAAAAAGAAGAAAGGAATTTGGACACAAAGACACAGGTAGTGGGTCTCCTATCTATATAAGAGAACAGCATGTAATGACACAGAGGCACACACAGAAAAGAAGGCGAGTTGAAGACAGAGGCAGAGAATGGGTTTATGCTGCCGCAAGCCAAGGTTGGAGCTGCCGGCAGCCGGAAAAGGCAGGAAAGAATTCTTCCCAAGAGCCTTCTGAGGAAGCACGGCCCTGCCAACACCTTGATTTCAGACTTCTAACCTCCAGAACTGTAAGAAAAAGAAATTCTGTGTTCTAAGCCACCCAGGTTTGTGGTAGTTTGGTAAGTACTTTTAAATGACTGAATGAATAGAAAGAACTCAGAACACAACATGGAAACTAAACCTCAGATCTGGTCTTCCTCTGTAAAAGGTAGCATCTGGGAGAAGGGCCTAAAGCCACGTTTTCCCACTGGAGGCCCTGGACCCACACAACAGGCCGCGCCTGTCCTCCGACTGTGGTGCCAGTCAGAACTGCCCTCAGACAGACCACAGAGTCTACTCCTCTCCCAGCCTTTGCACCCCTTGTGGCCCATTTTTGTTCTCAGAGAGCCCCGCGTTGTGTGTAAAAAGCAAGGTGCTTAGGTGGACCAAGAGATCTTCAGCCAGGAGGCAATCTGGCAATGGCCCAGATAGAAACAGTTACAGTTGGAGCTAGACAACGATCGTGCCTTGTGCGTTTTCTTTGACTATTTTCGTTTGGTTTCCTGCTTATTTTCAATAAAATGTTTTTGTAGCATTTGACCTTGGTCCAGTGATGCTAAGGAGGAAGGGAGTGGGCTTTAAATTTTGTCTTCCTTGGGCCAGAGTTTTAAAGAGGAATCAGCTTACCCCCGAGGGCCAGGTGATGGGGGAGGGGGCAGTGTGAATGGAAAGGAGAGGAGCTAAGGGGAAGATGAAAGGTTGGGGCTCAAAACCAGCTGCCCTCCCTGTCTGAGCATCTCTCTCTCTGAAATTACTTTCTGATCAAAGGTCAGTGCAATTTGTGTTTAGTCTGAACCTGAGGAATTTTTCCTTTAGAGGCTGCAACTGCCAAAGCCTTAGTTAGCCAGCTGTGCTGCTGAAAGAGCAACCACCAGGGACATTCCCCAGAGGGAATCGAGGTCCCTTCTTCCTGGAAAGTTTCCTGAAACATGAGATGCTATGATGATGATGATGATGATAACGACGACGGTCGTGGTCATGGCTAACATATGCTGGGCATTTTTCTATGCCAGGCAGGCAGTGTTTGTCTGAGCATCTTCCCCTGTCAGCTTGTGAGCTGGGTCCTAGTACTACTCCCCTTTTGCAGATGAAGAAACTGCCCATGGCCACAGCCCACTGAAGATGAAACCAAGGTTCTCTGTCTAAAGCTGTTGATTAAAAATAATAATTAAAAAATTAAAAATTGGCCAGGCACAGTGGCTCACGCCTATCTGTAATCCCAGCACCTTGGGAGACCAAGGCAGGCGGATCACTTGAGGCCAGGGGTTTGACACCAGACTGCCAACATGGTGAAACTCTGTCTCTATTAAAAATGCAAAAATGAGCCGGGCATGGTGGCACACACCTGTAATCCCAGCTACTCTGGAGGCTGAGGCAGGAGAATCATTTGAAGCCAGGACGTGGAGGTTGCAGTGAGTTGAGATCGAGTCACTGCACTCCAGCCTGGGCAACACGGCAAGATTCTGTCTCAAAAAAAATTTAAAAATTAATTTTAAAAAATTTGTGAAGACGGGCTGAGCATAGTGGCTCATACCTGTAATCCTACCACTTTGGGAAGCTGAGTTGAGGGGATCACTTGAAACCAGGAATTTGAGGCTGCAGTAAGCTATGATTGCACCACTGCACTTCATGGTGGCATGGTGGACATCGTTACTTTCTGGACCAGCTTCTGGGCCGGCATGGGTGGACATCTTTCCAGGAATATACTCTGAGTGTCAGTGAGACACTGTCTTAAAAAAAAAAAAAAAAAAAAAGAAGGTAAGGTTGAGACCATGGGCAGTAGTTTGACCCCAGGCTCTTCAACATGAGTTGCCTTTGTACAGAACAACGCAGAAATAAAACCATGTGGCTCTGGACCATAGCTAAGATGCTGGGATCCCTGGCTGAAGATCTCATGACCTCTGCAGGAGCAGAACAAATGTGGTGGCAGTGGCAGGGGCTCACCCAGATAGTCATTCCTCTTCTGGTTGATGTTCAGGATCTCTCTGATATGGTCAACAGCTGTCTTGGGAGAGCCACCCATATTGGACTTTCCTAGAACAAAGAGAATAAAGAATTCTTCTAGGTAATATCAGGATTTCCCCAGGCCCTGGAAGAGTAGGAAAGCATTTAGCCTGGGAACCTCAACATTTACATTGCCTGTGAGAGCTTCAAAATATACTTTTAGGCTGGGCATGGTGGCTCACACCTGTAATCCTAGCACTTTGGGAGACCGAAGAAGGCGGATTGCCTGAGCTCAGGAGTTCCAGACCAGCCTGGGCAACATGGTGAAACCCTGTCTCTACTAAAACCACAAAAAATTAGCCAGGTGTGGCCGGGCATGGTGGCTCATGCCTGTAATCCCAGCACTTTGGGAGGCCAAGGCAGGTGGATCACCTGAGGTTGGGAGTTTGAGACCAGCTTGACCAACATGGAGAAACCGCACCTCTACTAAATATACAAAATTAGCCGGGTGTGGTGGCACATGCCTGTAATCCCAGCTACTCAGGAGGCAGGAGAATCGCTTGAACCTGGGAGGCGGAGGTTGCGGTGAGCCGAAATCGCGCCATTGCACTCCAGCCTGGGCAACAAGAGTGAAACTCCATCTCAAAAAATAAAAATAAAAATTAGCCAGGCATGGTGACACATGCCTGTAGTCCCAGCTACTCTGGAGGCTGAGGCACGAGAATTGCTTCAGCCTGGGAGGCAGAGGTTGCAGTGAGCCGAGATCGCACCACTGTAGTCCAGCCTGGGCAATAGAGTGAGACCCTGTCTCAAAAAAATAAATATATATATATATATATGTATGTATACATATATATATATATACATACATATATATATATACACACTTTTACTGAAATGTTCTACATTCCAGGCACCAGGCCAGGTGCTTCCTATACTTTAACTCATTTAATTCTCATGAAACCCCAGGTAGAGTGGGTATCCTCATTTTATATACTAAGTCCTGGAGGAACTGTGTAATTTGGACAATAGCAAGAGGCAAATGACAAGGCCAGATCCACTACAGACTGTTCCTTGCATCCGTGCCCTTCGACATTCCTGCTCAAGAGCCACGTTTCCTCATCTATCTCCAAGTTACCTCCCAGATGGTAACAAGAGCTAACACAGAGCACTTTCACACAGGCAACTTAAATAGCTTTCCATAAAAATTGTGTAAGGAAAGGAGGACAGCCATCATGATCATCATTGCTGTCATTGTGGTTACGGTCATCATCATCAACACTAATTCTATTTATTTATTTATTTTATTTTGAGACAAGGTAGGATCTTGGTCTGTCACCCAGGCTGGAGTGCAGTGGCATGATCTTGGCTCACTGCAACCTCTGCCTCCCAGGTTCAAGCAATTCTCCTGCCTCAGCCTCCCAAGTAGCTGGGATTACAGGCGCCTGCCACCACACCCAGCTAATGGTTTTGTATTTTTAGTAGAGACGGGGTTTCACCATGTTAGCCAGTCTGATCTCAAACTCCTAACCTCAAGTGATCCACCCGCTTTGGCCTCCCAAAGTGCTGGGACTACAGGCATAAGCCACCACACTGGCCCTATTTTATAAATAAGAAACTGGGCCAGGTGTGGTGGCTCATGCCTGTAATCCCAGCACTTTGGGAGGCTGAGGCAGGAGGATTGCTTGAAGCCAGGAGTTTGAGATCAGCTGGGCAACATAGCAAGGCCCCATCTCTAAAAACAAAAACAAAACTGGGGCCCAAAGTGGCAGGCAGAGGGAGAATCAGAATTCAGGGCTTCTGACCCCATATTGGTGCCCCTTCCACTATTCCAGACACACTCAGAGACCATGATACCCACCATCTGTCAGAAGGATGATGGCATGTCGGATTTCCTGCCAGGCCATCGTTTCCATGCCGAGGAGTCGCATTTGGTTGTTCATCATGAGATAGACACTGTTTAAGGCCGCATAGGTGTTAGTCCCAGTTCCATTTTCATGATCTGGAATATGCCAAAAGGAAGGACTCTCTTAGAAACTTCCCACCTACCACCTAGGGGTAGGGAATCACTCTATTCCCCCAATTATTGGAAATGCAATTTTTTTTTTTTTTTTGAGAGAGTCTCGCTCTGCCACCCAGGCTAGAGTATAGTGGCGTGATCTTGGCTGACTGCAACCTCCACCTCCCCAGTTCAAGTGATTCTCATGCCTCAGTCTCCCAAGTAGCTGGGATTACAGGTGCCAGCCACCATGCCCAGCTAATTTTTTGTATTTTTAGTAGAGATGGGGTTTCACCATGTTGGCCAAGCTGGTTTCCTGACCTCAAGTGATCCGCCCATCTCAGCCTCCCAAAGTGCTGGGATTACTACAGGCATGAGCCACTGCACCCGGCCTGGAAATGCAATTTATCGATTGTTTTGATAAACTCAGACATTTGCCATTCAGATAGAGATGTGGCATCATTGCTTGTTCAAACTTTAAAAGCCTTTCCACCTTAGAAATGTTCATTGCATAGGGCCGGGCAAGGTGGTTCACGCCTGTAATCCCAGCACTTTGGGAGGCTGAGGTGGGCGGATCACAAAGTCAGGATCACGAGACCAGCCTGACCAACATAGTGAAACCCCATCTCAACTAAAAATATAAAAAATTAGCCAGGCATGGTGGCAGGTGCCCGAAATCTCAGCTACTCGGGAAGCTGAGGCAGGAGAATTGCCTGAACCCTGGAGGCAGAGGTTGCAGTGAGCCAAGATCGTGCCACTGCACTCAAGCCTGGGTGACAGTGCGAGACTCCACCTCAAAAAAAAAAAAAAGAAGAAGAAAAAAGAAATGTTCATTGCATAACCCCAATCCAAGACCACACTAAAGTCCCAAGATTCAAAGATGAGGTTTCCAAAACCTTGAGTGGCTTCAGCCATTTGCTAAGTGCCAACCAGGCACTTTACATGGTGTATGGGTGGCTAATGACATGGGGAGATGGCAGTGTGCAGCCATGCAAACCAGACAGTGTGGTTTTGGCAACTGGAAGGAATTGAAGACCTGCACAGTGTCTTTGGACCTGCAGCATCTCAGAATGAGCTATGAGCTGGGGGCAGCTGGACTCCCCCACCATAACCCTGGACGTTGAAACTACCCCAGACTCGTGGGACTCAGGTGCCACCAAGAGGCCTCACTCTCTTTTTAACTCATCCAGAATTTGTTTGCAGGCCCTGAGAGGGTCCATCTTCTCCTCTCTCATCACCATCACGTGATGACACCCGTACCTTTATAGTTGGCATTTTCCAGGCTGCTGATCACCTCAGTCATATCCCGGGAGTTGTCGTTCAGGACAGACATGAGGACTTTGGGCTCTGAGGCAAAGGTGATAATGGCAACGCTCACATTGATCTCAAAGCTGAAGATCTGTGCGGGGCAAGTGAGAGGCAGCGTAAAGGGCCCTGAAGCCAAAGGGGAGATGGTAAGAGAGCAAACAAAGGGCCCTGGAGGAGGCAGAGAAACTGGAGTGAGACCGACAGAGGCAAGGACCAGGGGAGACACTAGGAAATGGCTGTTAGGAAGAAGCTAGGGGCTGGGCGCGGTGGCTCATGCCTGAATCCCAACACTTTAGGCAGGTGGATCACCTGAGGTCAGGAGTTCGAGACCAGCCTGACCAACATGGCAAAACCCATCTCTACTAAAAATACAAAAATTAGCCTGGTATGGTGGCAAGCACCTATAATCCCAGCTACTCAGGAGGCTGAGGCAGAAGAATCACTTGAACCCAGGAGGCAAAGTTTGCAGTGAGCTGAGATCGCACCACTGTACTCCAGCCTGGGTGACAGAGACTCTATCTCAAAAATAATAATAATAATAATAATAATAAAAATAAGGAACAGCAGCAGCTAAGGAAGAAACCTTTGTTGAACATCTTTCTCTTTGACAGACTCTCTTCACTCCACCCTGTGAGGGGCATGATGACCCCTATTTTATGGATAAGGAAACTGAGGTATGTTGCCTTGTCCCCCTTCCCCCATCACACCATGAGGAGGAGGTGGAAGTGGGATCTGAATGTGTCACATGATTCTCAATCACTGCTCCAACTGGTGTGTGTTGCCGCCTCGCAGTGCAATGAGTTACTTAATTTTGAGTCCCAAGAGAGCACAGAAACTGCCCTCTTTAAAATGTAGCTGGGAGGGAAAACCATCTATAATGTTACATGAAGTATTGTGAAAAGCACAATTACAAAACAAAGTTCTGGCGAGGAACTTAAACCAGTGGCTTCCAAACTTCTATCACACATATTTTATTTTATTTTATTTTATTTTATTTATTTTTTTGAGACAGAGTTTTGCTCTAGTTGCCCAGGCTGGAGTGCAATGGCGTGATCTCAGCCCACTGCAACCTCCACCTCCCGGATCCAAGCGATTCTCCTGCCTCATCCTCCCAAGTAGCTGGGTTACAGGCGTGCGCCATCACATGTGGCTAATTTTGTATTTTTAGTATAGACAGGGTTTCATCATGTTGGTCAGGCTGGTCTCAAACTCCTGACCTCAAGTGATCCACCTGCCTCGGCCTCCCAAAGTGTTGGGATTACAGGCACTAGCCACCATGCCCAGTCTATCACACACATTTTAAAGCCTGCACAAAATGTTGAAGTTTTAAAAGGAAATTATTAAATATTAAATTATTAATCTGATTTAAATTATTCCACAGGGGCACCAGTATTTTTCTGCTTCACTCCTGTGGGTTATCTCACTACCTTTCTGTGGAGACCACTGTTCTAGATGATGAATTCCTGGAAAGTAAGACCTCAGCCTTTCCATCTTTGCTGTCGCCCAGCCCCAGCACAGTGTCCCAACAGTGCTTGTGGAATAAAAATTATGATTGTATAAATTGAATTCATGATTCCTACATGGCATGAGTATAATCTGAGAAGACTTCTTGGAGGAGGTGGGCTGTGAGTGGGGTTCTGAGGAGGGGAAGGAGACAGAGAGAGATAGTGAGCACAGGAAGGCCTCTGCTGCAGGCAGACTCCTGATTCCTGACCCTGTCCACCATGAGGGAGGCGCTCTCCTTGAAGATGAGAAAGTCATTTTCCGACACACTCTGCGAACAGTCCAGGAGCAGGTAGAGGTTCAGATGACCAGAGCGCTGGATTTGGATTTTACGGCCCAGGCTTTCTGGAGAAATGTGGAAGGGGAGGATTCAGATCCCCACCTCCTTCCTGCGCTCTCGCCAAGCAGGTCCAGCTTCTCTGCCTCCCTCCCTTTCAGTGGCTGAGCCCACCAAGGCTCCTGGCCTCCAGGAAGGTTGCATCCTCCCTTGCTCCGGCCCAGATCCAGCACCCTGCTCAACCAGAAACCCCACCTCAAACACTCACCCTTTGTCTTCTGGGTGGGATTGGTGGCCCCAAGCATGTGGGAGAAGGAAGTGCCCAGGGCAGGGGCCACGTCCTCAGGGAAGTCATAAGAGTAGGGTTCTGTGGGGAGAGCCACACAGGAGTCAGCCGGGGCAGTGGCCGGGTGTGCCGAGGAATCTCAGGAGGGCAGGGCAGCTACTCACGGCGGCAGATGGGCTCCGTTCCACTCCAGACCCCGTTGCCCTGGCACTCCCGCTCCGAAGACCCCGTGAGCACAAGATTCGAGGAGCAGCGATAGCGGACCTTGTCCCCATGACCAAAGCGGAAGCCTGTCCGCACTGCGCCCAGTGAAATGCCTGGGTTGGGGCAGTGGCCAGCTGCGAGTGAACAAAGGAAGGCAGAGGTGAGTAGCCCCCTCCCATCAGGCTCTGCCTCCTCAGCGGCCTCAGTTGCCAGCAGAAGCTTCCCAGTTCCAACCCAGGGATGCACCCATGTCTGTCCCAGAGCCCCCAGAGACCCAGGGAAGAAGTCAGCTGATGGTCCCTCCACTCCTTCAGAGAACATTTATATTTCATAAACCACAGTGAGGCATCCCTACACACCCATCAAAACGGCTAACACTGAAACAACAGGTAATTCCAAGTGTTGGAGAGGATGCAGAGCGACTGGCACTCTGTTACCTTGCTGGCATGTACGTGGGTGAAACTTTCTCAGCCTCTACTACAACTAAACATATGCCAGCCTGTGATGTGACAATTCCACATTTAGATCATTTACTCAAGAGAAGCAAGTGCATACATGTACCAAAATCACATGCAAGAATGTTCCTAGAGCTCCCTCTCCCTCACCCTCTCCCCATGGTCTCCCTCTCCCTCTCTTTCCACGGTCTCCCTCTGATGCCGAGCCGAAGCTGGACGGTACTGCTGCCATCTCGGCTCACTGCAACCTCCCTGCCTGATTCTCCTGCCTCAGCTTGCCGAGTGCCTGCGATTGCAGGCGCGCGCCGCCACGCCTGACTGGTTTTCGTATTTTGTTAGTGGAGACGGGGTTTCGCTGTGTTGGCCGGGCTGGTCTCCAGCTCCTAACCGCGAGTGATCCACCAGCCTCGGCCTCCCGAGGTGCTGGGATTGCAGACGGAGTCTCGTTCACTCAGTGCTCAATGATGCCCAGGCTGGAGTGCAGTGGCGTGATCTTGGCTCGCTACAACCTCCACCTCCCAGCAGCCTGCCTTGGCCTCCCAAAGTGCCGAGATTGCAGCCTCTGCCCGGCCGCCACCCCGTCTGGGAAGTGAGGAGCGTCTCCGCCTGGCCACCCATCGTCTGGGATGTGAGGAGCCCCTCTGCCTGGCTGCCCAGTCTGGAAAGTGAGGAGCGTCTCTGCCCGGCCGCCATCCCATCTAGGAAGTGAGGAGCGCCTCTTCCCGGCCGCCATCACATCTGGGAAGTGAGGAGCGTCTCTGCCCTGCCGCCCATCGTCTGAGATGTGGGGAGCACCTCTGCCCGGCCGCCCCATCCGGGATGTGAGGAGCGTCTCTGCCCGGCCGCCCCGTCTGAGAAGTGAGGAGACCCTCTGCCTGGCAACCGCTCCATCTGAGAAGTGAGGAGCCCCTCCGCCCGGCAGCCGCCCTGTCTGAGAAGTGAGGAGCCCCTCCGCCCAGCAGCCACCTGGTCCGGGAGGGAGGTGGGGGGGTCAGCCCCCCGCCCGGCCAGCCGCCCCGTCCGGGAGGGAGGTGGGGGGGTCAGCCCCCAGCCCGGCCAGCCGCCCCGTCCGGGAAGTGAGGGGCGCCTCTGCCCGGCCGCCCCTACTGGGAAGTGAGGAGCCACTCTGCCCGGCCAGCCGCCCCGTCCGGGAGGGAGGTGGGGGGGTCAGCCCCTCGCCCGGCCAGCCGCCCCATCCGGGAAGTGAGGGGCGCCTCTGCCCGGCCGCCCCTGCTGGGAAGTGAGGAGCCCCTCTGCCCGGCCAGCCACTCTGTCCGGGAGGGAGGTGGGGGGGTCAGCCCCCCGCCCGGCCAGCCGCCCCGTCCGGGAGGGAGGTGGGGGGATCAGCCCCCCGCCCGGCCAGCCGCGCCGTCCGGGAGGGAGGTGGGGGGGTCAGCCCCCCGCCCGGCCAGCCGCCCTGTCCGGGAGGTGAGGGGCGCCTCTGCCCGGCCGCGCCTACTGGAAAGTGAGGAGCCCCTCTGCCCGGCCACCACCCCGTCTGGGAGGTGTACCCAACAGCTCATTGAGAAGGGGCCATGATGACAATGACGGTTTTGTGGAATAGAAAGGGGGGAAAGGTGGGGAAAAGATTGAGAAATCGGATGGTTGCCGTGTCTGTGTAGAAAGAGGTAGACCTGGGAGACTTTTCATTTTGTTCTGTACTAAGAAAAATTCTTCTGCCTTGGGATCCTGTTGATCGGTGACCTTACCCCCAACCCTGTGCTCTCTGAAACATGTGCTGTATCCACTCAGGGTTGAATGGATTAAGAGCGGTGCAAGATGTGCTTTGTTAAACAGATGCTTGAAGGCAGCATGCTCCTTAAGAGTCATCACCACTCCCTAATCTCAAGTACCCAGGGACACAAACACTGCGGAAGGCCGCAGGGTCCTCTGCCTAGGAAAACCAGAGACCTTTGTTCACTTGTTTATCTGCTGACCTTCCCTCCACTATTGTCCTGTGACCCTGCCAAATCCCCCTCTGTGAGAAACACCCAAGAATGATCAATTAAAAAAAAAAAAAAAAAAAGAATGTTCCTAGAGCTTTACTCCTAATGGCCCCAAACTGGAAATAATCCAAATGTCCATCAGGAGGGGAATGGATAAATTGTAATATACCCATATAATGGAATACTACACAGCAATAAAAAAGAACAAAGTACTGATACACACAACAGCATGGATAAATCTCACAGGCAGAATATAGAACAAAGGATGCCAGAAGCAACAGACCACATCCCGCATGATTCCATTTACAGGAAATGTAAGCACAAGGTACCTAGTCCATGGAGACAGAGGTCAGAAGAGCAGTTACCTTGTGGGAGGGGACAAGAGGGAACCTCATTCTGTCTTGGGTGGTGATTAGATGAGTGGATGCATTGTAACAAATCATTGAGCTGAATAGTTAAGATTTGTACATTTTACAATAGGTAAATTATGCCTCAATTTTAAAATAAGTTAGAGTCACGTCTAATAATTCAAGCATTACTTATCACAGTCTTACCAGGCATCTACTTCACCCTCCTACAGAATAAATGGCCATTTGCCAAAACCCAAGGGCATGAGTGGGGATCCATGGTCTGGGCCACTAGGTGAAGGTGGTCCTGCCATCTTGTGGACTCCGTGTCTTCTGTATGATGTGCTAAGAACCATGATCCAAGAAGCTCCCAAACCCACAGGCAAATGCAGCTCCAGGGAATCCTAGGAGCCCTACTTCTGCCAAGCAGAGCCCCTCACCATTCACAGGGGCAGCAATAACTATGACAAAAGTGCTTATGGCCAGGTGTGGTGGCACATGCCTGCATTCCCAGCTACTGAGGAGGCTGAGGTAGGAAGATCACTTGAGCTCAGGAGTTTGAAGCCAGCCTTGGCAACACAGCGAGATCCTGTCTCTTAAAGAAACAAAAACAAGGCCGGATGCCGTGGCTCACGCCTGTAATCCCAGCACTTTGGGAGGCCAAGGTGGGCAGAATCCCCTGAGGTCAGGAGTTTGAGACCAGCCTGGCCAACATGGAGAAACCCTGTCCCTACTAAGAATAGAAAATTACCGAGGCATGGTGGCGCATGCCTGTAATCCCAGCTTCTTGGGAGGCTGAGGCAGGAGAGTCACTTGAACCCGGGAGGCAGATGTTGCGGTGAGCTGAGATTGCGCCATTGCACTCCAGCCTGGGCAACAAGAGCTAGACTCCGTCTCAAAAAAAAAAAAAAGTGTACATGGCATTTATCAGATTCCAGGGGCTGTTTTTTTTGTTTTTTGTTTGTTTGTTTGTTTGTTTGTTTTGAGACAGAGTCTCACTCTGTCACCCAGGCTGGAGTGCAGTGGCACGATCTCGGCTCACTGCAACCTCTGCCTCCCAGGTTCAAGTGATTCTCCTGCCTCAGCCTCCTGAGTAGCTGGGATTAACCACGCCCAGCTAATTTTTGTATTTTTAGTATAGACGAGGTTTCACCACGTTGACCAGGCTGGTCTCAATCTCCTGACCTCAGGTGATCCACCCACCTCAGCCTCCCAAAGTGCTGGGATTACAGGCGTGAGGCACCGAGGCTGGCATTTTTTTTTTTTTTTTTTTTTTTTGAGACAGAGTCTTACTCTGTCACTCAGGCTGGAGTGCAATGATGCAATCTCGGCTCACTGCAATCTCCACTTCCTGGTTCAAATGATTCTCCTGCCTCAGCCTCCTGAATAGCTGGTATTACAGGCATGCGCCACCGCACCCGGCTAATTTTTGTATTTTTACTAGAGACGGGGTTTCACCATGTTGGCCAAGCTGGTCTCAAACTCCTGACCTTGTGATCCACCCCCCTTGGCCTCCCAAAGTGCTGGGATTACAGGCGTGAGCCACCGCACTCCAGGGCTGTTGTATATGCTTACTAATGTCAACTCATTTAATCCAGATGGCAATCTCAGGTCAGCACTCACTATCCTTGTCTTACAGATGGGAAAACTGAGGGCTAGAAAGGTTAAATAGCCTTCCCAAAGTCTGTCAAAGTCAGAGTAGGGCTTGGAACCCAAACCTGGCTTTAAAGGCAAGGCATTAAAGCACAGTACTTGACTCTCTCCCAGCATATCTTCCCTACAACAATCTGTGGGGCCTGAATATGAAGTCTTGCTTTGAGGCACTTAGAAAAGCCAGGCAGAGTGTGTGGAGGCTTTATGCTACATCTGAAGCTTAGCACCAGCTGCCTGGGGCCTGGCCCTTGCAGACTTGTGATGTGTGACCTGTAGACCTCAATTTACCAAAATCCAGGAATATTATTATGGCACACTGAACAACAGACTCCTATCCCCACAGAGGCTTCCTGGATGCACATTGGGCCCCAGGGTTCCCCAGGAGACCCCAGCCCCCTGTGTAGCCCATCAGCCAGAGAACTCACCCCCATTATCACACACAGCTGTTTCTCCATCCCACATGCCGTTGGGGCGACACTGACGCACAGGCGAGCCCCGCAATATGAAGCCATCCTCACACTCGAAGCTCACATTGCCACCCACGGGATAGGACCCCAGCCGTGGGGTATAAATGCCATTCTCAAAGGAGACAGGGGCTGGACAGCGCACAGCTGGAGAGAGAGGAAGTGGGTGGGGAATATAGGACTGGATGGATAACACCTGGGCTGGGGATTAAGCAGGTGATTTTATGCTGGAATGCATGGGAATGGTCAACTGGCTGTCAAAACACTGAAATATTAGGTTGCAACATGTGAAATTGCTGTTTTTGGCAACTGATTGAATATTGCCAATTTCACAGAGTCTAAGCGAACTGATTGATAAATAGCCACTTCCCTCAGTCTCCTGAGGGCCGTGGCCTCCCCAGACACTCCCCTTGGGATCCTCAGATGTCTAGAGGACTCCAGGACCATTCAGCATCTGTTCTGAATGGTCACTACTAGGCAGTCAATTGTACATAAAAAGTCATCCCTGGCTTTAGTACCCCACAGTCTCCATCAAGACCTGTTCCCAATTCCTTGCTACTGGCAATTGACATTTTCTGGATATTTTGAAAAGCCCTCTGCAAAAGCAACTTTGCCATCTAGTCAGGTTAAGTCCCACCCTGAGCAACTCCTAAACAAAAGTTCTGGGGTGGCCCCTGGTGTAGCACCCTGAGCAAAGCCCACAGGGAGCCTCACGTTTGCAGACCGCCTTAGACAGAGACCGGGTGGCTCCTGGGGTCTGCCACTGTCCGCTGCTCTTGCACAGCCGTGATGCTGGGGATGGGTACAGGCCCTGGGGGCAGGAGTAGGTGAGAAGGCTCCCAGGAGCCCAGCCATGGCTGAGGGTGAAGGTGCCACCCGAGATATTCACGTTCTGAGGGCAGGAGGGAGCCGAGTCTGCCAGACCTAGAGCCGTGGGAACAAGGAGACAGCAATGGAGAAAGAAGGAAGACACAGATGAGAAAAGGAAAGCAAAAGAGACTGTTTCACACATGGGAATTCAAGCTGGGAGCACCAACCTCACACACAGGACCCTGACGTTCCCCCTTCCCTGCCTCCTACCTGGGTACAGGAACAGCAGGCAAAAAAGAACCATCAGTGGGCCCATGGTGTCCTCCCTAGGGGCGGCGAGAGGTAGAGAGCCGCGGGAGGGAAAAGGTCATCTGACTTCCCGAAAACTAGAGCTGGGTCAGCAGCTGCTTCATTGCTGCCAGAGAAGAAAAACCAGGGAGTGGCAAGGGGGATGGTCTTCTGTTAGGGAAATAATAAGCAGGGATTGGGGACTGAACTGAAGGGTGAAACCTTTGCCCTGTCTCCCTGATGCTAATATATCTATAGGGTCAATAGATCTCCCCCACAGGCTTTGTGTACTGCCCCCACGCTCCACCCACCCATGCGTGCACATGTGCACCATACACGCATGCTCACAAACACGCAGGCAAACACATATTTGGGCTCGTGTGTGCACACATGCACCTTGCTCTTGTGTGAATAGTCAATAGTCTAAAGCACACAAACCCACAAACCATCCAAGATATTGCAAAATATTTCATTTAAGTAAAGTTTTAGTGTTCTTTTGGGTTGTACCAAGTGGGTTTTACTTCCTGAGAGCCTAGAACAGTTCTGTCTTCTTGAAGATAAACTTCCGAGGGGGGTGAAACTAATTTTTTTAGAACTTCTTGATAAATAGGAAGATTGACAATACTTTTTTATTCCCTACAATCCTTCCCTAGAGATAATCTAGGTGGAAAAAATGAAATCAACACTTAGTTTTGGAGACAGGAAAAATGTTTACAACATTTTTACGGAAAGTCTAGTAGATGAAATTCCCAACTGGCAAAGTAAATACATTTGGGGTTGGTTACTCAAAGGAATAAAACTTTTGCGGGGGCTGGGATATGCCTTTAAATCATAACCTACACTTGTATGAAATGCAGGAAGCAAAGAAACTTGAAGCTAGTGTGTTAGTCTCCCTGACCCACAGAAGTCTTTTCAATACCTTTTTGAACAATGTAGGGTAAAAATAAATAAGACCAATAAAAAAATGAACATGAAACCTCTCTGAAGTGATCATTTAGGTTCGTAAAAACCCTTTTGATTTATAAGTGAGTCCTTAGAGAACTGATTGAACCTAGAAGATGGAGGTTGCAGTGAGCCAAGATTGTGCCACTGCACTCCAGCCTGGGCAACAGAGTAAGACTACATCTCAAAAAGAAAAAAAAAAAATAAGACCGGGCACAGTGACTCACGCCTGTAATCCCAGCATTTTGGGAGGCTGAGGCGGGTGGATCATGAGGTCAGGAATTTGAGACCAGCCCGGCCAACATGGTGAAACCCCGTCTCTACTAAAATTACAAAAAATTAGCCGGGTGTGGTGGCAGGGGCCTGTAATCCCAGCTACTCGGGAGGCTGAGGCAGGAGAATCACTTGAACCCGGGAGGCAGAGGTTGCAGTGAGCCAAGATCATGCCACTGCATTCCAGCCTGGGTGACAAGAGCAAGACTCTGTCTCAAAAAAAAAAAAAAGAGTACACAAATTGAGACTCCCCTTGGACAGGGCTAAGTGCATGAAAATCAGGACATCCTGGTGTTAGGGACTCCAAAGTGGCTGCTGTGGCAGAGCTGCTAGTGCCTCCCCTGCCCCTCAAGTATCTTTTCTCCCTCCTTCCACAGTAAGAGATGGTTAGGGGAACACACAGTCACCCAGCTAAAGACCATATTTCCTAGCTTCCCTTGCAGCTAGGTAGCCAGGTGACTTGGTTCTGGCTAATGGGATGTTAGTAGAACTTATGTATGTCATTTCCAAGTTATGTCCCTAAAATAAAAAGGCAGTGTGCCTTTTCTTTTCATGGGCTGGAATATAAACCTAGCGGAGATCCGTCTTCCACCAGGAGGATGAGGGCAACATGCTGGGGATGACAGAGCAAACAGACAGAGGAGCCTGGGTGTCTGACACAGTGTTGATGTCATACCAGCCCTGCACAGCCACTTAGATTGTTACAAGAGAGAAATAAACTATCGTAAAGGTGGGGGGTATTTAAGGATGTTCACAAATACTGTAGCCTTGTCTTCTTTCAATCACATGGTAGGATAGGATTTCCCCAGCCACTTGTTTTAGCCAATAAGATGTGAGTACAAGTGATATGTATCACTTCCTGATGGAAGCTCAATGTAGTCTTCACCCTGCTCTTCCCCTCTGTATGGTAACGTCTGAGATGGTGGCTGCTCCACCAGCCAAGATCCCTGGGTGATATCGAAAGCACAGTACCAGCCGGGCACAGTGGCTCACACCTGTAATCCCAGCACTTTGGGAGGCCGAGGCAGGGGGATCACCTGAGTTCAGGAGTTAGAGACCAGCCTGACCAACATGGTGAAACCCCATCTCTACTAAAAATACAAAAATTAGCTGGGCGTGGTGGCATACGCCTGTAATCCCAGCTGCTCAGGAGGTTGAGGTAGGAGAATCGCTTGAACCCGGGAGGCAGAGATTGCAGTGAGCCGAGATCACACCACTGCACTTCAGCCTGGGTGACATAGGGAGACTCTGTCTCAAAAAAGAAAAAAAAAGCGCAATACTCGGCTGACTCTCAGTGGATAAGTAATATGACCAAAAAATAAACCTTTGTTATTTTAATTCATTGCATTTCTACTAATGCAGGAAAAAAAGTACCCACCCAATATGTAGGAAATTTAAAAATGATTTATTCTTTCTCATATTGGCCAGAAGGTTCTTCTGCTGATCTTCCATGCAGCGGCAGTCAGCTAGGGGCTGAGTTCAGTTAACAGTAGGACAGCAGGTCCTTCCTCCCTAGCCCTCATAGCATGGCAGTCTCAGGACAACTTCTGAGGAATCCAAAACATAAGCTGCAAGGTCTCTCGAGGCCTAGCCCCAAAAGTCACATAACATCACTTCTGCCACATTCTATTGGTCAAAGCAAATCACAAGGTCAGCCCAGATTTAAGACTGGAGGCATAGAATTTACCTCTTGATAGGAGGAATGGCAAAGTCACACGGCAAAGGGGCAGGCACATCAGAATAGGAGAGACTGATGGCTATATTTTGTAAGCCCTCCTATGGCAACAAATATTTCTAGGTTGTTGGTTACCAGAACGTAATGAAGCCTAACCTGACTGAACATTCAAATCACTAAACTTTGGGTGCCTTTTAAAGCCATCAAACTAATATGTAACAGCTGCCTTCAAAAGAAAGGGCCTTTCTTTCATGAGTTTTTCCCAGTATTTGTTGAGCTACATCAACTTGGCACAGTGTGGCAGAATTCATTCTCTCTTCCTGCTTAAGTAATAAAACTCCCAAGTTTTCTGGGCCCACAGAGTATGTTCTTAAGGAGAAGTGTTTACTCCTCAATGTATAAAACTTCTTCCCTTCCCACCAGCTGGAATGTGGACAGAATGGTGGACTCTGGAACAGCCACCTAGATCACAAAATGGAAGTCACATGTGGATGATGATAAAGAAACAAAATTAAAGAGGCCCTGCTCTCCAATCCTGTAGAGCTAATAGGATTGACCTGGACCACTTATGCTCAGACCATTTAAGCTGCTGTTATTCTAGCTTGGTTATAACAAAGCCAAACCATGTCTAACTGATATACCTAGCAAGAAATCAATGTGAGAGCCAAAGGCAACACTCAGAGAAGTGTGTTTATTAGGATACACGTTAAACTTCTGTAATAAAGAGACCCTAAAATACAGTAACTTAAATAAGATAGAATTTTGCTGCACTTTCAAATAAGAGCCTCAGAGGCCGGGCGCGGTGGTTCACGCCTGTAATCCCAGCACTTTGGGAGGCCGAGGCGGGTGGATCACAAGGTCAGGAGATCGAGACAATCCTGGCTAACACGGTGAAACCCCGTCTCTACTAAAAAATACAAATAATTAGCCGGGCGCGGTGGCAGGCGCCTGTAGTCCCAGCTACTCGGGAGGCTGAGGCAGGAGAATGGCAGGAACCCGGGAGGCAGAGTTTGCAGTGAGCTGAGATCGCGCTACTGCACTCCAGCCTGGGAGACAGAGCGAGACTCCATCTCAAAAAAAATAAATAAATAAGAGCCTCAGAGGCCGGGTGCGGTGGCTTACGCCTGTAATCCCAGCACTTTGGGAGGCCGAGGCGGGCGGATCACGAGGTCAGGAGATCGAGACCATCCTGGCTAACATGGTGAAACCCTGTCTCTACTAAAACTACAAAAAAAAAAAAATTAGCTGGGTGTGGTGGCGGCGCCTGTAGTCCCAGCTACTCGGGAGGCTGAGGCAGGCGAATGGCGTGAACCCGGGAGATGGAGCTTGCAGTGAGCGGAGATCGTGCCACTGCACTCCAGCCTGGGTGACAGAGCAAGACTCCATCTCAACAAAAAAAAAATAAAAACAAAATAAGAGGCTCAGGGTAAGCAGACAAGGCTGAGATGGCGTGTGTGGCCCTGGCTGGCAGAGCTGCTCATCAGCCTCCTTCAGGCCTCCAGCTTCCTTCCATCTGTGGTTCATGCCTTTGGAAATTGTCCTTGTCTGCATGGTTGAAACAGGGTCTCCATCAAGTCTGCCTCCCACCCCACTCTTCCATTCATATTCCATTGGCAAAAAGTCAGTTATAGTCCACTGTCAGCTCTCCAGGAGGCCCAGTCGAATGTGGAAGGACCATGACCTGACCTGTGGGGCTAAAGATGCCAGACCTTTATTCCCCTCGGCACTCCCGATTAGCTTTTCAGTAGACCCCACCAGATGAGGGCGACCTTGGCTTCTCTATTTCTTGTACCATTCAAAAGCCCAGCAAATGTAACCGTGTTTTCACTCCAGGTAGAGGGAAGCAGGTGAATAATATCTAAAAAACAGACATGCCTCTCCTGCCAGCTTCTTCCATCTTGTCCAAATTTCTTCTTATCAATTCTAGGCTTCTAATATCTGCTTCCAAGGGTACAATTCCAAAGAGAAAAAACCAATACCCCAATTCTGTACTTCATCTCCTAGTCAGAGTTGGATTTTTGCTTTTGGTTTTTTTGGTTTTTTGTTTTTGAGACAAAGTCTTGCTTTGTTGCCCAGGCTGGAGTGAAGCAGTACGATCTCGGCTCACTGCAACCTCCACCTCCTGGGTTCAAGGGATTCTCCTGCCTCAGACTCCCAAGTAGCTGGGATTACAGGCATGTGCTACCATGCCCAGCTAATTTTTGTATTTTTAGTAGAGATGGGGTTTCACCATGCTGGTCAGGCTGGTCTCAAACTCCTGACCTCAGGTGATCCACCTGCCTCTGCCTCCCAAAGTGCTGGGATTACAGGTGTGAGCCACTGTGCCAGGCCCCCTAATCAGAGTTTAAAAATCAGAAATGATGCTCTGATGGCCTCTCAGGATGCCTTATTCTCCCCTGGAGAGCTCAGCACCTTGCAGCTGAAAATTTCTGAGGAAACGTGGCATATAGCAGAGGCCGACCCCACTCTAGTGGCCAGTCTACTCCTTATCCAGTCTGGCCACTTGGGCATGGACTTCGCGGTCATCCTAGGATCTGCCACCCCTCAACCTTCTATGGCAACTGCAGGTCAACCCCCAAATTGGAAAACTAGTCTGGCTTGGCCTGGTTCACAGCCTTAATGTGTGACTTTAGATGGGGATTCAGCATTGCTCTGCAAGCCTCTTGGTGGTTTTAGTGGATCTGTCCTTGCCCCACCATATCCCTTGGGCCTTATCACTGGGGTGCTCCACTGACTTCCAGCTGCAGCATCTCTGTCTCTACCCAAGGATTGTTTTTGGTGTCCTGCACCATCTGTGCACAGAAAGCTGGAAATGACAGAGAATTAAGGCCTTCAACCAATGACTGATTGGTATAAATACTGGGCTCCCTCACCCTGGACCATGGGATAACTCTGCACCACTCCAGGGTTCCTGAGTGGGATTGACCTCCACTCACCCACAATGGTAAATTTGCCTGATAACACACCCTTCATTGACTGCCTTCCTTCTCTATCACACTCCACTACCCATGTTTCTTGCGATCACCTCCAGAATGCACTGTCTGCACTGGAACCCTTGTCTCCAGGTCTGCTTCTGGGGGAGGAAGACTTCATATTAGCAGGACATAGTGCCAGACAGTATTTTTAAGTCTTAAATGTAGGTGCTCACTTAATCCTCACAGCAAGCTTATGACACAGGTTCTGTTGTTACTCCCACTTTACAGATGAGGGAACTGAGGCACACAAAGGTTAAGTGAGCTGCCCCAGGTTCATACAGGTACTAAGCAGCAGAGCCGGGATTCAAACCCAGGCAGCATGGCTCCTGGGTCCACACTCATAGCCACCAAGTGGTAGTGCCTCTTCCTCACGTCTTCTCTTTAGTGACTGCTGGGAGCTCCTTGCGCATCCCTGAAGTCTACCCCAGCCCCTTGCATTTCCAAGCCCTCTCTCCCCTAGGCTCTTTCCTCTTGGCACCCCCTCTCCCATAACACCTTCTTTTCCATCCTTCTCAAATCCCTCATCTTCCAGACTCCTACAAGACCTGTCCACGCCATTTCCCACCTTCTAGCTACTTGTGCACTTGTCTCAAGCTCCCCAGAGGAAGGATCCAGGAGTTTTTTTTTTAAACAATGAGCTATCCAAGTAAGGTCAAGCCAATGCCCTCCCCCATCCTATTTCCACCCCAAGTAAATAGCATCTTTCAGGTCAGCAACAGAATTGGCTTTGGTTTCTCATCCATTTCTTTTTTAATAAAAATATTTACATTGGGTCAGACCCCACCCATTTCCACACAAAGGCCTCTGCTAAGTTCCTCGGTACACACACCATCCCCCATCCTAGCAGGCACTGCCTACTAACTTTGAAGTGATTGCCCAACTATGATCTTGAGGAATCTCCACATACATCACCCTTAGAGCCTCAGAAAGGGTTTTGCCCTGCCCCATGGGGCTCCTCCCCATGCCCAGGCTCTTCCAGGGCCCTGGGCCTCAGAGGCCACCCTGCAGGCCCAGACACTGGGTTAGACACTGAACCTCCTGTCCTTGTCCATCCATTGCACAAACAATTCCTGAGAATGGAACGAGGAACTAAGGGGTGGGGTAGGGCCTCCCAAGAAACAGAAGGCCTGTCCCTGACCTCCTGTAGGCGCCATATCTCTTTCAGACAAAAACTCAACCTCTAAAGACTCACAGGCCTGGGGTGTACCAGGGTGTCCATCTGCCCACACCGCAGCTCTTACCTCAGCCCTCTGAGGTCTCCACTGTCCTTGGGCTGGTGGGGGGCATGGTGCATGTTATCACCCACTTCTTGCTACCCATCAGGGGAGCTGCCCTGGGTAACCCAGGTAAGAGGGTGGTAAACACAACTCAGGTGCTCAGGGGTCAGCTGAGGATGGGCCAGGGGGAGGGGTGGCCTATGGCTGAATTGCCCTGGCTCCGGTCCTCACCACCCCAACCCCAGCTCTGGGCTTAGCATTGGTGGCAGTGGGGGCCTCACTAGCCTCCTCTGCCCTTTCATTGAAAATTCCTCTCTAATGTTTTCCTTTATCCTGGGGAGTGGGGAGATATTCATCCCCTTCCCAGTTCTGGGTACCAGTACCCTCTTGACAAAAGGATAGCCTGGGGCTCACATGGGAGAATCCTCCTGCCCTCACTCCTCCAGTGCTGCCAAGGGGTGAAGAGGGAACTTGCCCAGTAGAAAGACATACGTTCATGCCTTGCTTTCCTGCCCAACACAAATGAAAGGTTATACCTGAGAAGAGCTCCTCCTGCCCCGTCTCTGGCCCCAGCCCCAGTGTGGTATGAGGAATTCAGGCTTTGACTTAAGACAGCCTGGAACCTCAGGTTTGGCTTGGCAAATTCATTAGCTATTTCGTAGCCTTACTCACCCTGTTTTGTCACCTGTCATCCACAGAACCAACAGCAAAATACACTCCCCTTAAGGTTACCTTTGAGAATTAGGACCATCAAAAGGAGAAGATCGGCTACCCTACAGGTATAAAAGGTACCAGGATATTTGCTTTAGCATTCACTGTTACCAAGAGGAAATGTTTGGAAACTCCCACGTCCATTAATAGGGGACAGACACAGCACATTGTGGTATGGGGACAACTGAATACTACGCAGTCTCTGCAAGCTTAAGGCTTATCTGTGTGTACAGAGCTGAATGTCTCCAGATATATATGTTATATAATATACACTTTTAAACTAGATAGACATTCAGAACTGTATGTATGGGATGCCACCATTTATGCAAAAAAAGGAGGGAAAGAGGATAGTAGCCACATATGCTCTCTGTGTGTATATAATTTCACTGGAAAAGTTTACAAAAAACTGGATAGGAGAGTTGCCTCTGGGGAGAACTGGGGGCTGGAAAATGAGGTGGGAGGTAAAGAAGGCAACTTAATTTTCACCAAATCCCCTTTATTACTCCTTGTAGTTTTCACTGGGTACATATGATACCTATTCAAGGCCAGGCCCAGTGGCTCACGCCTGTAATCCCAGCACTTTGGGTGGCCAAGGCAGGTGGATCACCTGAGGTCAGGAGTTTGAGACCAGCCTGACCAACATGGTGAAATCCCGTCTCTACTAAAAATACAAAAATTAGCCGGGTGTGTTGGCAGGCACTTGTCACCCCACCTACTCAGGAGGCTGAGGCAGGAGAATTGCTTGAACCTGGGAGGCAGAGGTTGCTGTGAGCTGAGATTGCACCACTGCACTCCAACCTGGGCAACAAGAACAAAACTCCGTCTCCAGAAAAAAAAAAAAAAGAAAAGAAAAGAAAAGAAAAGAAATACCCTACTGGACTATTAACAAGAGACCCTGATACAATCTCTCTGCAGATTAAGTTTTATTTTGTAAAATTTCAAACATATTGTAAAGTAGAGAGAATAGTAAAATGAACTTTCATGTATGTATCCATCATCTAGCTTCAGTTCATAGACGGTCTCGGTTCATAGACGGTCTGGGTTCATGTCTATATACCACCCACCAACCATTCCTTCCAGGAATTTTTTTTTTTTTTTTTTTTTTGAGACAGAGTCTTGCTCTGTCACCCAGGCTGGAGTGCAGTGATGCAATCTCGGCCCACTGCAACCTCTGCCTCCCAGGTTCAAGCCTCCTGAGTAGCTGGGATTACAGGTGCCCGCCACTACACCCAGCTAATTTTTTTGTATTTTTAGTAGAGATGGGGTTTCACCAACTTGGCCAGGCTGGTCTTGAACTCCTGACCTCGTGATCCGCCCACCTCGGCCTCCCAAAGTGCTGGAATTACAGGCGTGAGCCACCGCTCCCAGCCAGGATTTTTTTTTTTTTTTAAGTTAAAGACAGGGTCTCACTGTCACCCAGGCTGGAGTTTAGTGGTGCAATCACAGCTCACTGTAACCACAAACTCCTGGGCTCACATGATCCTCCCACCTCAGCCTTCCAAGAAGCTGGGACAAGAAGCATGCATCACCATGCCCAGCTAATTTATTCATTTATTTACTTTTGTAAAGACAGGGGTCTCAGTATGTTGCCCGGACTGGCCTCAAACTCCTAGCTTCAAGTGATCCTCCTGCCTCAGTCTCCCAAAGTGTTAGGATTACAAGTGTGAGCCACTGTGCCTGGCCTCGAGGAATATTTTTTTTTTGAGATGGGGTCTTGCTTTGTTGCCCAGGCTGGAGTGCAGAGACCTGATCATAGCTCACGGCAGCCTCAAACTCCTGGGCTTCCACAATCCTCCCACCTCAGCCTCCTGAGTAGCTGAGATTACAGGCATATGCCATCATACCAGGCTAAGTTTTTTTTAATTGTTTACTTTAATTAGAGATGAGGTCTTGCTATGTTTTCCAGGCTGGTCTTGAACTAGCCTCAAGCAATCCTCCAACCTAGGCCTCCCAAAGTGCTGGGAATTCATTAAAAATTTTTTTACGGAAAAGCTCAAATTTTTCATTTTAAAATATTTCTCTTTTTTCTTTTTTCAGAACATTTCTCACTTACATAAGAGC
This sequence comes from Homo sapiens, assembly GCF_000001405.40. Taxonomy (NCBI): domain Eukaryota; kingdom Metazoa; phylum Chordata; class Mammalia; order Primates; family Hominidae; genus Homo; species Homo sapiens. Next base: position 31,917,926 of record NC_000006.12, on the reverse strand, counting down.
ACATTTTCTTTCTCTTTTTTTCAGATAGAGTCTCTTTGTGTCACCCAGGCTGGAGTGCAATGGCGTGATCTCGGCTCACTGCAACCTCCGCCTCCCGGGTTCAAGCAATTCTCCTGCCTCAGCCTCCCAAGTAGCTGGGATTACAAACGGCTGACACCACGCCCAGCTAATTTTTGCATTTTTAGTAGAGACGGGGTTTCACCATGTTGGCCAGGCTGGTCTCCAACTCCTGGCCTCAGGTGATCCGCCTACCTCAGCCTCCCAAAGTGCTGGGATTACAGGCATGAGCCACCGCGCCTGGCCTTTTTTTCTTTTTTTAAAATTCCAACTTTTATTTTAGATACAGGGGGTACAGGTGCAGGTTTGTTACATGGGTATATTGCACTAGGTAGTCATAGAACCAATTAGGTAATTTTTTAACCCACACTCCCTCCCTCTCTCCCCTTCTAGTAGTCTTCAGTGTCTATTGTTCCTATATTTATGTCCATATGTGCTCAATATTTAGTTCCGTTATAAGTGAGAACATTAGGCATTTGGTTTTCTGTTCCTACGCTAATTCATTTAGGATTCTGTCCTCCAGCTCCATCCATGTTGCTGCAAAGGACATGATTTAATTTTTTTTTTTTATGGCTGCAAAACTATTTATCTTTCACTTCTTGGCTTTTACCAAAATAAAATGTTTCTTTTGAACTATAAATTTATAAAACATCTCATTGTTCTCTGTATCATAATTTTTTTCTTTTTTTTTTTTTTTCTGAGACAGAGTCTCACTCTGTCACCCAGGCTGGAGTGCAGTGGTGCCGTCTTGGCTCACTGCAACCTCCGCCTCCTGGGTTCAAGCGATTCTCCTGCCTCAGCCTCCCAAGTAGCTCGGATTACAAGTGCCCACCAGCACGCCGGCTAATTTTTGTATTTTTAGTAGAGACGAGGTTTCACCATGTTTGCCAGGCTGGTCTCAAATTCATGATCTCAGGTAATCCACCCGCCTCGGCCTCCCAAAGTGCTCAGATTACAGACATGAGCCACCACAGCCAGCCTTTTTTTTTTTTTTTTTTTTGTTGAGATGGAGTCTCGCCCTGTCACCCAGGCTGGAGTACAGTGGCGCTATCTCAGCTCACTACAACTCCAGCCTGGGCAAAAGGAGCAAAACTCTGTCTCAAAAAAAAAAAAAAAAAAGGGCAGAGAACTAATGCCCAGAGTCAACCTGCAATTATTGCAGAGTGGGAAGCAGTAGACAGATGCTCCTGCCTCCTGTCCTTCAGGTGGAAAGCGTCTGGAGACATTCAGCTCTCTCCTCAGGAGGGCCTGGGGGAATCGAACTCCACTGCACACAACAGTGACATCACTCTTTTTTTTTTTTTTTTTTTTGAGACGGAGTCTCACTCTGTTGCCCAGGCTGGAGTGCAATGGTGCAATCTCTGCTCACCGCAACCTCCGCCTCCCAGGTTCAAGCAATTCTCCTGCCTCAGCCTCCCAAATAGCTGGGATGACAGGCACATGCCACCACGCCAGGCTAATTTTTGCAATTTTAGTAGAGACAGGGTTTCGTCGTGTTGGCCAGGCTGGTCTCGAACTCCTGACCTCAGGTGATCCACCCACCTCAGCCTCCCAAAGTGCTGGGATTACAGGCGTGAGCCACCATACCCGGCCAACATCATTCTCTTAAACTGGCCTTTCCTCCTTCAGGATCTCACACTCCCTATAGCCTCGCTTCTGCTTTCTGGGATCACCTAAATTAACTACCTATGGCCAAGTCCTGTCTCAAGCTCTGCTGTCAGGGTCACCAAAATTAAGATCATCCCTTTCCATCCTCCTCTCCCTATAAACTACTGCCCTTCTTCCACAAACTCCTTCCACGCCAGCAAACCCAGACTGTAACATTAACACAGAGTTATAATCCATCCATATACTGGTCTCTCCACATTCCTGGAGCACAAACTGCTAAAGGGTAGGAACGCTGTGACACGTTTGGTTCCCCCACTGTCCAGTGGGAGAGAGATATGTGAGCCAGTCAGCGCTACACCGAGTTGAGGCAGCCATTGAGGCTCTTCATGAATTTTCCCGTTTTCTGCCTTCCAGGCACATGATAGGATGGAATTCCTCAGCCCTCCTGAAGTTAGGCCACTGCAAGAGGCCTAACTGGCTTGCTTTGGCCAGTGAAATAAGAGCAGAAGTCACATGTGTTGTTACTGTCAGGCACAAGTATTTAACTGCCAATGTAACACAAGACACTCCAGCACCCTCTTTTGATGGAGCCTCCTTTGATCTGGATGCCTGAGTGACTATGATGATCAGAGACTCTAACACTCCTACTGACCCAACAGAGAGCAATAGTGAGAAATAAAACTGTTGTGTTAAGCTACTGAGATTCCAGGGTTGTTTGTTACTGCAGCATGATGTAGCCATCCTGACTGATACAAGCTGAGATAGGAGTCCATATAAAGTTCACAGGGACACAAACAGGGGAATATTAGGTCTCTCTAGAAGATCAGAAAGGTTTCATCAATGAACTTGAGATAGCCTTAAAAGATGAGTGTTTACCTGACAAGGAAGAGATGCAAGCATCCAGGTGAGCAATGAAACCCCAGAGCGCATTAAAGGAACTGCAAGTTCAGGACCTTTCAGGGCTGGGGAGGGAAGGAAGGCCACAATGACACTAGACCAGGGAGGAAGGAGAGAATGCCTTATGGAAGAAACAGCATTTACAGCTTGTAAGGCGATTTGCTATATGGAATTTTAGATAAGGAAGTGATATGATTTGATTTGCATTTCAGAAATATTATTCTGGAATCAGTATGTAGGGGCTGGAAGACCAGTTAAGAGACATTTAGAGTCCTGGCAAGACAACAGGGGCTAAAAGCAAGCACAGAAATGAGGAAGGGAAAGCCAGCACCAACGTTGAGGCATAGACCACGGGGCCCCTGAGCCCTCCTCTGACTCTCAGAACACCTGGGTGTCTTATCACATTGCACCATGACTGCTTGTTCATTGTTTTTGTTGTTGTTGTTGTTGTTGTGATGGAGTCTTGCTCTGTCGCCCAGGCTGGAGTGCAGTGGTGTGATCTTGGCTCACTGCAAGCTCCGCCTCCCGGGTTCACGCCATTCTCCTGCCTCAGCCTCCCAAGTAGCTGGGACTACAGGCGCCTGCCACCACGCCTGGCTAATTTTTTTGTATTTTTAGTAGAGACGGGGTTTCACCGTGTTAGCCAGGATGGTCTCCATCTCCTGACCTCGTGATCCACCCGTCTCGGCCTCCCACAGTGCTGGGATTACAGGCGTGAACCACCGCGCCCGGCCGATTGCTTGTTCATTAACTATAGTCTTCTTTTTTTTTTTTGAGACGGAGTCTCACTCTGTTGCCCAGGCTGGAGTGCAGTGGCACGATCTCGGCTCACTGCAACCTCTGCCTCCTAGGTTCAAGCGATTCTTCTGCCTCAGCCTCCCAAGTAGCTGGGACTACAGGCATACACCACTACGCCCAGCTAATTTTTGTATTTTTAGTAGAGATGGGGTTTCACCATATTGGCCAGGCTGGTCTCGAACTCCTGACCTCATGATCCGCCCACCTCGGCCTCCCAAAGTGCTGGGATTACAGGAGTGAGCCACCGCGCCCGGCCACTCAGGCAGGATTTCTATGTGACAGTCTTGAGGCAGAATTCCTTCTCTGGGAAACCTAAGTCTTTGCTCTTTAGGCCACAATATCAAGAGTAATCTCCTGGCTGGGCGTGGTGGCTCACACCTGAAATCCCAGCACTTTGAGAGGCCGAGGCAGGCGGATCACAAGGTCATGAGATTGAGACCATCCTGGCCAACATAGTGAAACACGGTGAATACAAAACTTAACTGGGCGTGTTGGCATGTGCCTGTAATCTCAGCTACTTGGGAGGCTGAGGCAGGACAATCACTTGAACCAGGGAGTCGGATCGCAGGTTGCAGTGAGCCAAGATCGCGCCTGGGTGACAGAGCGAGATTCCGTCTTAAAAAAAAAAGGGCCAGGCACGGTGGCTCATGCCTGTAATCCCAGCACTTCTGGAGGCCAAGGCGGGCAGATCACGAGGTCATGAGTTCAAGACCAGCCTGGCCAACATAGTGAAATCCTGTCTCTACTAAAAATACAAAAATTAGCCGGGTGTGGTGCCTGTAGTCCCAGCTACACGGGAGCCTGAGGCGGGAGAATTGCTTACACCCAGGAGGCGGAGGTTGCAGTGAGCCGAGATCACGCCACTACACTCCAGCCAGGGTGACAGAATGAGACTCCATCTCAAAAAAAAAAGAGTAAACTCCTTTACTTAACGTCAGCTGAGTATAGATGGCAATGTCTTTGCTTCGTTTTATTTTTTTGAGATGGAGTTTCGCTTTTGTTGCCCAGACTTGCCCAGACTGGAGTGCAATGGCACGGTCTCAGCTCACTGTAACCTCTGCCTTCCAGGTTCAAATGATTCTTGTGCCTCAGCCTCCCAACTAGCTGGGATTACAGGTGCCTGCCACCACACCCAGCTAATTTTTGTATTTTTAGTAGAGATAGCGGTTCACCATGTTGGCCAGGCTGGTCGCGAACTCCTCACCTCAGGTGATCTGCCCACCTTGGCCTCCCAAAGTGCTCCAATTACTGGCGTGAGCCACTGTGCCCAGCCAAGATGTCAGTGTTATCTACAAAATGCCCTCACTGAAGTATCCAGACTACAGTCAGGCATGGTGGCATGCTTGTAGTCCCAGATACCCAGGAGGCTGAGGCAGGAGAATCACTTGAGACTGGGAGTTCAAGTTCAGCCTGGAGAACATAGTGAGAGTCTATCTCATTAAGATAAATAATAATGCAAATGTGTATATATACAGTGCCCAAGGGCACCATAGCCTTGCCAAATTGACACATCTTTTTTTTTTTTTTTTTTTTTTTGTGGAAACAGGGTTTCACCATCTTACCCAGAGTGGTCTTGAAATCCTGGGCTCAAGTAATCCTCCCACCTTGCCCTCCTAAAGTGCTGGGATTACAGGCGTGAGCCACTGCGCTTGGCCTGACACATAAAATTAACCATCACAGAGTCATCAATGTGGTAACCAATCTCTTTTTTTTTTTTTTTCTTTTTTGAGATAGAGTCCCGCTCTGTCACTCAGGCTGGAGTGTAGTGATATGATCTCAGCTCACTGCAGCCTCTGCCTCCCAGGTTCAAGCGATTCTCCTGCCTCAGCCTCCTGAGTAGCTGGGATTACAGGCACACACCATCACCCTGGTTAATTTTTTGTATTTTCAGTAGAGACAGGGTTTCACCATGTTGGCCAGACTGGTCTCGAACTCCTGACCTCAGGTGATCCACCTGCCTCAGCCTCCCAAAGTGCTCGGATTACAGGTGTGAGCCACCGTGCCCGGCCTGGTAACCAATCTCTAAAGAGCACATGGTACCACCCAGAGAGAATGAGATAAAGGCCTAGAAGGCCAAAGGCATCAACAGAGGAAAAGGTCAAGACAGGAAAGGAGTGAGGGTTTATAGAACAGACTGAAATTATAGAAGGAAGGGAGCCTGGATACAGGGGTGTCATGGAAACCAGGGAAAAGCAGTGGATCAAACAGTGTGGTCAAGTATGTCACAGACTGCAGAAAGCTCAAGTAAGAGGAGCACTGAATAATATCCATTAAATTTGAAGCCTTTATATCTTTTTTCCCAAGAAGCAACAGTCTCATGGCTGGTGTACAACTGCTTCAGAAAATAGTTTAGCATTAGCAGGGAAGCTGAACAGGTGCAGACCTCAACATCCAGCAACTCCACTCTTACGAATATGTGGATGCTTGCTACTCAGACTGTGGTCCACAGACAGACAGCATCAGCATCAGCAGGAACTTGTAGAAATGCAGAATCTGGCCAGGCACGGTGGCTCAACGCCTGTAATCCCAGCACTTTGGGAGACTGCAGTGGGCGGATCGCTTGAGCCCAGGAGTTAGAGACCAGCCTTGGCAACGTAGTGACCCGGTCTCAAATTGGAAAAAAAAAAAAAAAAAAAGGGCCAGACATGGTGGCTCATGCCTGTAATCTCAGCACTTTGGGAGGCTGAGGCGGGCAAATCACCTGAGGTCAGGAGTGCGAGACCAGCTTGGCCAACATGGTGAAACCCCATTTCTACTAAAAATACAAAAATTAGCCAGGCGTGGTGGCATGTGCCTGTAGTCCCAGCTACTTGGGAGGCTGAGGCAGGAGAATTGCTTGAACCCGGGAGGCGGAGGCTGCAGTGTGCCACTGCACTCCAGCCTGGGCAACAGAGCGAGACTCTGTCTCAAAAAAAAAAGAGAGAGAAAAAAAAAAAAAGAAAGAAACACAGAATCTCAGGCCCCACCCAGACCTACTGACTCAGACTCCGAATTAAAACTCCAGATGACTCATGTGCATGCTGATTTCAAGAAGCATGTAATCTTCAAACCCTTTTGCTCACATTAAAAGAATTTTGCAAATTATGTACCCCTTGCATGTTTTTATGCTGCTATCTAAAACTTTCCCCAAATGTTTAGTTGCAAAAGAATGCCATTCCAGTGTGTTGTAAACATGGATCTTTTTTTAAAAGTCTTATTTCACTTTTTAACCATTCCCTTCATGATTCATTTTATTTTTTTTTTTATGTATTTATTTGTTTATTTTTTGAGACAAGAGTCTCCCTCTGTCTCCTAGGCTGGAGTGCAGTGGCGCCATCTCGGCTCACTGCAACCTCCGCCTCCCAGGTTCCAGCAATTCTCCTGCCTCCACCTCTCGAGTAGCTGGGACTACAGGTGCCTGCCACCACGTCTGGCTAATTTTCGTATTTTTAGTAGAGACGGGGTTTCACCTTGTTGCTCAGGCTGGTCTCGAACTCCTGACTTCAGGTGATCCACCCGCTTTGGTCTCCCAAAGTGCTGGGATTACAGGCATGAGCCACCACACCCAGCCCAATTCATTTTATTTATTTATTTTTTATTTTATTTTTAAGATGGAAGCTTGCTCTGTCACCCAGGCTGGAGTGCAGTGGCACGATCTCGGCTCACTGCAACCTCTGCCTCCCGGGTTCAAGAGATTATCCTGCCTCAGCCTCCCGAGTAGCTGGGATTACAGGCATGCGCCACCACGCCTGGCTAATTTTTGTATTTTTAGTAGAGATGGGGTTTCATCATGTTGGCCAGGCTGGTCTTGAACTCCTGACCTCAAGTGATTCATCTGCCTCAGCCTCCCAAAGTGCTGGGATTACAGGTGTGGGCCACCGTGCTGGGCTCATGATTCATTTTTAAAGTACATGATTATAATCTTCTTTAACAGTCAGAAATTTCACATTGTTCTATTTCTTCTGAATTCTTATTTTCATAGTTCTATTTCTACCCCCAAGACATTATCCTAATGTAATACATTTTGTGCTTGAAAGCCTTCTAAGCCTGAGCAACATGGCAAAACCCTGTCTCTACAACAAATAACAAAAATTAGCTGGGTGTGGTGGCGTGTGCCTGTAGTCCTAGCTACTCTGGAGGCTGAGGTGGGAGGATCACCTGTTCCTGGGGAGGTCAAGCCTGCAGTGAGTCATGATTGTGCATTCCAGCCTGGGCAACAGAGTGAGACCTTGTCAAAAAAAAAAAAATGAGCAAAGGACTTGAATAGATATTTCTCCAGAGAAGACACACAAATGGCCAACAAGGACATGAAAAGATGCTCAACATCATTAGTCATTAAGTAAATGAAAATAAAACTATAATGAGTACAACTTCATATCAACTAGAATGTCTATTTAAAAAAAAAAACAAGCCAGGCGCGGTGGCTCACGTCTGTAATCCCAGCACTTTGGGAGGCTGAGGTGGGCGGATCACAAGGTCAGGAGTTCGAGACCAGCCTGGCCAATATGGTGAAACCCCATCTCTACTATAAATACAAAAATTAGCCAGGCGTGGTGGCGCGTGACTGTAGTCCCAGCTACTCAGGAGGCTGAGGCAGGAGAATCCCTTGAACCCGGGAGGCAGAGGTTGCAGTGAGCCAAGATCGCACCACTGTACTCTAGCCGGGGCAACAGAGTGAGACGCTGTCTCAAAAAAAAACAAAAAACAAAAAAAAACAGAAAATAACAACTGTTGGCAAGGATATGGAGAAATTGAAGCTTGTGTACAATCTCCTGGTGGGAACATAAAATGGTGCAGCTGCTGTGGAAAACAGTTTGGCAGTTCCTCAAAAGGTTTAACATATAGGGTGGGCACAGTGGCTCACGCCTGTGATCCCAGGCTGAGAGGAATTTGGGAAGCTAAGGCTGGAGGATCGCTTGAGCCTAGCAGTTCGAGACCAGCCTGGGAAACACAGCAAGACTTCATCTCTACAAAAAAAAAAAAAGAGGTGGGCGGGGGAGCAAATGCCATGGCTCACGCCTATAATCTCAACAATTTGGGAGGCCAAGGCAGGCGGATCCCTTGAGCTCAGGAGTTCCAGACCAGCCTGAGCAACATGGTGAAACCCTGTTTCTACAAAAATGCAAAAATTAGCCAGGCATGGTGGTGCATACCTGTAGTCCTAGCTACTCGGGAGGCTAAGGCGGGAGGCTAAGCCTGGGAGGTGGAGGTTGCAGTGAGCCAAGATCACACCACTGCATTCCAGTCTGGTCAACAGAGATCCTGTCTAAAAAAAAATAATAATAATAATACGTTAAAAATTTAACATATAATTGCCATATAATCCAACAGTTCCACTCCTAGGTATATATCCAAAAGAACTGTAAATAGGTATACAAACAAATTCTAGTATAAGCATCCAATTAAAAGACAATGAATGAATTACAGCTACACAAGTCAACAAAACCATAATGTTGAGTGAAAAGGCCAGCCCCAGAACATGTACAGTATGATTCATCTGTGTGATGGTCAAACAGACAAAACTAAACTGTCCGGGAAAACCTACAACTGCATAGATACTGAAACTATTACAATAAGCAAATGAAGTATACACGGTCATACCTCAGAGATATTTTGGGCTTCGTTCCAGATCCCCTCAATAAAGCCAGTCATATCAACAACTTTTTGGTTTCCCAGTGCACACAAGTTATGTTTACACTGTACTGTAGTCTATTCAGTGTGCAATAGCATACGTCTAAAAACAATGTATGTAACCTTAATTTTAAAATACTGTATTGCTAAAAAATGCTAACAGTCATCTGAGTCTTTAGTGAGTTGTAACATTTTTGCTGGTGGAGGATTTTATCTTGATATCGATAGCTGCTGACTGATTAGGGTGGTGGTTGCTGAAGGTTGGGATGGCTTTGACAATTTCTTTTTTTCTTTTTTTTTTTTTTGAGATGAAGTCTCATGCTGTCACCCAGGCTGGAGTGGAGTGGTGCAATCTCGGCTCATTACAACCTCCATCTCCTGGGTTCAAGCAATTCTCCTGCCTCAGCCTCCCAAGTGGCTGGGACTACAGGCACCCCCACCACACCCAGCTAATTTTTGTGTTTTTAGTAGAGATTGGGTTTCACCATGTTGGCCCAGGCTGGCCTCGAACTCCTGACCTCAGGTGATCCGCCCACCTCAGCCTCCCAAAGTGCTGGGATTACAGGAGTGAGTCACCCCACCCAGCCAACAATTTCTTAAAATAAGACAACAATGAAATTTGCTGTATCTACTGACTCTAACTTTTATAAAAAGATTTATCTGGGCCGAGCACGGTGGCTCATGCCTGTAGACTCAACACTTTGGGAGGCCAAGGCAGGAGTATCACTTGAACCCAAGAATTCAAGATCAATGACTGGGCAACACGGGAAGACCCAGTCTTGCCACTTTTAATTAAAAAAAAAAAAAAAATGGCCGGGTGCTGCGGCTCATGCCTGTAATCCCAGCACTTTGGGAGGCTGAGGTGGGCGGATCATGAGGTCAGGAGTTCAAGACCAGCCTGGCCAACATGGTGAAACCCCATCTCTACTAAAAATACAAAACATTAGCTGGGCGTGGTGGCAGACGTCCGTAATCCTAGCTACTCAGGAGGCTGAGGCAGGAGAATTGCTTGAACCTGGGAAGCAGAGGTTGCAGTGAGCTGAGATTGTACCATTGCACTCCAGCCTGGGCAACAAGGGCGAAACTCCATCTCAAAAAAAAAAAAAAAAAAAAAAGCCAGAAGTGGTAGCGCACGCCTGTAGTCCCAGCTACTCCAGAGGCTGAGGCAGGAGAATCACTTGAACCTGGTAGGTGGAGGTTGCAGTAAGCCGAGATTGTGCCACTGCACCCCAGCCTGGCGACAGAGCAAGACTCTGTCTAAAAAATAAATAAATAAATTAGTCCAGGAAGGTCGAGGCTGCAGTGAGCCTTCTTTGCACCACTGTACTCCAGCCTGAGCAAAAGAAACCACTTTTTTTTTTTTTTTTTTTTTTTTTGACAGGGTCTTGCGCCATCACCCAAGCTGGAGTGCAGCAGTGCGAACAAGGCTCACTGCAGCCTTCTCCTCCCTGGGCTGAATCAATCCTCCCACTTCAGCCTGTTGAATAGCTGCGACCACAGGCAACACCACCTCCCACAGCTATTTTTTTTTTTTCTGAGACTGGGTTTTGCCTTGTTGCCCAGGCTGGTTTCAAGTGATCCTCTTCCCTTGGCTTCCCAAAAGTGCTGAGTTTACAGGCGTAAGCCACCACACCCAGCCTTGTACCCTCTTATATTTTTTAAATTTTGAACAAAACTTTACAATTTGAATTTGGAATTGTACTTACACATTTTGAATTTTGAACAAAACTACATTTTGAATTTTGAACTTTGAATTTTGAGTTTGTAAACAAAATTTTACAAACTCTAATGCTTTTATTTTGCTTTTTTTTTTTTTAAGACAGAGTTTCACTCTTGTCACCCAGGCTGGAGTGCAGTGGCGTGATCTCAACTCACTGCAACCTCTGCCTCCCAGGTTCAAGCAATTCTCCTGCGTCAGCCTCCTGAGTAGCTGGGATTACAGGCATGCACCACCACGCCCAGCTAATTTTTTTTGCATTTTCAGTAGAAACGAGGTTTCACCATGTTGGCCAGGCTGTTCTCAAACTTCTGACCTCAAATGATCCGGCCACCTCAGCCTCCCAAAGTGCTGCGATTACAGGTGTGAGCCACTGCACCCGGCCCTACAAACTCTAATTCTTAACTTGACAGCTTTTTGTATTTCTGCTCTCACGAATGACTCCATGAAAAAAATAAAATGAACAATTTTTTTTTTAAACTTGGGATATGGATTAGGTCATTTGCAGGGACACAGGCAGGCCTGGGGAGGACAACCTGATCCAGGCAGGTATCACAGGCCCGAAAGTCAGTTGCTCAAGCAGCAAGGATGACATAGGGTAGCAGAGCAGACTTGGTGAGGCTCAGAGGATAGAATATTTGTCGAGAAGTGGAAGAGTCTTTTTCTGTCTGGAATTCACAAGGTGCTGGGAGAATCTGCCTCCATTTCCCCAGATAGACCTGGATCTGGGCAGAGTCAGCAAGGGTGTGTGGAGGACTTGGACGATGGCAAAGGTGGTGGGCTGCAGGGAGTAAATTCCCTCCGAGGTAGGAGGGGGAGGGAAGAGTTTGTCTGGAGGCAGGTTGAGGCTGGGAGAGGGCTCCGAAGAGCTAGGGATAAGGAGCTCTGAAGAAGGAGGAGGAGCCAGCATTGAGGAGCAGTCAAGGGGGATGGATGGGAGTTCAGAAAAGGTGGTTTTGCAGATGGATGGGAGTGGTGCAGGCACTTTGTTTTCACATGGCTTCTTTCCCCAAGCAGTAAGCCCCTTCCAACATTGCCAAAACATCCTGCAGTTTTTACCAGGGTTCCTGCGCTGAGGGCAGAGCTGAGTGCAGATCAAAGGAGAAAGAGAAAGAAGTTGGAGGTTTTGTTGTAATGTAAGACAGTTTCATCAGCCTATGGATTTAAAAGTCCAGGCTGACTTACCTCTTCCTTTCCTATAGATTGCTCAGGAAATATGGTTATTCTAGTACGTGCTAAGCATCGTTGTAAAAAGTAAGCCCACAGCCTAAAATACTTTGAATGTCTTAGACAAATGTCCAATGTTTGCTACGGTTTTGGATTATCAAGGCCACTCCTTACCTCTATGAGTAGCCAAGGGTAGTGCTCTAAGCTGTGAGCTAGCTTCTCTCAGAGATGCCCACAAACATAAACACCCCTTTTCAAAGTAAGCTGCTATGGACTCATAGGACTGGAAAATACTTCAGAGAGTAATCCCTCCATTTTATTAAAGAGAATACTGAAACCTGGGGAGCCTTGATGACTTCAAGATGGACTGGAACCTGGACCTTTTGTCTCCTAGTTATTCCTTGCATCCCTAGTCAAATTTTATTTCCTTTAAAAAATGTATTTACTTTTATTTATTATTTTATTATTTTTGAGACAGGTGTCTCGCTTTGTTGCCCAGGCTGGTCTCAAACTCCCGGCCTTAAGTGATCCTCCCACCTCAGCTTCCCAAAGTGCTGGGATTACAGGCATAAGCCACAGTGCCCAGCCCAGATTTTATTTCTAAAGCTCACTAAGAATCCTAATTTTTTTTTTAAAAGACAGGGTCTCATTCTGTTGCCCAGGCTGGAGTACAGTGGCACTATCATGGTTCACTGCAGCCTCAACTGCCTGGGCTTAAGCAGTCCTCCCACCTCAGCCTCTCATGTAACTGGGATCCCAAGCACATACACACCATCATGCCCTGCTAATTTTCTTATTATTTGTAGAGATGGGGTCTTGCTATGTTGCCCAGACTGGTCTCAAACTGCTGGGCTCAAGGGATCCTCCTGCCTCGGCCTCCCAAAGTGCTGGGATTACAGGAATGAACCATTGAGCCTGACCCAAAAATCCTAAAAGTATCTCCTAAATTTATCTGTTCTTGACACCACACCAAGGCATTTGGTACTGCAAGCTAAGGACAGGAAAGCCCCTGGTTTTATACTGGCAGAAGTTGGGGAAGAAGGGACAAGGATCTAGATGATTGTAAACCCCCTGGATGGGATGCATGGGAAATGGCTCCACATCATCTCTCCACCAGACTACATGGAAAAGAGTTTGTGCACCTCTGCTTGTTTTTACGCAGAGTTGTAACTGGGTGGGCTGGACACTTGAAGGATTCATTGGCTGTCAACTCCACCTGCCACCAAGGACTACCTGTCTTGAGCCATGGGCTGAGTTAGGCCCCCTGTCCCATCTACATTCCTAGAAAGGAAAAGTAGCAAGAAAGGGACAAGAAACAAAATTTTACAAACTCTAATTCTTAACTTGACAGCTTTTTGTATTTCTGCTCTCACTGGAATGTGAACTATTCTTCTGAGAAGTTTGGCAATGCGGAAAAGAAGAGATGAGATAGAAAAACAGAATTTTTAAAGTTCTTTTGGGTCAGGCGCAGTGGCTCACGCCTGTAATCCCAACACTTTGGGAGGCTGAGCAAGGTGGATCACCCGAGGTCAGGAGTTCGAGACCAGCCTGGCCAACATGGTGAAACCCCGTCTCTACTAAAAATGCGAAAATTAGCTAGGCATGGTGGCGGGCACCTGTAATCCCAGCTACTTGGGAGGTTGAGGCAGGAGAATCACTTGAACCTGGGAAGCGGAGGTTGCAGTGAGCCAAGATCGTGCTATTGCACTCCAGCCTGGGTGACAAGAGCAAAACTCCAGCTAAATAAATTAATTAATTAATTAAAATAAAATAAAATTCTTTTGAAAATTTCATAGTCCGTTTCCCAGATTAGGAAAAGGAGAACAGAGCTATTGTTTACTCAGCAACTACTGCATGCCAGGCTCATTTAAACCTCACATTAGCCCTGTGAGAGATCAGGGCCTTCAAGATAAAAATGCTTTCAGATGAGCTAAGGATGGGCGGGGGAGACAAAGATAAGGACACTGTGATTCAGAGAATTAAGTAACTTGCCCAGTGGGCCTCATTTGGTACAGGAATAGGGCTTTTATTTTATTTTTTTAATGATTTGCGAATCTGGCAGCCTTCTGAGCCAGAGTAGGCTCAGAAACTCCTAGGAATGTGGCTTTAAGCCTAGGTGCGTCTGACACAAAATCAGGTGTTCTTCCTCAAATCTACAAGGCCTAAATACAAAGAGAGCAGTTTAGAACAGACTCTTAGATTCAACAGAGGGAACTGGGTGCGGGCATACAAATCAGAGAATTTAAAAGAAAAAGGCAAAAAGTCAAGGTACCACCTAAACACTGTCTACGCTGCCTCCACCCTCCTGCCAAACAGCATCCCTTGAGTTCAAGAATTCAGTTTCAGCTCAAGAACAAACTTTTTATGGGTGGATGCTGGCTGAGCCAAAGAGGAATTACTTCAACAATCATTTGTTGCATGACCTTTTTTGGTGTTTTGTTTTGAGAAGGAGTCTTGCTCTGTCGCCCAGGCTGGAGTGCAATGGCGCAATCTAGGCTCACTGCAACCTTCACCTCCCAGGTTCAAGCGATTCTCCTGCCTCAGCCTCCCCAGTAGCTGGGATTACAGGCACCTGCCACCACGTCCAGCTAATTTTTGTATATTTAGTAGAGTCAGGGTTTCACCATGTTGGCCAGGCTGGTCTCGAACTCCTGACCTCAGGTGATCCACCTGCCTCGGCCTCCCACAGTGCTGGGATTACAGGCGTGAGCCACCACACCCTCCCTATTGCATGATTTTTATTTGCAAAACAAAACCCACAACATAATTCCTGCAACCAAGAAGTTTATAGTCTAATGGGGAAACCAGATATTGAACACATAATAAGAAACTTCATCAGAATTGAAATGTATGGAAAACGCACTAGTCTCCTGAAGGACGTAAAAAAGAAATCCAATTGGCAGGAAACAGTGGCATCTTCACGCGGACTTGGATAGGTGGGGAAGTGGGTGTAGGTACGAGGAAGTGGAAGGGAAGGCACCAGCCTTCAAGACGCTCCTAAGTGCTGTCGCTGAAGCTGTGGAGACTATAACTTAGTCTGAGAGAGACAAGAGAAAGAGAAGGCCCGGGCGCAGTGTTGAAGGGAAGTTTTGTTTAGAGCTGGACCTTGTCAGTCTGGAGGAGAGGTGAGGAATAAGGGGGACGGAGCGGTGGAAGATTAGAGTAGAATCATACTAACATAATAAATCACATCATTAAAATTAGTCCTAGGGTTAATTATATACTAAAGGTGAAATGGGCAAGGTCATCGATAGCACAAGCGGAGGGCGACTGCCTTGGCAAGAAGTTGGGATCAATCCTGAGAATGGAGGGGAGGGCGGGTGTGATTTTAAAGGACTGACATGGAGTGGAGGAAAGTTGAGGGCACTGGATCGTCTGGCTTTGTGGAAAGTGAAATCATATTTCAGGCCTGAAGGGCTGAGGCGGTTACTAGCTTTACAAGAGTTGGAAAAGCCTGGGAATGTGTCTGGAGCAACTGTGAGCACACTCAGCAGAGGAGGCAGGCGTGGGTAATAGCTACCAACAGCTCTGTTAGCCACGGGGCGGATGGGGCCCTGAGAGGTGCCACGGATGCACCCAGGGCAGCGCTCGGCACAGCTGGACCGGAGACGCACCACCCCTGGGAGCAGGTGGCAGCGCCCGCAGCCGAGAGAACGGGTGCGCGCGCGCGCTGCGGGATGCGGCGCGGGCGGGGCGCGGGGACGCGGAGCGAGTAGCGCCATGGGCAGCCGGGATTGGGGGGCGGGCCCGAGTGAGCGGGCCTCCGCGCGGCACTTGGCACGCACGCGCAAACTGGCCGCGGGGCTTGGAGGTACAGAGGAGGGGGAGCGAGAAAGAGGGGGGTGTGGAACGTATTTCCGCTCTGGCGGACAAATAATCCCGGCCAAAGAGGAGGCAAGGCCGTCCGGCCCTTTAACCGCGTGGGGGTGCTGGTGAAGAAAGGGGGGTCGGGAAGGGGGGATCCTGCTCCTTTAATTCCCTCCCCTCTTCCTCCTCCCCGAGTCCTAGCCGACGCCGCCGCCGCCGCGCGCGCGGGGCCTGGAACACACGGCACGAGCCGCCCCCGCCCCTCCCCCCTTACGCCCACGCGGAGCCGGCCCCGCGCGCGCGCGCGTCCCGTGCATCCCCGCGCCTGCGCGCTGCCCAGGCCCTGCCCGTGTGTGGGGGTCGCTGCCGGCCCCGGGGGGGGGTGGGGAAAATAAGGGATTAAAAAAACAGCGCGCGGAACCGGGCCAGGTGAGAGGAGCGTGCACTCAGGGTCGTGGGGCTGGGGGGGCGTGCCACGGAGCTCTGAGCGTGGGGGCAGGGCGTGCACGGTGCGTGCTGGCGGCGGGGGGGAGGACGTGAAAAGCGCGTGCAAACGTGTAAGGGGGGGGCGGAGGAATGAGGCAGCCGGTAAAGGGGGCGGGGTGAGAAGAGCCTGCAACCGGGGCCACCTTGGAGTCCAGAGCCCCAGGCCTCTGGCCCCCCTTTTTCTCCGTCCTTCCACCGTGGGCGCGCGGGCTCGCCCCATCCTAGCGGGCTGCTGGGCTGGGGGGTGTGGACGCCGCTGCCCCGCCCCCGAGAACCACGCCTCCCTCCTCTCAGAGGGACAGCACCTCCCCAGGGTTGGGGAAACTGAGGAAGAAATCTGAAGACCGGGAGATCGGATGCCGGGGGGCTGGGCAAGAATGGGGGCGAGGGTCCTGGAGCCTTGGCTTCGGAGAGCCAGAGACCTTTGTCTCTGACCGGTTTCCTTCCCAACCAGGGTTGCCCACCCCCGCCACAATGGCCTCTGGGGTGGAAGTCCTGCGCTTCCAGCTGCCCGGCCACGAGGCCGCAACGCTACGGAACATGAACCAGCTCCGGGCAGAGGAGCGGTTCTGCGACGTGACCATTGTGGCCGACAGCCTCAAGTTTCGAGGCCACAAGGTCATCTTGGCCGCCTGCTCACCCTTCCTGCGGGACCAGTTCCTGCTGAACCCCAGCTCGGAGCTGCAGGTCTCCCTGATGCACAGTGCACGCATCGTGGCCGACTTGCTCCTCTCCTGCTACACGGGCGCCTTGGAATTCGCTGTTAGGGACATCGTCAACTACCTTACAGCCGCCTCCTACCTGCAGATGGAGCACGTGGTGGAGAAATGCCGGAATGCCCTCAGCCAGTTCATTGAGCCCAAAATAGGCCTCAAAGAGGATGGGGTCAGTGAGGCTAGCCTTGTGAGCAGCATCAGCGCCACCAAGTCCCTCCTCCCTCCAGCCAGGACCCCAAAGCCAGCCCCGAAGCCCCCACCCCCACCTCCTCTACCCCCTCCACTCCTGCGGCCAGTGAAGCTGGAGTTCCCACTGGATGAAGACTTGGAGCTGAAAGCCGAGGAAGAGGATGAGGATGAGGATGAGGACGTGTCTGACATCTGCATCGTCAAGGTGGAGTCGGCCCTGGAGGTGGCACACCGGCTCAAACCCCCTGGAGGCCTGGGAGGGGGTCTGGGCATTGGAGGCTCCGTGGGTGGCCACCTTGGGGAGCTGGCCCAGAGCAGCGTTCCCCCCAGCACTGTAGCCCCACCGCAGGGTGTGGTGAAGGCCTGCTATAGCCTGTCGGAAGATGCAGAAGGGGAGGGCCTGCTGTTGATTCCCGGAGGCCGGGCCAGCGTGGGGGCCACCTCGGGCCTGGTGGAAGCAGCAGCGGTGGCCATGGCTGCCCGGGGGGCGGGGGGCAGCCTGGGGGCGGGGGGCAGCCGGGGACCCCTGCCTGGGGGCTTCTCAGGTGGAAACCCCTTAAAGAACATCAAGTGCACCAAGTGCCCGGAAGTGTTCCAGGGCGTGGAGAAGCTGGTCTTCCACATGCGGGCGCAGCACTTCATCTTCATGTGCCCTCGCTGTGGCAAGCAGTTCAACCACAGCAGCAACCTCAACCGCCACATGAACGTGCATCGTGGTGTCAAGTCACACTCGTGCGGCATCTGCGGCAAGTGCTTCACACAGAAGTCCACCCTTCACGACCACCTCAACCTGCACTCGGGAGCGCGGCCCTACCGCTGCTCCTACTGCGACGTGCGCTTCGCCCACAAGCCTGCCATTAGGCGGCACCTCAAGGAGCAACACGGCAAGACCACGGCCGAGAACGTGCTGGAGGCCAGTGTGGCCGAGATTAACGTCCTCATCCGCTAGCCGCGCAGGCGTGGAGGCCAGGAGGCTGGGGCCCCTGGGCTGCGTGGAAAAAGGGCTCTTTGGCCCAGGAGAATTGGGGGGTGGGGGGTCTGGGGCAGAAAGGTAAGAGTGGGAGGCTGAGCAGATGCACACATCCTGAGAGAGGGAAGATGATTCCTTGGAGAGACTTGCTCTTGAGAGTGCAAGAATCTGGAGCTGGGAAAAGGGTTCTTGGAGGCCAGGGGAATACGGGGTCCCAGAGAAAGATTTCCTTCTCTTAGAAGTGCATGTATATGTGGAGGGAGGGAAAAGGGTCCTATAGAATGAGGGAAGACAAAAATGTTTTATTCCTGGCTAAGGCTGCCCAGGGGAAGGTTCTGACATTTCTCGAGATAAGAAGGGTTGGGGGGTGGGTGGGAACAGGGAGGGAATTTGGCAGGAGGACATGCTCCTGCTTAGAATAGACCTGGGGTGAGGGAGTGGTAAGGGGAAAAGATTACTGAGTCCCAGAAAAGGAAGTGGGAGACAGTTCTTGCATGCTGGGGAAATGAGACTGCGAGTATGAGGCTTGCTGAAATTTGAGGGAGAACAAAGTAAGACGCCAGGTAAGAGAACGTGGGGTGCGCATCCTGGGTAGATATTGGGAAGTGGGGGTACAATAGCAAGAAACAATGGATAGTCATGGGGGTGGGGGGGATAGGGCACTTAGAAAAGAAAGAACACAAGAAGGGCTGTTGGGAGGGAGGGAGAGGAGTAGAGACATACAGTATTTTTTAAGAAAAAACATATTTTTTAGGATTTTTTCTGGAGTTTGGGGTTTTAGTTTTTCTGCTTTTGTTTTCCACAAAATAAAAAACAAAAAAAAACTTTTTTTTTTCCTTTACACTCTGGCAACTGCGTGTACATGACTATCCTGCCCTAGACAGCCTCTCCCTGTGATGCTGCGTTCTTAATACCTAGAGGTCACAACTCTGCATATCCCTTGCCTGAAGGAGCCCAGCCCTAAACATGGGAGAGGAGTGTGACAAGTGAGCTCCTCTGGTCAGGGACTCCCCCAAGTCCCCACCCCCAGCCCTCCACCAGTTCTGCAATCTCAACACTTAGCCAGGTACCTCACAGTACAAGTGATTGGCAGTCGTGGGGATGCACATGAACTCTATTTGAGGGACTTAGGATCAGTGCTAGGGATGAGCTACAGGTGGCCAACCTGCCCACGGAAATTGTAAGCAGGAGTCTGTTTGGTCATATTTTGTCTGGGGTAAATAGGTCATGTCTTCAGGAAAGCTAAAAAAAAAAAAAAAAAGCTAAGTTTGGATTAAGGTGCAGGGAAAACTACAATTCCCAGAAAGCTCTGGAATAGTTAACCAAAGAGAACTACAGTTCCCAGAAGGCCTTTAATTGGCCTCAGGTGCCCCACCTGCCTGTGTCAAATACTGCGTGTGAAATCATACAGATCTTTTCCAAACTCGACCAAAACGTAATACCTAAAGGGATGGTACCCTAAATACAGCTATCGAGATTGTCTATCTTGGTGTATATCATTTATACTTAAATTGTCCGCTGGGCTATGACCCACGGAGTACCTGACTGTGCTTATGAAGTGTTCGGCAAAAAAGGTTTACTTACTGCAGTGTCACCAGTCAGTAATGACGTTCGGGCCGCTGGGCTTACCTGGATCCCTAGTGCGTGTGAAGGTGTAACACGCCTGATATAAACAGAAGAGACATTTAGCCACAGGTTTTCAGAAGGGCACGCTGCTCCAGGGGACATGAAGCAGCATGCTAGAACCAGCCAAGAATAAAGGTGTCCTCCGCGTCCCTATCGCCCCTTCGTGCTCGTTAGAAAGAGCAAAAAGGCGAGGCCAAAACTGAGGCCAAGCCTTCTATCTGGTAACCCAAAAACTAGAAAGGCAGAAAAGCAACCAGAGGCGGGAAAAGCCCAACCAGGCCAGAGGAAATACAGCCGCTGCCGAGAGCCGAGAAGTTCAGAAGCTCCGCTTGTTACCTAAAACCAGATGGGGACAGAGACGCCACACCTGGGCCCAGGCGTGTCTCGCCCTCGGTCCCTGCAGAACTGAGGCCAGGAATGACAGGAATTCTCCCTTGCAGCTCCCAGCTTAGGACAGTCACAGCCATCTCCGAGGCCGCTCTCAGGGGAAAATGGCCAAAAAGCATGTAGCGGCTCCTTTAAGGCTCCTCCTCGCCCTCCCTCCCTCGCCCACGTGACCCGGGGCGGCCGCGCGCCGGCTCGGCCCCCAGCGCAAGCGGCGATGGCGGCGGCGGCGGGAGCTGCAGCGGCGGCGGCCGCCGAGGTGCGGAAGGGGAGGGGGAGAGGCGGGTGCATGCCCGCGCGCGCGCCCGGGGGAAGCGCGCGCCCGTGCAATGCTCCGGGGGTGCAACGGGGCCGGGGGGCCCGGGCGGGACTTGCAGCAATCCAGGGGGCCAGCACCGGGGGCGGATGAGGGGACCAGGGTGTGGGAGGTGGGGGGAGTGGGCACGGAGGCGCGCGTGCAGCCGCCGGCTGCCCCTGAGTGGGCGACGGGCGCCGGGGCCCCAGGAGCACGCGTGAGGGGCACGAGGGGCCGTCCACCGGGCTGGGGGGCAGCGGGTGCTGGAGGGGTTGGTGCCCGGGGTCCCCGCGGCCTGGGGGACAAAGGGGGAGCGGCGCGTGCAGCCGGGAGGAGGGGGCGGGGCCGGGGCGCGGAGGCCCCGCCCCCTCCCCCTCCTCTTCTCTCGGCCCCAGAGATGCGGGGTCTACCGAGAGGGAGGGGGTTGATGCGGGCCCGGGGGAGGGGTCGTGCGGCCCCTCCGGGCAGCCGAGGCCGCGGAAGGGGGGGGCCCCACAGAGGAAGAGGTAGGCCCCGGAGCCTACTCTCTCTTCCCAGGGCCCAGGCATCCTGGACCCCCCAACTCTCTACTGGGCTGACCAGCCCTCCTGTCCCTTGTCTCCCCTCCCAGGGGGAGGCCCCCGCTGAGATGGGGGCGCTGCTGCTGGAGAAGGAAACCAGAGGAGCCACCGAGAGAGGTGAGTGCAGCTAAAACGGGCCCCAATTGGACCGTCACCTTCCCTAAACACAGGATCTCCTGAGCCCTTAGCTCTGAACTTTTTCTCTTCCTCTACAGTTCATGGCTCTTTGGGGGACACCCCTCGTAGTGAAGAAACCCTGCCCAAGGCCACCCCCGACTCCCTGGAGCCTGCTGGCCCCTCATCTCCAGCCTCTGTCACTGTCACTGTTGGTGATGAGGGGGCTGACACCCCTGTAGGGGCTACACCACTCATTGGGGATGAATCTGAGAATCTTGAGGGAGATGGGGACCTCCGTGGGGGCCGGATCCTGCTGGGTGAGAGGCTGGGTAGCCTGGGGGGTTGGTGGGAAATTTCTGACTCTTGCCTTCTTTCTTATCTTGCCTTTTGCTTGCCTGTTTTCTAGGCCATGCCACAAAGTCATTCCCCTCTTCCCCCAGCAAGGGGGGTTCCTGTCCTAGCCGGGCCAAGATGTCAATGACAGGGGCGGGAAAATCACCTCCATCTGTCCAGAGTTTGGCTATGAGGCTACTGAGTATGCCAGGAGCCCAGGGAGCTGCAGCAGCAGGGTCTGAACCCCCTCCAGCCACCACGAGCCCAGAGGGACAGCCCAAGGTCCACCGAGCCCGCAAAACCATGTCCAAACCAGGAAATGGACAGGTGAGTGGGATGGGAGAGATGGGATAATCAACCATAAACCTTTGGTGAGCTCTTTTACAGTTTCACTTAAGGCTTCTACTCCATTTACTCATTCACATATTTAAGCAAGGGGCTGCTGTGTGTCAAATATTAGGCTGTGCTTGATCTGTGAACCAACAGACAGGTTCCTCTCTTCCTGCAGTTTACATTCTTGGGTGGTGAAAGTTTGATGTTAAAGAGTCAATTATATAGTTAATGTCTTAATTACTCTTATGATAATGACAAGGTAAGGGAATTTCAAACCACTCTTCCTTTCTACCTCAAAGCAAGCCCTTGGGGAACTCATCTGTCACTGCTCTATTTGTAAAGTTTTTCCTGGGAATCCCAGTGGGAAAGGAGATGAGGGCCACAGAAATAATAGAGGAGGGAAGTGACAAGGGCACCAGAAGCTTTATGACCAAGTTCTAGGGTTCTTGGGTCATACCTATTGTTGACCTAAAGGAAAAAACTGAGGCAAACTTAACATTAAGTAAAGTATATTTGGTCAGGTTTTGAGGACAGCCTTTAGGAGCAAAGATTCAAGTTGCCGTGAAAATACACTCTGATTAGCAGCAGTTATAAGTAGGGGTTTTTTTGTTTGTTTTGTTTTGTTTTTGAAGACAGTTTCACTATGTTGCCCAGGCTGGTCTCAAACTGCTGGGCTTCAGCAATCTTCCTGCCTTGACCTCGCAAAGTGCTGGGATTACAGGTGCAAGCCACCACAACCAGCCCACAAGTAGGTTTTTAAAGGAAAAGAAGATTGGATGACGTGAAGATATTGAAAAAAAACAGGCTGACTCTGGGCACACTGCGTAGGAGTTAGCCCTGCTCTGGAAGGAGCCGCAAAAAGAAAAAAAAAAAGATAAAAATTTTTTAAAAGATTGAAGAAATAACAAAGGAAAAGAAGAGGCAGTTCCTAAATTGTTTACCAGTTTACATTAGAATAACAAGCTATTGATCTGCTATACATTGTTCTTTGTCTCACAGATATTAGGCACATGAAGATAATGGGTGAAGCAGCACCCTAGTCAGGTACAAAATGCCTTTAAGCAGTTGCCTCCAGGCATGGGCCCTAACCGTTCCATGCTGACTTCTCGCTGAGCCTGATCAATTTTGCCTGCTTCACATAGCACAGGTTGCTATGAGCTACCTTTCCTTTCTCACTATGATAAACATTAATTTTTATAGTTGCAATTCATTTTGTAAAGAATAGGGAAGAAAAGGAAAATTGAATTTATAAATTAGGTACAGTGAGAGATTAACAACAATAATAACATAATAGCGTAATCCTAACAGTAGGCCAGGCGTGGCTTGCCTATAATCTCAACACTTTCAGAGGCCAAGGCCGGCAATCACTTGAGGTCAGGAGTTCGAGACCAGCCTGGTAAACATGTCCAAACCCCGTCTCTAACTAAAATAATAATAATAATAATAAATTAGCCAGGTGTGGTGGCGTGCGCCTGTAATCCCAGCTAGTCGAGAGGCTGAGGCAGGAGAATCACTTGCAGTGAGCCAAGATCGCGCCACTGCGGTTCAGCCTGGGCAACAGAGCGAGACTCAAAAAAAATAGCACAATTCTAACAATATGCCACCATCACTGCTGATGAACTGGATAAGAGGGGACTAGTGTCACGTAAAATTTACCATCTAAAAAACAATTTTAGGCCAGGCGCAGTGGCTCACGCCTGTAATCTCAGCACTTTGGAGGCCGAGGCGGGAGGATCACCTGAGGTCAGGAGTTTGAGACCAGCCTGGCCAACATAGTGAAACCCTGTCTCTACTAAAAATACAAAAATTAGGCCAGGCGGGGTGCCTCACGCATGTAATCCCAGCACTTTGGGAGGCCAAGGCAGGTGGATCACCTGAGGTCAGGAGTTCGAGACCAGCCGGACGAACATGGTGAAACCCCATCTCTATTAAAAATACAAAATTAGCCGGGCATGGTGGTACATGCCTGTAACAGTCCGCTACTTGGGAGGCTGAGGCAGGAGAATCGCTTGAATCCAGGAGGCAGAGGTTGTAGTTAGCCGAGATCCTGCCATTGCACTCCAGCCTGGACAACAAGAGCAAAACTCTGTCTCAAAAAAAAAAACAAAACAAAAATTAGCCGGGCGTGGTGGCATGTGCCTGTAGTTCCAGCTACTCAGGAGGCAGAGGTGAGAGAAACGCTTGAACCTGGGAGGTAGAGGCTGCAGTGAACTGAGATCGCGCCACTGCACTCCAGCTTGGGCAACAGAGTGAGACTCCATCTAAAAATTTAAAAATAAAATAAAAAACATTTTTAAGTATATAATTTAATGGTATTAAATACTTTCATCATGTGCAATCATCAGTCACCATAACTCATCTTGTAAAACTGAAACTCTGTACCCATTAAAACATAACTCTCCATTCCCTCCACCCCCTAGCCCCTGGCAAGGACCACTGTCCTTTCTTTCTCTATAAATTTGAGTAAGTACTTTATCTAAGTGTAATCATACAGTATTTATCCTTTTGTGACTGGCTTATTTCACTTAGCATAATGTCCTCAAGGTTCATCTATGTTGTACCATGTCAGAATTTCTTTCCTTTCACCTGGGCAGCATACCAAGACCCCATCTCTAAAAGAAGTTTAAAAGAATGTTTCAAAGGCCAGGCCCAGTGACTCACGCCTGTAATCCCGTACTTTCTGGGGAGGATCACTTGACACCAGGAGTTCAAGACCAGCCTGGGCAACATGGCAAGACCTCTTCTCTACCAAAAAAAAAAATTAAGAAGACATTAGTTAGGCATTGTGACATGTGCCTGTAATCCCAGCTTCCCAGGAAGCTGAGGCAGGAGAATGGCTTGAGTCCAGTTCGAGGCTGAAGTGAGCCATAGTCATGCCACTGCACTCCATCCTGGGTAACAGAATGAGACCTTATCTCTTAAAAAAAGTATATCTTTCCTTTTTATGGCTGAATGTTATTCCATTGTGTATAAATGCCACATTTTGCTTATCCATTCATCTGTCAGTGGCACTTGAGTTGCTTCCGCACCTCAGCTGTTGTAAACAGTCCTGCTGTGTATATGGCCACATATAAAAGGTCTTTTAACTTTATTAAGCTTTGTTTTCTCATCTGTAAAATGGAAAAGGGCCTGCTCTGCATGGTTGCAGAGATGAGTGAGTGTTAGTGTGCTTGACACTCTTCCTCTGAGGAAATAGCACCCGTGGTTGCCAGTTTGTGGCTACTGGAGCCTCACATGGCATTTGGAGGTGTGGCTCACTACCCCACCCCCGCCTGGGGCTCCAGGCTAACCCAGGCAAAACTGTAGGTGCTCTCTGACCCTCAGTGTGCTCCCTCTCGGCCCACAGCCCCCGGTCCCTGAGAAGCGGCCCCCTGAAATACAGCATTTCCGCATGAGTGATGATGTCCACTCACTGGGAAAGGTGACCTCAGGTCAGTCCCATCCCCCACCCCCGGTGGCTTGATGTGGTCTGTTCTGAAGGTTTCGGTGATAGGCCCCACACCATTCTCTCTCTTCTTCCAGATCTGGCCAAAAGGAGGAAGCTGAACTCAGGAGGTGGCCTGGTAAGCAGCAGAGGCAGAGCCTCTACCCCTCGGGGGCTGCTCTGAGGGAGGGTCAGAGGTGGGGCTGCATCCCATCCTCAGTAGAAATGCGCAGGGTGTCAGTGGCCTCAATTTTTCTGATCTTTTTCTAGTCAGAGGAGTTAGGTTCTGCCCGGCGTTCAGGAGAAGTGACCCTGACGAAAGGGGACCCCGGGTCCCTGGAGGAGTGGGAGACGGTGGTGGGTGATGACTTCAGTCTCTACTATGATTCCTACTCTGTGGATGAGCGCGTGGACTCCGACAGCAAGGTGAGACAGAGCTGGTCTGCCCTCCCCGCCGGTGCTCCCCCAGGGCTGGGGCTCACTGTCCAGTCCTCCTTGTTCCCTGTTTTTCTGCTTTCTGTCCTTTTTATCTTCTGAATATCCACTAAGTCATTGCCCCATGCTGTCTATAACTCCTTTTTTTTGTGGGGGGAGACGGAATCTCATTCTGTCGCCCAGGCTGGAGCGCAATATCACGATCTGGGCTCACTGCAACCTCTGTCTCCAGGGTTAAAGCAATTCTCCTGCCTCAGCCTCCCGAGTAGCTGGGATTACAGGCACCTGCCACCACGCCCGGCTAATTTTTGTATTTTTAGTAGAGACGGGGTTTCCCTGTGTTGGCCAGGCTGGTCTCTAACTCCTGACCTTAGTTGATCCACCCACCTTGGCCTCCCAAAGTGCTGGGATTACAGCTGTGAGCCACCGCGCCCAGCTGTAACTCATTTTCAATGTGTATTCTGCCCGTTTCATCCACAAAGGTGGCCACCACCCTGCACATGGGATTTAGTATTCTTTTTTTTTTAATCAGCTAATGAAATGACCATTTAACAGACATGTACTGTTTAAAAAAAGAAAACAAAAAAAGAAATGACCAGAAAGCACTTTTTTAAAACATACGTTATGCTGTTTATATAAAATTCAAAAGCATTGCATTGTCATTTATTTGCTTATTTCGTTGCTCTTTGTCTGGTTTTATCTTATATGTTTGCCTACACAGTAGAATGTTTAGTCTCTCTGATTTTGCCTTTTATTTAACATTTTATCATGAAAACTTGCAAGCATAATCAAAAGAGTAGAATAGGGAGCCCCCATGTACCCAATACACAGCTCCAGCCATTATCAGTACACAGTCCATCTTGACCCATCTGTACATCTCCCAGCACACACACCTACTAGGTTATTTTAAAGCAAATCCCAGACCTCATATCATTTTACCTAAACATATATCCATATAGATTTGTAAATATAAGGCCTCTTTTTGTCGTTCAACATCATTACACTACTGTTTTCACACCTAAAAAAACTTACCGATTTCTTAATACCATCAAATATCCTGTCAGTCTTCACATTTCCTCAGCTCTCACAAATGGTTTTTGTCAAGATCCAAATGAGGCCCACACCTTGATTTGATTAACATTTGTCTTAGGTCAGCCAGGCACAGTGGCTCACGCCTGTAATCCCAATACTTTGGGAGGCCAAGGCGGGCAGATCACGTGAGGTTGGGAGTTCGAGACCAGCCTGATCAACATGGAGAAACCCCGTCTCTACTGAAAAAAATACAAAATTAGCTGGACGTAGTGGTACGTGCCTGTAATTCCAGCTACTCGGGAGGCTGAGGCAGGAGAATCGCTTGAACCTGGGAGGTGGAGGTTGCAGTGAGCCAAGATCGTACCATTGCACTCCAGCCTCGGCAACAAGAGCGAAACTCCGTCTCAAAAAAAAAAAAATTTTTTTTTGTCTTAGGTCTCTCTCAGTATTTAGGTTTCCCCATCTTCTTTGTGTTTGTTTGTTTGTTTGTTTTTGTTTTTTGAGATGGAGTCTCACACTGTCACCCAGGCTGGAGTGCAGTGGCGTGATCTTGGCTCACTGCAAGCTCCACCTCCTGAGTTCAAGCAATTCTCCTGCCTCAGTCTCCCAAGTAGCTGGGATTACAGGCACCCACCACCATGCCCAGCTAATTTTTTGTATTTTTAGTAGAGGCAGGGTTTCACTATGTTGGCCAGGCTGGTCTCAAACTCCTGATCTCGTGATCTGCCCACCTCGGCCTCCCAAAGCGCTGGGATTACAGGCGTGAGCCACCACACCTGGCCTGATTTCCTCATCTTCTAAAAAAAAATTTTTTGGCCCAGGCGTGGTGGCTCACGCCTGTAATCCCAGCACTTTGGGAGGCAGGTGGATCACCTGAGGTCAGGAGTTTGAGACCAGCCTAGCCAACATGGTGAAAACACATCTCTAATAAAAATACGAAAATTAGCTGGGTGTGGTGGCGGGTGCCTATAATCCCAGCTACTCAGGAGGCTGAGGCAAGAGAATTGCTTGAATCCAGGAGGTGGAGGTTGCAGTGAGCTGAGATCACACCATTGCAATGCAGCCTGGGCAACAAGAGCAAAACTCAATAAATAAATAAGAAAGATTTTTTTTTTTTGCCATTTATTTGTCAAAGAAACCAGCTCAGTTGTCCTACAGAATTTTTCACATTTAGGAGTTGGCTGATTGGGTGGAGATTGACACATCCTCTCTGCCCATATTTCTTGTAAACTGATAGATCTAGAGGCGGAATCAGCTTCAGGTGCCAAGAAGACTTGACAGTGGGTGCAAGTGCTTCTGGCCACATCACATCAGGATGCATGGAACATCTAATCTGGTCATTTTTCTTGTTAGTGATAAGATTGACCAGTGGGTTCAGGTGATGTCAGCCTGAACCTTTCATATAAAGTTTCTCATGAGCTTTGTGTCTAGTGTTTTTAGCAACCATTGGTGGTCTTGCCTGTTTATGAACATCATAAAAGGGGTATCAAAGTATGTTTATCTTCTGGTACTTGCTTTTTGTTTTTTAACTTAATATCACATTACCAAGATCTGTGCACATTGCTGTCTGTAACTTTTTCACTGCTGTGTAATATTCCATGCACCCTCTCTTTATGTGGCCCTTTGTCTCCTCTGCTACCCACACTTATCCCCAGCAGCCATCCGTGGGTAGTGGCGGGGGGCAATGGTGGTGGTGGTTTTCTTTACTCACCTCATTGTCTGAGTCCTGGGGGTTGGATATGTCTGTTCTGCCTCTCTCCCAGTCTGAAGTTGAAGCTCTAACTGAACAACTAAGTGAAGAGGAGGAGGAGGAAGAGGAGGAAGAAGAAGAAGAGGAAGAGGAGGAGGAAGAGGAAGAAGAAGAGGAAGATGAGGAGTCAGGGAATCAGTCAGATAGGGTAAGAGACGGAGGCTGATATCTCCAGAGGAGTGGGAGACTATGGGGCTGGAGGTCTGGTCCTGAAGGTGTTGGGGGGGCCCCTGGGGGTGAGGGTTCCTAACTCCTCCTCCTCCCCCTTCCCAGAGTGGTTCCAGTGGCCGGCGCAAGGCCAAGAAGAAATGGCGAAAAGACAGCCCATGGGTGAAGCCGTCTCGGAAACGGCGCAAGCGGGAGCCTCCGCGGGCCAAGGAGCCACGAGGTGAGGAGGCTCTGCTGCTTTTGGGTGCCCTCCAGCCCCCGCCCGGCCCCCCAGAGTGTGTGCACGCACACACACGCTCTCGCATGTCCACCTGCATGTACCCACGCGTCCAGGCACCTGTGAGCTCGCACTCTCACTCTCTCTGTCTCTGTGTCAGGAGTGAATGGTGTGGGCTCCTCAGGCCCCAGTGAGTACATGGAGGTCCCTCTGGGGTCCCTGGAGCTGCCCAGCGAGGGGACCCTCTCCCCCAACCACGCTGGTAATTGCCAATTGCCGGGACAGGGAGCCACTAGGGGGCGACCTCAGGGCAGGAGGGAAAGGGAAGGAGGGGAACCACGCCAGAGCCGGGGTGTCCATGGCCAGGCTTTAGGGGTTCTGGGGCATGGCGGGGTGGGGTAGGGAGGGAGTGAGAGGACCCGCCAGGGGTCCCAGTAGGTGAGGTGCAGAGCCTCCCTCAGCTCCTCTTTTCCTCCATCCAAGGGGTGTCCAATGACACATCTTCGCTGGAGACAGAGCGAGGGTTTGAGGAGTTGCCCCTGTGCAGCTGCCGCATGGAGGCACCCAAGATTGACCGCATCAGCGAGAGGGCGGGGCACAAGTGCATGGCCACTGAGAGTGTGGACGGAGAGGTGGGGCCGTGGGCTGGTGGGAGAGGTGCCAGGGCGTCCAGTCCCCGGCCCCAGCCTCACGCTCTCTTCTCACCCATCCTCACTGCGCACAGCTGTCAGGCTGCAATGCCGCCATCCTCAAGCGGGAGACCATGAGGCCATCCAGCCGTGTGGCCCTGATGGTGCTCTGTGAGACCCACCGCGCCCGCATGGTCAAACACCACTGCTGCCCGGGCTGCGGCTACTTCTGCACGGCGGTGAGTGACCAGTGGGGCAGACAGGTAGCATGCCCTGTGGCAGAGGGGGCCCCAGTAACCTGACCATGTCGTTTCCCTGCTCCCAGGGCACCTTCCTGGAGTGCCACCCTGACTTCCGTGTGGCCCACCGCTTCCACAAGGCCTGTGTGTCTCAGCTGAATGGGATGGTCTTCTGTCCCCACTGTGGGGAGGATGCTTCTGAAGCTCAAGAGGTGACCATCCCCCGGGGTGACGGGGTGACCCCACCGGCCGGCACTGCAGCTCCTGCACCCCCACCCCTGTCCCAGGATGTCCCCGGGAGAGCAGACACTTCTCAGCCCAGGTACTGGCCTCCCCCTTCTGTACTGTCTGTTCCCTCCCCCACCCCTATTGCTCCTGGACATGAGCTCCTTCTTCCACAGTGCCCGGATGCGAGGGCATGGGGAACCCCGGCGCCCGCCCTGCGATCCCCTGGCTGACACCATTGACAGCTCAGGGCCCTCCCTGACCCTGCCCAATGGGGGCTGCCTTTCAGCCGTGGGGCTGCCACTGGGGCCAGGCCGGGAGGCCCTGGAAAAGGCCCTGGTCATCCAGGAGTCAGAGAGGTGAGTGGGGAGTTGCTCAGGCACAGCAACTGGGGCTGAGGCCAGAGGAGTGGTGTCGAGGCTGATGCTGGAATCTGAGGAGCTCCCCTTCTCTCCCCGCTCCCGTGCTCCCTTGGCAGGCGGAAGAAGCTCCGTTTCCACCCTCGGCAGTTGTACCTGTCCGTGAAGCAGGGCGAGCTGCAGAAGGTGATCCTGATGCTGTGTGAGTGCCACCCATTCCTTCAGCAGACCTTGACCAAGCTTCATGTATATACCAGGCACTGGGTACAGGGCCAGGAGTACAGTCGTGAAGGACACAGTCCTTGCCCTGAAGGACTTAGTGTGGTGGGGAAAAGACACATGTAACCCATAACGATGGGGATGTGGTGACTCATAGGTGCTGGGTCCTGTTCTGAGTGCTTATACCTGTTAGCCTTGGCTTGCACAGAGAGGTTAGGGACCTTGCACAGTGCACAGTGGTACTGAGAAGCAAGGCAGGGTTTGAATTCAGGCAGAGCTGATGCCTTTGACTCCTTATTCTGATAAATGCTGTGGTGGAGGCAAGCTCGGAGAATGCCAGGAGGGGCCCTGATCCAGCTTGGGGCCCTGAGAAGCCTTCCTGAAAGAAGTGCCACCTGCCCCCTAGCTTGCTTACCACTTGTCCCTCCCTCTCCCGGTGTGGCGGGCTCTCCCCGCAGTGGACAACCTGGACCCCAACTTCCAGAGCGACCAGCAGAGCAAGCGCACGCCCCTGCATGCAGCCGCCCAGAAGGGCTCCGTGGAGATCTGCCATGTGCTGCTGCAGGTCAGCACGGGCCCGGCCCCATGCCTCATTCACCAGGCCCTTAGGCCCCTCCCCTGCCCCATGCCTCCCTGGTGCCAGCCCTCCTGCCCCCTCACAGGCTGGAGCCAACATAAATGCAGTGGACAAACAGCAGCGGACGCCACTGATGGAGGCCGTGGTGAACAACCACCTGGAGGTAGCCCGTTACATGGTGCAGCGTGGTGGCTGTGTCTATAGCAAGGTGTGCGCGCAGGCAGCAGGGCGTGGCCCCCGGAGTCAGGGACCAGGTTTGGGGTGCCAGCCCAAAGGCTCATTTGCCCGTGTCTCCCTCAGGAGGAGGACGGTTCCACCTGCCTCCACCACGCAGCCAAAATCGGGAACTTGGAGATGGTCAGCCTGCTGCTGAGCACAGGACAGGTGGACGTCAACGCCCAGGTCAGCGGCCCACCCAGCCCAGCCCCTCTGGGTCCCTGGTGCCTGGGTTCCTTGGCTTGGCCTCAGGCTTTGGGCCGCCTTTCCTACATCTGACCTCACACTGCTCGTGTCTGTCCTCATTGCTTTCTTCTTCCTCATTTGTATTTCTCTTCATTCTTTTCTTTCTCGTTTCTTTCTCTTTATCAAGTTTCAGAATAATCAGTTCCTGTCTTAATCTCTGAAAGTGTCCAGTGAGGCTTTTTATTAACTCTTGGGTTGTCATACATTGGATGTGTTTTAGTCATTTATTGGCATTCTTCTCAGTCTTTGAATTATTCCATCATTGTCCAGAAGAAGCCCCTTTAAGAGGCCTCTGTGGCTGTGACATGACCCAGTGGCCCAGTGGCCTTTGAGAGCCTCCTGACCTTTCAGCACATTTCCTGCCCCCAACTCAGAATCCACCATTTCTCTAAGAAACTCTGCTTCCTTTATGGGAAACTTTTTTTTTTTTTTTTGAGACGGAGTCTCACTCTGTTGCCCAGGCTGGAGTGCAATGGCGTGATCACAGCTTACTGCAAGCTCCGCCTCCCAGGTTCACGCCATTCTCCTGCCTCAGCCTCCCGAGTAGCTGGGATTACAGGCGCCCACCACCATGCCCGGCTAATTTTTGTATTTTTAGTAGAGACGGGGTTTCACCATATTGGCCAGGCTGATCTTGAACTCCTGACCTCGTGAGCCACAGCGCCCGGCCAGAAGCATTTTTTAGAGAATACAATCTATGTTCCTAGGAGTGTTTATTGTTATTGGGTTGTCGCTGCTTCTAGGACTTTTGAGTGGGCAGACTTAGGAAATTTTTGTTCGTTTTTTCTTTTAAGAGACAGGGTCTTGCTATGTCACCCAGGCTGAAGTACAGTAGCAGTTCACAGACAGTCATAGCTCTCTGCAGCCTCGAAATCCTGGGCTCAAGCAACCCTCCCATCTCAGTCACATGAGTAGCTGGGACTACAGGCATGCACCTCCATGACCAGCTCCTGGCTGTATTTTTTGGAAAGAGAACAATTACTTTATTTTCTCTCTGGCATCAGATGGTAGACGCTACTAGTCCCATTTTTGTTTGTTTGTTTTTTGAGACGGAGTCTTGCTCTGTCGCCCAGGCTGGAGTGCAGTGGCACGATCTTGGCTCACTGCAAGCTCCGCCTCCCGGGTTCACGCCATTCTGCCTCAGCCTCCCTAGTAGCTGGGACTACAGGCGCCTGCCACCACGCCCAGCTAATTTTTTCTATTTTTTAGTAGAGACAGGGTTTCACCGTGTTGGCCACAATGGCCTCCATCTCCTGACCTCGTGATCCGCCCGCCTCGGCCTCCCAAAGTGCTGGGATTACAGGCATGAGCCACCGCGCCCGACCCTACTAGTCCCATTTTTTAGATGAAGAAACTGCGACCCAGAGACGTTAAGTGACTTACCCAGGGTCCCACAGCTTGTGAATGGTGGAGCTGGGATTCACACACACAGCCAATCTTGACCATTTGCTGCTTTGGTGAGCAGGGCCAGCTGCCCCCACCCTCACTCCCTTCCCACCCACAGGACAGTGGGGGGTGGACGCCCATCATCTGGGCTGCAGAGCACAAGCACATCGAGGTGATCCGCATGCTACTGACGCGGGGCGCCGACGTCACCCTCACTGACAACGTGAGTGAGCGTTTGGTTGAGGTAGGGCAGCCCCAGGCCCCTGAGCAAGGTGGAGGCTGGATTCAAGGGCCCAGCTGCCTGCACCTCATCTGTTCCCCTCCTACCTCCACAGGAGGAGAACATCTGCCTGCACTGGGCCTCCTTCACGGGCAGCGCCGCCATCGCCGAAGTCCTTCTGAATGCGCGCTGTGACCTCCATGCTGTCAACTACCATGGGGACACCCCCCTGCACATCGCAGCTCGGGAGAGCTACCATGACTGCGTGCTGTGAGCCCCTGCCCCGCCCTTGATGCCCCTGCCCCCACTTCTTGCAGCCTCAGACCCTGCATTGGGCATCCTGTCCCCTCTTCAGGTTATTCCTGTCACGTGGGGCCAACCCTGAGCTGCGGAACAAAGAGGGGGACACAGCATGGGACCTGACTCCCGAGCGCTCCGACGTGTGGTTTGCGCTTCAACTCAACCGCAAGCTCCGACTTGGGGTGGGAAATCGGGCCATCCGCACAGAGAAGATCATCTGCCGGTGAGCCCTGGGCCCCTCTCTGCACCCAAGACCACCTCCTCCCCACCCATACCCTCCCCAGGCTCCATTGCATCCTCACAACATTCCCCAACCCCTCCCCATGCACCACTGAATCCCCAGAACCACCCACAGGCCCCCTCCCCACTAGGGTTGCCAGATACAGCAAATAAAAATAGAAGACACCCAGTTAAACTGGAATTTCAGATGCACAGATGCATACTTTTTTAGTGTGAGAATGTCCTGTGTAATTTTTGGGACATACTAAAAAGCTATTTCTTGTTTATCTAAAATTCTATGTTAACTCGCTGTCCTGCATCTTACCTGGCAACCTTACTCCCCTGCCCCCAGCCCCAGGAACCTCCCCAACTCTCTTCCTTATACCTGGAGTAGCTCCTCACCCCCTTTTCCAGCTTCCCAGCCCCTTCTTCCCGTCTTCTGCAGGGACGTGGCTCGGGGCTATGAGAACGTGCCCATTCCCTGTGTCAACGGTGTGGATGGGGAGCCCTGCCCTGAGGATTACAAGTACATCTCAGAGAACTGCGAGACGTCCACCATGAACATCGATCGCAACATCACCCACCTGCAGGTGAGTAGGGGGCCCGGGGCCTCCCCAAAAGGACACCGAGAGCTGCCAAGTACAGTTGGACAAGCTTCAAACCAGCAAAGGCACCTGGCCAAGGAAGGGTTGGCTGAAAGGGAGCCCTGGTGTGGGGTCGCATCCCCACCAGGGGAGGGATCCTTTTCCTAGGTCACAGCAAGGTAT
This sequence comes from Homo sapiens, assembly GCF_000001405.40. Lineage (NCBI taxonomy): Eukaryota > Metazoa > Chordata > Mammalia > Primates > Hominidae > Homo > Homo sapiens. Next base: position 31,883,628 of record NC_000006.12, on the reverse strand, counting down.
CATATGAGCTCCCAGTAGCCCTGGGGACACCACCATACTGATTACCCGTCACCCTAGGACCATCACCACCCACTGTTGTAACACATGGACCCCAAAGAAAGGACAGTGGTTAGGGGGTCAGGGGGCATCAAGAGTAGAGGGGCCCAGACCGATCATGGGGTTGAGCTGACCTCTGCCTCCTCGCCCCAGCACTGCACGTGTGTGGACGACTGCTCTAGCTCCAACTGCCTGTGCGGCCAGCTCAGCATCCGGTGCTGGTATGACAAGGTGCGTGCCCCTTGCCTTGGCCACAGACACCCGGCCCCTCCTTCAGAGGAGCCAGCCTCCAATAAACCAGCTCCCTGGGACCATGTCCCTCACCTCCTACCCTGTGGGGGAAGTGACTGAGAGGACTGGGCAAGGCCTGGGAATCCTGGGATGTGGCTGGGACAGCGATGGGCGTGTGCCCAGGTCTATGCAAACCAGGGATGATGCTCCTGCATTTCGTGCTCTCGGATCTCAGAGCCTGTGTGACCTCCCCAACCCCAACTTCCCTGTCTCTGTAGAGTCTTGGGGTTCCTGGGTGGGCAGCTGAGGTGGGCCCCACAGAGAAACCACTATCCTCCCCTCCGCACCCTAGGATGGGCGATTGCTCCAGGAATTTAACAAGATTGAGCCTCCGCTGATTTTCGAGTGTAACCAGGCGTGCTCATGCTGGAGAAACTGCAAGAACCGGGTCGTACAGAGTGGCATCAAGTGAGGCCCTGCTCCACAGCCCACCCTCTCCCCACCTCACCCTTTCCTCCCTGCCCCTGGGGCTTTTCCAGGGCCTCCACCCAACAGCGCCATCTCTCCTACCCCCAGGGTGCGGCTACAGCTCTACCGAACAGCCAAGATGGGCTGGGGGGTCCGCGCCCTGCAGACCATCCCACAGGGGACCTTCATCTGCGAGTAAGTCACCGGGAGCACCTTAACACCTGGTGGGAAGGGGATACATGGCCACTGCTGACTGCCAGGCCTCCCTCTCAGCCATCTGCCCTGATGAGTCACATGTCTCCATCTGGCCACTCTCCAGCCAGCCTCCTCTGACCCCTATTCCTGCAGCTGAGCAGCCAGCCGCCTCTGACCCCCATCCCCCCAGCTGAGAATGGCACCTGCCTCCACTCTGCCCAGACCACAGAGCTTGTCTTCCCTCCCCTCCACCTCCACCCTCTACCTTCCCCTCCACCCCCTCCTCGCCCTTCCTAGCTGGAGAAAGTGCCAGTTTGGGAGACAAACAGACTTGGGTTTGAGCCCCTCTCTGCTTCTGGATGTTCTTGGCCAAGTTACTTAACCTCTTTGAGCCTTATTTTTCTTGTCTGTAGAGTGGAGGTGATAACAGCTACCTATCTGTCCACCTCCTCAGGGGCCTGTCCCTCTCCATCAGTTCTTTCTCTGCCCAGCATCTGTAATCTCCCCCTTTCTCTTGGCTGCCATCCCACAACCCTCAATCTTACTTTAGTCTCCTTTGGCTCTTTTTTTTTTTTTTTTTTAATTTATTTTTTGAGACGGAGTTTCACTCTTGTTGCCCAAGCTGGAGTGCAATGGCACAATCTTGGCTCACTGCAGTCTCCACCTCCCAGGTTCAAGCGATTCTCCTGCCTCAGCCTCCCAAGTAGCTGGGATTACAGGTGCGCACCACCACACCCGGCTAATTTTTTGTATTTTTAGTAGAAACGGAGTTTCACCATGTTAGCCAGGCTGGTCTCCAACTCCTGACCTCAGATGATCCGCCCACCTCGGCCTCCCAAAGTGCTGGGATTACAGGCGTGAGCCACCGTGCCTGACCATTCTTTGGCCTTTAAAAAAGATAGTCCTCTAACCATACTTGCCTGTTCAACAGACCATCCAGTTTCTTTCCATCATGTCATCTCTCAACTTCTCTGGCAAGCAGCCCCTTCCTGCTGGGCCTCAGTTTCCCCACCATCCACTCACTGCCTGTCCCTGCCAAAATCGGCCTTTGCCCTTCCCACTCTGCTGAAGCTGTCTCTTGACAGTCACTTCCCACCCACGTCCTCTCCGTGTGTCTGAATCTCCCATGTCTGCTCACCCTCCTTAGATAGCTGGCTCCTCTCCTCCCTCTGGTGTCCAGATATGTGTGGGTGCTCTTGCCCCGAATCATGCCTTGAGTTCCTTGCCACTCCTGTACCTCTGGCTCTTCCTGCAGTCCTGGCCCCTCTCCTGTTCCATATCGCCCATTCCTGCCGGGTGGCTCCTGGAACACAAACCTCTCTGTGTCCAAACCCGAACTTCCCCACCCAGGCCAACTGCCCCTACACATTAATCCCCTTAACCACAGAGCTTGTTGTCTGTCTCTGTGCTGACTGAAGGCTTCCTCTGTCAAGGCTGGAATGCTGCCCTTTCACTTGCCCACCACTGCTGCTCCAGGCCTTCCCTTCCCCACACCTGCCAGCCCTGCCCATTCCAGATTCCACAGGCTTGTGAAGAGAGATGGGGCCTGGAGCCACCTCCTAATAGCCCACACTCACCTTCAGAACCATGGATTCCTGTCCCACAGGTATGTCGGGGAGCTGATCTCTGATGCTGAGGCTGATGTGAGAGAGGATGATTCTTACCTCTTCGACTTAGACAACAAGGTGAGCAGGAGACCCTCCTTACCCTGCTGCTCCCCAGGGCTGGCTTTCAGGAGCCTCTGGGAAGTCAGCAAATGGAAACCTGGGGAGGAGGGACTGGGGAGTCAGTGGGTGGGGAGGGCAAGCAGGGTCGGGGGAGATGTGAAGAGTGCCATCCCCCTGCCCCAGGATGGAGAGGTGTACTGCATAGATGCCCGTTACTATGGCAACATCAGCCGCTTCATCAACCACCTGTGTGACCCCAACATCATTCCCGTCCGGGTCTTCATGCTGCACCAAGACCTGCGATTTCCACGCATCGCCTTCTTCAGTTCCCGAGACATCCGGACTGGGGAGGAGCTAGGGTGAGACTCTAGGGGTCTCTAGGGGCTCTGCCAGGGGGTGGGAGATGCAGCAAACCTGGGACCTGAAGGCTGGCATGTACCTGGTGTCCAGGCATGGAGTAGTGCAGAGCTTCTCAGATTTCAGTGTACATAAGTATTTCCTGGAGGACTTGGGGAAACAGTCCTGTGCCTCCCAGAGAGATTTTGAATCAGTAGGCTTGGGATGGGGCCCAGGATTCTGCATTTCTAAAAAGTCCCCAGGCAATGCTGATGCTGAAAGTCCATAGAACATACAAGGGGCTCAGATCCCATCTGGAGAAGATAGGTTGGGTGTCGGGTCCCTCTCAGGGAGCAGGATCCACAGGGTCTTCGGGGTGGGCTCTTGGTGGCTGGGTCCAGGTCCCACAAGCTCCTGTTTTCCTCTGACAGGTTTGACTATGGCGACCGCTTCTGGGACATCAAAAGCAAATATTTCACCTGCCAATGTGGCTCTGAGAAGTGCAAGCACTCAGCCGAAGCCATTGCCCTGGAGCAGAGCCGTCTGGCCCGCCTGGACCCACACCCTGAGCTGCTGCCCGAGCTCGGCTCCCTGCCCCCTGTCAACACATGAGAACGGACCACACCCTCTCTCCCCAGCATGGATGGCCACAGCTCAGCCGCCTCCTCTGCCACCAGCTGCTCGCAGCCCATGCCTGGGGGTGCTGCCATCTTCTCTCCCCACCACCCTTTCACACATTCCTGACCAGAGATCCCAGCCAGGCCCTGGAGGTCTGACAGCCCCTCCCTCCCAGAGCTGGTTCCTCCCTGGGAGGGCAACTTCAGGGCTGGCCACCCCCCGTGTTCCCCATCCTCAGTTGAAGTTTGATGAATTGAAGTCGGGCCTCTATGCCAACTGGTTCCTTTTGTTCTCAATAAATGTTGGGTTTGGTAATAAACTGCGATTTTTGTGTTGGGGTGGGGAGAAAGCATACTTGGCTAGAGGGAATGTGGGTCCAAGGGCCAGAATAGGATGGGAAGCAGGCTGGACAGGTGTGGCTGGTGTGATGGCCGCCCAGTGCGGGGCAGGGAGGTGGGGGGCCACTATGAAGATCCAGTTTCACAGGCACGGTGGCTGACACCTATAATCCCAGCACTTTGGGAGGCCAAGGCAGGCGAATCACCTGAGATCAGGAGTTCAAGACCAGCCTGGCCAACTTGGTGAAACCCCATCTTTCAAAATAGAAAAAATTTGCTGGGCGTGGTGGCAGGCACCTGTAATCCTGGCTACTCCAGAGACTGAGGCAGGAGAACCGCTTGAAGCCAGGAGGCGGAGGTTGCAGTGAGCCAAGATTGAGTCACTGCACACCAGCCTGGGCAACAAGAGCGAAACTCCATCTCAAAAAGGAAAAAACAGGTCCAATTTCCACACTTTAATCTTTGGCGGGAGCGTGTTGGGAGTGTACGGCAGTTAAGGTAGTTGGCGAGATTATAAAGCGTTTTCTTATCAGAGCATGCCAGGTCGTTCACTGTGGTCCGTAGTGCCCCCAGGAAATAGCCCTGAGCCCCCGTCCCAGGCTCCAGCTCCCCAGCCCGCTGGGCACAAAGTTGAGAAGAAGGAACTAGAGTGTGTCGGGGACCACAGGCGGGGGTGGGGCTGTGACGTGTGGGAGGGCGGGGCGGGCAGCAGGTGAGACGCCAGGTCTCCAGGGCTCCAATCACTCCGGAGACTGAGCCATGGGGGGAAAGCAGCGGGACGAGGATGACGAGGCCTACGGTGAGACTGGGGCGAGGCCCGGGACCCTGTGGAGGGAGGGGAGGACGGGTACTTTGGGAATGGTGTCTGGGGCTGGCTCCAGGGAGAGGAACTAAGGAGAGTACTGTGTCCCTGAGGGGAGGGCCCGGGAACCGGGAGCCATGGAGGGAGGGAGTCAGGGTCCTGGGAGGAGGATGGGGCCCGGGGGCTGGGGCTGTTGCTGGGGAGCCCATGGGGAGTGAAGCTGGGTGCCTCTGAAGAGTTGGGGCTGAGGTCCTTGGGAGGAGGGGGGTATTTCAGGCCTGGACTCTGGGTCCCTAAGGGCAGGGCCCTAGGAAACAAAGCCGAGATGGAAGGTGGCAGGTTGGGGCCCTGAGCAGAATAGGGCTGGATGCTGGGAGTGTCCTGTGCTGCAGAGCCTGCAACCAGTGAGGCCAGGGTCCCTGTAAGGAGGAGGAGGTTCAGCCTGGAGTCTGGGTCTCTGAGGGCGAAAGCTGCTTGTGGTCTGCCGGCTCCCTTGAGGAGTGAGGGGACCCTGAGTGGGCTGGCCTCTGCCTGCCAGGGTCTCTGGGAGAAGTGGCAGAGGGAGTGGGTTCTGCTGGGGGTCCCTGTGAGGAGTTGGGGCTGAGGGTCTTTGTGGAAAGGGGGCTGGGGTCCTGCCTAGGGGTCTCTGTGAGGAGCTAGGAGCAGGAGCTGGTCTTGGGGTACTCTGAGGAATAGGGACAGGGCCCCTGGGGTTCCTGTGAAGGGTGAAGCCTGAGGGGAGAAACAGCAGGGAGC